>NC_000002.12:237843128-238196638 GCF_000001405.40 Homo sapiens | reverse complement strand
TTTTTAAAAGAAGAAAGTTGATACCCAGCTCATTTCTAAATGGAGGCAAAAAGATGATAGGGATGACCCTCTTGGGGGATATAAATTTATTTGTTTAGTTGAATTGGTGTTTGGCCTGGCACAATAGCTCATACCTGTAATCCCAGCACTTTGGGAGGCTGAGGCGGGTGGACCACTTGAGGCCAGGAGTTTGAGACCAACCTGGCCAACATGGTGAAACCCCGTCTCTACTAAAAATACAAAAATTAGACCAGACATGGTGGCTCACCCCTGTAATCCCAGCGCTTTGGGAGGCTGAGGCAGGCAGAACACTTGAGGTCAGGAGTTCAAGACTAGCCTGGTCAATATGGTGAGACCATGTCTCTACTAAAAATACAAAAATTATTTGGGCATGGTGGTGTGCGCCTGTGATCTCACCTACTCAGGAGGCTGGGGCAGGAGAATAGCTTGAACCCGGGAGGTGGAGGCAGTGAGCGAAGATCACATTACTGCACTCCAGCCTGGGCAACAGAGTGAGACTCAGTCTCAAAAAAAAAAAAAAAAAAAAAAAAAGTGAATTGGTTTTTAAGTGAGTACTTTTTTTTTTTTTTTTTTTGTGACAGAGTCTCACTGTGTTGCCTAGGCTGGAGTGCAGTGGCCCAATCATGGCTCACTGAAGCCTTGGCCTCCCTGGGCTCAGGTGATCCTCCCACCTCAGCCTACTGAGTAGCTTGGACTACAGGCGCCTGCCACCACACCTGGCTAATTTTTGTATTTTTTTCATAGACATTTTTTTGCCATGTTGTCCAGGCTGGTCTCGAACTCCGGGACTCAAGCAATCCTCCCACCTCAGCCTACCGAAGTGCTGGGTTTATAGGCATGAGCCACTGCGCCTGGCGTAAATGAGCACGTTTTTATACTTGAACTCTGAGGAGCAAGAGGTGGGATAGAGCTGGTGTGTTTGGTTGGTGTGTTGAACTTTGCAGGAGGTGAACGTGTATACTTTCAACTTGGATTCTTGTGTGCCAGTTCAGATATCTAATAGCTTAAACAGAATTTCAGGAAAAAGCTGGAAAATAAGGAATGGTCGTTAAATTTTATGTGGAAAAAGATAATTGGGCATAAAACATTTAAGACATACTTTTGGAGTGTAAATCTTCACATTTTTTGTTAAAAGAGTTTCGTGACTTTCTCCTGAGGCTATCTGTCTTTGGTTACCTGAAACTCCTTTATTTTCTCCATAGCTATTTATTGAATCAGACACTGTGCTGGGGCTAGGGACACCAGGTTCCAACAGATTTTCTTCCCTTGCAGAATGTTACCGAAATAGGATTTTTATAAACCTGTAGGTCTTTGAAGGCCCCTCCTCCACCCCACCCCAAATTTCTGAACGTCTATCAGGAAGTCTCAAGTATTGTTTTCCTGGTCTAGAATCAGTTTTTTTCTTCCCAGGATTCTATTTTAAAGAAAGACTTTTAAATGTTTCATGCTTTCAATAATGAAATTATCAAGAAAATACTTGTTTTCCTCAAAATATTCAGTGGCCCTGAAGATGCCTGTTAGGGCATCAATCATTGCTTTTATGTTGACTGTAACTGTTGGAAACAGATGTCCATATTAAAAAAGCTGTTAAGAAAATATGTTTTAAAAATTTGCCCAACAGGAAGGAGAAAATTAGAATCTAATAGCAAACTTGTGTCAAAGCAGGGGAGACCACATGATCTTCCTCTTTGAAAATCTGTCCTGGGTGATGACCATATGCTCTCTAAACAGGTTTTCTGTGTTTTAGGGAAAGAAGCTCAGAAAGGACCCCTGCTCTTTGATGACCTCCCTCCGGCCAGCAGTACTGACTCAGGTACAGTCTTCAGGCTCTCCCAGGTGTGTGTCAACGTCTCTACTCATCCTGGGATTGTAGTTGTCTCAATCTTTTTCCCTTTCCCCCATTTTCAACACACAGATGTTTTAGGTGTTGGACTGTCTTTAAGTTTTGAATCCATGGCATCAGGTAAGGCAGAAAAATCTGCTAGTCGCTAGCCCTGAGAAGTACTGCGAGGAAATGTGGAGCAGTTTTCTCTGGTTCATTTGAGTATTTATTTTACTACCTGAAGTACAATTTAACTTTTTAAGGCAGATTTTTATTTCCTTTGAAATAATAGGACTTTAAAATAGGTTCAAGATATTATTCATTGCAGTATGAGTTGCCACTGGATTGACGCAAAGTTTTGAGTTTATTTCAGTAACCTACATAGGTGTCCTGGTGGGATGGATTCTGAAACTTAAGTCTTACATATTTTTTGTGGGCTCACTAAGTGTTCTGCTGTGTTTCAGGATCAGGGGGACCTTTGCTTTTTGATGATCTCCCACCCGCTAGCAGTGGCGATTCAGGTAAGTGGTAGGAAAAATCCAAGGTGCTGATGGAAATAATACATAGTATTTTACTCTTATGTGAAATTTATGTATAGGTTTTAACGGGATTTTGGATGACATTAAGTCATAATACAGCATAAGGTTTACTAAAACTATAAACAGGCACATTAATTGGAAGCACAAAGATAATACTGTATCACTTTCTGGTGATATTAACTTCTTGAGGTTCAGATTGTTGGAACTGCCTTTAAGAATTAAGAGTTCACTAATTTACTCTTAACTTTGTTATTAACATTTTTTAAAAATTCAGAGTTCATTATTCCGATTTGCCTTGTTAAACAGAGTGCTTGACTCAAATGTATCGAGGCTAGTAGCATTGGCTCTACCTCCTCCTGAAAATGTTCCTTTTCATGTCCTAATTAAGTAGAAGGGAAGAATAGAGCAGATTCCTGTTGCCATTGCGGCAAAGGTATGATTCTGTCTCATGAGAACTTCTTAGGTAGAGCTCCTCTGGTTGGGGAAGGTGAGGGTTAGGAGAGGTTGGGAGATAGATGGTGTGGGGGCAGTGGGGAATGCAGGTAATCCCATTTCGTATGCAGGTATATTTTCTATATTTTAGGAAAAGTACTCCAGTCATCTTATATAAGAATTCTCAATCTTCAGGGCTGTAGACCCATACCAAAAAATTGCAGCATCCTCACACTCACAGTGTGGCCTGAAACCTTCCCAATAAAGATAGTACCCTTAGTTGTAATGAAAGTTAATATGTTCTGGCTGGGCGTGGTGGCTCACGCCTATAATCCCAGCACTTTGGGAAGCCAAGGCGGGTAGATCACTTGAGGTCAGGAGTTCAAGACCAGCCTGGCCAACATGGCGAAACCCTGTCTCTACTAAAAATACAAAAATTAGCCAGGCATGGTGGCATGTGCCTGTCGTCCCAGCTACTCAGGAGGCAGAGGCAGGAGAGTCGCTTGAACCCAGGAGGCAGAGGTTGCAGTGAGCTGAGATCACGCCATTGCACTCCAGCCTGGGTGACAGAGAAAGACTCTGTCTCCAAAAAAAAGGAAAGTTAATATGTTCAAAGAAGGCTGTTAAGGGATTTAATAGAAGAAATGAAGATACAGCATAGCTGTCTCTTATTTATCTACAGGACAAAAGGCAAAGTAGTAAAAAATTTAGAAGATTTACATAACACTATTAACAAGCTTAATTTTTTGGATATATAATCTTGGGTCTAGTGTTTTAGATTTCTAGAGAAGTTAACACATTTTTTTTTTCTTGAGACGGAGTCTCACACTCTCACCCAGGCTGGAGTGCAGTGGCACAATCTTGGCTCACTGCTACCTCCACCTCCCGGGTTTAAGCGATTCTCCTGCCTCAGCCTCCTGAGTAGTTGGGACTACAGGCGTGTGCCACCATGCCTGGCTAATTTTTGTATTTTTAGTAGAGACAGGGTTTTCCCATATTGGCCAGGCTGGTCTCGAACTCCTGACCTTGTGATCTGTCCGCCTCAGCCTCCCAAAGTGCTGAGATTACAGGCGTGAGCCACTGCACCCAGCCGATAACACATTCTTTTTTTTTTTTTCCTTTTTTGAGACTGTCTCTCTCTCTGTTGCCCAGGCTGGAGTGCAGTGGCGCGATCTCAGCTCAGTGCAAGCTCTGCCTCCCAGGTTCATGCCATTCTGCTGCCTCAGCCTCCCAAGTAGCTGGGACTACAGGCTCCCGCCACCACGCCCACCTAATTTTTTTGTATTTTTAGTAGAGATGGGGTTTCACCATGTTAGCCAGGATGGTTTCCATCTCCTGACTTCGTGATCCGCCTGCCTCGGCCTCCCAAAGTGCTGGGATGACAGGTGTGAGCGACCTTGCCCGGCCCGATAACACATTCTTAAGCGGGCAGGAACCATTTACAAAAGTTGATTATGTACTAAGCCATAAAATAAGCCTCAATGATCTGTTTCTTGTACAGACTACATTCTCAGACTACAGTGTAATTTGCTTAGAAGTCAATAACAAACCTGTAAGGTGTCTTTATTTTGAAATTTTATTATTTTTCTTTTTTTCTTTTTCTTTTTCTTTTTTTTTTTTTAAGACAGTCTCACTCTGTTGGCAGGCTGGAGTGCAGTGTTGCGATCTCAGCTCACTGCAACCTCTACTTCCCGGGTTCAAGTTCCTGTCTAAGCCTCCCGAGTAGCTGGGACTATAGGCACCTGCCACCACACCCAGCTAATTTTTTGTATTTTCAGTAGAGACGGGGTTTCACCATGTTGGCCAGGATGGTCTCAATCTCTTGACCTCATGATCCGCCTGCCTCTGCCTCCCAAAGTGCTGGGATTACAGGCATGAGCCGCTGCGCCTGGCCTTTTTCTTTTTCTTTTTTTTTTTTTTGAGATGGAGCCTTGCTCTGTTGCCTAGGCTGGAGCGCAGTGGCGAGATCTCAGCTCACTGCAGCCTCCGCCTCCTGGGTTCCAGTGAGTCTCGTGCCTCAGCCTCCCGAGTAGCTGGGATTACAGGCGCTACCATGCCCGGCTAATTTTTTGTATTTTAATTAGAGACCGGGTTTCGCCATGTTGGTCAGGCTTGTCTTGACCTTCTGACCTTAGATGATCTGCCCATCTCAGCCTCCCAAAGTGCTGGGATGACAGGTGTGAACCACCACACCTGGCCATCTGTTTTGGAATTTTAAAGGAAGAAAGTTTCACATCCATATGGGGAAAACTGGAACCCATACAGTAAGCCACAGGACACTAATGGGGACCTTTGGGAGAGATACTGTTGGAAACATCTGTGTTGCCTTATGCAGGGTGCATATGTGTATTATGTTATACTGTTGCAGAAATAGGGCCTTGTGCAACTAATTTACGCTTCTTGAGGGCAGGAACATTTTCATTACTTTTTCCTCAGCACTAAGAAATGTCTGACACAGGCGGTTCAAGACCAACCTACCCAACATGGTGAAACTCCGTCTCTACTAAAAATACAAAAATACAAAAATTAGCTGGGTGTGATGGTGCACTCCTGTAGGCTGAGACAGGAGAATTGCTTGAACCCTGGAGGTGGAGGTTGTAGTGAGCTGACGTTGCGTCACTGCACTCGAGCCTGGGCGACAGAGTAGACTCCGTCTCAAAAAAAAAAAAAAGACACCTTGTGTTTACCAAAAAAATTAAAAAATTAGCCGGGTGTAGTGGTTCCTGCTTTCAGTCCCAGCTGCTCAGGAGGCTGAGATGGAAGGATCACTTGAACACAGGAGTTGGAGGCTGCAGTAAACTGTGATCATGCCACTGCATTCTAGTCTGTGTGACAGAATGAGACCCTGTGTCAAAAACAAAAAGAAGAAGAAATGTCTGGCAAAGAGTAGGTTGAGTAAGTAAATAAGTACTTGCATCCTTTTTTTTTTTTTTTTTTTTTTTTTTTTAAAGAGAAACGTCTTACTACTTTGCCCAGGCAGGTCTCAAATGCCTGGGCTGAAGTGATCCTTCTGCCTCAGTCTCCAGAAGTAGCTGTGACTGCAGGCATGTGCCACTGCATCTGGCTGTTGCATACTTTTATACCTAAATGCAGAGAACATTTCAAGTCATTTATTAGGACAGCAGCTGCCCTTATTGGAGATTGATGTGTTAGGCACTGTGACAAATGCTCTTCCTACTTGTCCTGACCCATTTTCAAACATCCCTCTGAGATGACAGTATTCTTACCATGTTACGCACGGGTGAAGACAGCTGAGACTGAAAGATTAAGTTGCACACCTCTTTGAAACTTGACTTTTCTCATTTCAAACACATACACTGCAGATTCCCTTAGCTTTGAGTACAGATTCATCCTTTTGCTAGTGGGAACAGCTGTGGCAGCCTTATTTTGCCTTTGAAAGGATGTATTACAGTTCTTAAAGGCTGCCATTTACCTCATTTTGAGCCTTTTCGAGTACTTGTTACTTTTTGGAACGTGATTAGGATATGTTAGTTTGCTTACAGATTTTGTAAGTGTTTGTTTAACACTAAGAGCCTGTGGATATAAAAACATGTATATGCTACAGGCCAAAAAAAACCATGTATTTTTACCACTGGGAAAAGTCTTTTACAAACCCCTTCAGCAGGGTCAGTTTGACTCAGGGCCTGGATCTTAACTTTATGTTCTCTCACTGTGGGACCCCCCTCCCCCTCCCCGCCAACCATGAAGACACAACTCCTGGGTCTGCCTGTGTCTGCCAGTCCTTGCTTCAAATGACCTTGTCTTTGAGTGCTAGGATGAAGCCCAGTCTACTAGTGACTTTTTCCAACAGTCTACAGCTGTGTTTCTGTCTGGCTTTTACTTTATTTCCAGGTTCTCTTGCCACATCAATATCCCAGATGGTAAAGACTGAAGGGAAAGGAGCAAAGAGAAAAACCTCCGAGGAAGAGAAGAATGGCAGTGAAGAGCTTGTGGAAAAGAAAGTTTGTAAAGGTTTTCAGACAATTTGAAAACAAATGTATTAGACTTCATATTTTAAAACAACCCAGAGCAAAACCAGTTTCAGCTTTCTAATAATACTTTCTTTTTATGTCTGTATTTAAGAAATAAGTAGGGTTCCCTTTTTGCAAATGAATTTCCAAGTTTCTCTGTGCTTTCTCCTACTTTTCATGTACATCTATCTCTGATCCTACCTTTGATCAGATAGGAAACCTACATTTGTTCCTCAAGAGTTAAAAAATACAGGTGGTTTTTTTCTTAGCCTTCTGCAGTGAATGGTTAGTTTTTTGACCACCTAGTCTCTCTCTGACTTCCAATCTTTGTTTGCAGTTTGTCAATTAGTGCTTTGAATTACGTGATTTAGCTTAGTAGGCAGCTTCCCTAAGCCTGGAAAAAGCCGTTGAAATTTGTAGTCAGTTGTGTAACTTGTCAAAGTTAGTGAGGAAGAAAACGAAAAGTATTAACTAAAGAGAATACTTCAGTTGTGGTACTAAAGTATTCTTGAGCTGTGGGATTTTCTTTTTTTCTCTTTTTTTTGAGACAGAGTCTCGCTCTGTCGCCCAGGCTGGAGTGGCACCATCTCGGCTCACTGCAAGCTCCGCCTCCCGGGTTCATACCATTCTACCTCAGCCTCCCGAGTAGCTGGGACTACAGACGCCTGCCACCACGCCTGGCTAGTTTTTTGTATTTTTAGTAGAGACGGGGTTTCACCATGTTAGCCAGGATGCTCTCGATCTCCTGACTTTGTGATCTGCCCGCCTCGGCTTCCCAGAGTGCTGGGATTACAGGCGTGAGCAACCGTGCCTGGCCCGAGCTGTGGGATTTTCATTGACTGCATTGTCCTTTGTCACAGATTACCTCAGTGAAAGCTGTATGATGCAGGCAGAGGTATGTGAAAAAACCCACTTGTAGCTTTGCTGGGAAGATGTCATCTTCAACTTAGCTTGTCACTTCCCAGAAGACAGCTCTTCACAGTGTTCATTTTATTATTTGTCTGGCATTAGGTATCAGAAAATAAGCTTAAATGAGTCTAACCATTAAATGTAAATAGATCTCTGCCTGCATTGGAATCTTTTATCCTTTTCTTCCTCAGTTGAAGTAAAAGCAGCTGATCTTACTGTTTGTTCAAATTCTTCACCAGCCTTGAGCATGGAAATACATATTTTCAGGGCATCTTAAGGGCTTTTGAGATAAACTCTCCTGACTTGCATTTGTCCTTATTCAATTATCACAAGACTAATTTGCACATGATCCTTTTGCCTGATTTGAATCTCACTTCTCTGGGATGGCAGCACATCCCTTGCCCTGATGCTTTGACTTACACCCTAGACAGAGTTGTTTTGTGCTCACTGACTCCTCTTTTGTGTCCCTGTGCAACCTCTTAGAGCTCACCCTGTCCAACAGTGCTCCGATTTGAGTTATAGACTTGCAGCTGGGGGAGATGCCTTAAGGGGTATTGCTTATTTGTTTGCGCCATTAGGATATTGCTGAGTCAGACAGTCATAGTTCCCTCTCATTTGCTCTGGGACTAGGGTTTCCAGAGGGTTGGGCACAGTTTTGTATTGGCTCTTTTGTTCTCTTTTCCTTAGCCTCTTCGGTGATCTTTGGTCTGAAGGGCTATGTGGCTGAGCGGAAGGGTGAGAGGGAGGAGATGCAGGATGCCCACGTCATCCTGAACGACATCACCGAGGAGTGTAGGCCCCCATCGTCCCTCATGTGAGTCTCATGTGGTAGGAAGCCCGGCTGGCATTAACATCTCCTGGGTTCTGACTGGCATTTTGGACTGGCTAGTTTGTATTTACTAGAAAATCTAACACATCACTTGATTGTACATCAGTGATTCTCAGCTGGGGTTGATTTTGCTCCCCGCCCAGGGGACATTTGTCAGTGTTTGGGTACATTTTTGTCACAACTGCGGGAGGGAGTTGTTACTGGCATCTGGTGGGTAGAGACTAGGGATGCTGGTAAACATCTTAGAAGCACAGGGCAGCCCCACAACAAAGAATTGTTCAGCCTGGAATGTCAGTAGTGTCGCGGTTGAGCAGCCCTGCTGAGCGGGAGATGACGCTTCATAGCATGGCTCTGCAGCGTGTGTTACTCCTTACCAGCAACTGAGCGGCTTCTGGCAGAGAATATTTTTAATCCATGACCTAGAAGATAAGAGTTGGAAGCCACTAATTAAAGTATGAATGGTGATCAAGCAGAGCTAGTACAGATAATCAGGGCCCAGGAAGAACAAAAGTCAAAATGATGTCAAGGAAAAGACAGACAATGAAAAATTAGCTGCAACTATACAAACTAAAATGAAGCCTTCTGGATAAGCTCTTGGGCCTGGAAAAAAACCAGAAGGTAGGACATTAAGTTGGCTGTAAACATACATTATAGTACATATTACATAGGTTACATAATTCAGAATTACATAATAAATACATTACGTACCTTTACTGACACCAGTTGGTCATTAACATACAGTGTGCTGGAGCCGTTTGGGCTGATGGCGTTTGTCCAGTAGATGAGGTCTGCTCATGGAGATGAGGTGATGGCTGCTGCAGAGCAGCTGATCATATGTAGAGGGGACGAGATACACACCCATTGAGACAGGGTCTTGCTGTCTTGCTCAGGCTGGAGTACAGTGGCACAATCATAGTTCATTGCAGGCTTGACCTCCTAGGCTCAAGCAGTCCTCCCACCTCAGCGTCCTGAGTAGCTGGGACCATAGGCATGTGCCACCACAGCCGGCTAATTTTTTGAATTTTTTGTAGAGACAGTGTCTCCTTAAGTTGCTCAGGCTTGTCTCAGAGTCCTGGGCTCAAGCCATCTTCCCACCTTGGTCTCCCAAAGTGCCAGGATTACTCGCATGAGCCACCATACCCAGCCTGGGATTTGCATTAAAACCAGGAAAGGGACCTCTGGAGCCCAAGAAGGCAGATCCATTGAGTGTAAATTTAATTGGGAACACTACATCATGCCTTGCAAATAACAGGCAGTAAGAACAGCTCTGAGTTATAAACCAGATGAGGTTTTTTTTCTCATGGCTCAGGATGTCCTAAATTGAAAAGGAATTCCAAAAAACTTGAAAGAAAAGCAGCTCTCTAGAATAAATGTCATTTCTCGTGGGCATTTTTGTTTTTTTTTTTTCCTTGAAATAGTTTATTTGATGTCTTTTATTCCATATATGTGGGTTTTCTGGCAAAATTTGAAAGGGGAATGGGAATAAGAGTAGTAAGATAGGTTTTAAAAATGAGATATTTAAAATTTATTTGAGTAACAATTCTGTAATATCCTCCCTGCTCTTATGCAGTCATGTGCTGAATAACAACATCAAGTCAGTGATGGACTGCATATATGACGGTGCTCCCATAAGATTACAAATTTTGTAGAGATGGGGGTCTCGCTATGTTGCCCAGGCTGGTCTTGAACTCCTGGCCTCAAGTGATCCTCCTGCCTTGGCCACCTCCCGAAGTGTTGGGATTAACAGGCGTGAGCTGTCGTGTTCAGCCATAATACCATGTTTACTGTACCTTTTCTATGTTTAGGTATGTTTAAATACACAAATACTACCAGTGTGTTACAACTGCCTATGGTATTTAGTGCAGTAACATGCTGTGCAGTTTAGCCTAGGAGCAATAGGCTCTACCATGTATGTAGCTTAGGTGTGTAGTAAGCTGCGCCGTGTTAGTTTCTGTAAATATGTTCTATGATGTTCACACAACAAAGTCACCTAACAATGCATTTCTGTTAAGTGATGCATGACTGTATTTTTTACTGTTTTCGATAAATAACTTGATCTGTTTGTTAATGTTTAAAACCAAATCCGATTTAAATAGGAACGGAGTTCTGAATTTTAGTTTTGTTGTCAGTGAAAAATCAGAATTAACAGATCTTGATCTTTGAAGCAAATGTGAGTTTTAAACATTTAATGTAAAATACTGGGAAAAGTGTTACATCTCTTTTAGAATATTAGACCTTTAGCAGGTCTTGCAGTCTTCACCAGAAACACTCCCACACCTACACACACACAGTGTTTTTGTTTTTTTTTTTTTTAGACAGAATCTCGCTCTGTCACCCCGGCTGAAGTGCAGTGGTGCGATCTCAGTTCACTGCAAGCTCCGCCTCCTGGGTTCACGCCATTCTCCTGCCTCAGCCTCCCGAGTAGCTGGGACTGTAGGTGCCTGCCACCACGCCCGGCTAATTTTTTTGTATTGTTAGTAGAGATGGGGTTTCACCGTGTTAGCCAGGATGGTCTTGATCTCCTGATCTCGTGATCCGCCTGCCTCGGCCTCCCAAAGCGCTGGGATTACAGGCATGAGCCACCACACCTGGCCCACACACAAGTATTTTTTTTTTAAAAAAAGATAAAATGCTGTGAAAGTTACTTAAATATTTGTCTCAGTTAAAGCCTTTTTTTTCCCATTTGTAACAGTGTGACTGGTGTCTTAACCAGTGTGACTTCCTCTGACTTATTAATGTTCACTCTTTGAGACGAAATTTAAAAGCTTTAATGGAAAAGTGTGGTTTTTGCTGTGAGAATTTGATTAACTCTCAATTCGTTCTTTCAGTACTCGGGTTTCATATTTTGCTGTTTTTGATGGACATGGAGGAATTCGAGCCTCAAAATTTGCTGCACAGAATTTGCATCAAAACTTAATCAGAAAATTTCCTAAAGGTGAGACTGAGAACTAAATCAGTTGATACTCAAATTGGTTATTGCTGTTTGGTTGGCTGTGTGAAGCAGTCAGATGTGTTATTTTGGCTTTAGCAGAGAATCATTGATGAGTCTTAAAAGAGTGGTGCTGAGGAGTGGATGCCAAGGCTTCCAGGAGTAGCGGCCATGCAGGTGTGACTTAGAATGGCACTTCTCATGATTCTAAGTGATAGGCACCTTTTGTCAATCGTCTTTGGGTTCAGTTAGTGTCTTGCCTTTACTGGAAAACTAGTAAACCAACTTCAAATAGCACTGTGTTATATGTGAGGAAAGAAACAGAGATTGTTCTGGCTGGGCACGGTGGCTCACACAGCACTTTGGGAGGCCAAGGCCAGAAGATCACTCAAGCCCAGGAGTTTGAGACCAGCCTGGCAACATAGGGAGACTCTATCTCTATAAAAAAAAAAAACAAACCTAACTGGACATGGTGGTATGTGCCTGTGGTCCCAGCTGCTCAGGAGGCTGTGGTGGGAGGATTTTCTGAGCCCCAGGAGGTTCAGGCTGCAGTGAACCACAGTTGCACCATTGCACTGCAGCCTGGGTGACAGAGTGAGACCCAGTCTCAGAAAAAAAAATTTAAAAAAGGAAAGAAATAGGGATTGTTCTTAATCATGCTTGAAAATCAATTGATGTGCAGAAATTACAAAAACAAAATGGCCAGCCCTGGTGACCCACGCCTGTAATCCCAGCATTTGGGAGGCCGAGGCAGGTGGATCACGAGGTCAGGAGTTCGAGACCAGCCTGGCCAATGTGGTGAAACCCTGTCTCTACTAAAAACACAAAAATTAGCCTGGCATGGTTGCGCGCGCCTGTATTCCCAGCTACTCAGGAGGCTAAGGCAGAAGAATCTCTTGAACCTGGGAGGCGGAGGTTGCAGTGAGCTGAGATCGCGCCACTGCATTCCAGCCTGGTGACAGAACGAGACTCCGTCTCAAAAAAATAAAACAAAAAACAAACCAAAATGACAGTGGGAGGAGGATAATCTTCCCTCCTTGAGAGATTGTTTTCTTTTGGCCCTTCTGTAATAGGAGATGTAATCAGTGTAGAGAAAACCGTGAAGAGATGCCTTTTGGACACTTTCAAGCATACTGATGAAGAGTTCCTTAAACAAGCTTCCAGCCAGTAAGTATAACTTGATGATGAAGTTTGAGTGGACTGTGTGTGGTGTTTTCCTAAATGCATTTCAGTCTTCTGATGTGGTTTAACACTATTGCTCACTGTCTGAAAAGTGCGTAGCACTCAGCTTTTATAACCGTTAGCTAAATCTAAAACAGAAAAAAAGCAAGTATCAAGGAAATGGTTCATTTTGAAATATAAGATACTTCCCATTGAGCTCTGGAAATTAGTCTCAAAGTGCTGGGCTATTGGTGGTGACTGTGTTTCTGATGTGTTTCCCCCCAGGAAGCCTGCCTGGAAAGATGGGTCCACTGCCACGTGTGTTCTGGCTGTAGACAACATTCTTTATATTGCCAACCTCGGAGATAGTCGGGTATGTGGCTCTGGAGCCACCCACTTAGATGACAATACGTTTTATGGGGAAAAGACTTTAGCACGTACTTGTTGAATAAGATTAAAGTGATGGTGTCTGGTTGAAACCTTTCTTCTGGGGTTGCTGCAGAGTGTTCTGCTGCAGTTTAACTTCTGGGTAAGGGAACAGCAACTCAGCTAGAGGCTGTTTGTTCTCTGGGGAACTTACGCCCTATGATAGACTTGTGCTTTAAAACCCAGATCCCGTCTTTTTTGTTTCTTTTTTCCTCCCGTGGTTTGTGTGTGTGATGCTGTGGATCAGAATGTAATCAGTATGCAAGTAGCCTAAATCTTCTTTTATTTCCTTTCTCTGACCTTAGACAGTAATGAATGAAAAGCTTTAACCCCTGCCTATCAAAGTTACTGTGATTTCAGAGTAACTTGAGAGCTGTAGCTAGAAAATACCAGATGAGGTGCCATTCATCACCCGAGCCCGGTCCCTGGCTGAGGGAGAAAGCCCAGGGTGTTGTTCCCCCTGGTGACAGTCGTGGGGATGCTGTAAAGCCTAGAGGGTGCTGCTGCGGAAAGCTGGATGCAGACCCTGCCTCCTCTGCATCAGGACCATGTGTTCCGTTCCGTTGCCGCTTTTTCACCCGGCCTCCTTGCTCCCTAGGCAGTCACAGGAATCAAGTGACTGTCCACACTTAAGCAGCATCTTTAGACCCCTCCCCACGATGCTTCTGGGGGGATGATTCATCAAATACTAAGTGCTAGGGGTATGGCAGAGACTATAACAGATGACAGCCCCTGCCTGGTGGAGTTTACATTCTGGTGGCCCTTTAGTAGACTGGCCTTAGCCCACATGTGTTTAGACCACATGACTTCAGAAATAGCAAGAGGAAAATTGGCAAAAAAACAAAGACAGGAGTCAGACCCAAATTTGAATCCTGGCTCTGCTCTGTGACTTTATTGAGTTACTTATTCTTCGTGCCTCAGTGTCTTCCTGTAAAACAGACACAATGAACCTGGCAGGGGCGAGAACACCTGGAGGCACTGGTGTGGACGGCCTACCTGGCACTCGGCCAGCATGCACAACGCTTGCCCTCCTCTTTGCCTTCCATAGGCTCATGGACATGTCTCTGGCCTTCTAGACTCCAGGCCAAAAGGGACCTTGATACTTGTTGAGTGCTTCCTTTCATGTCACAAATGTGACAACAGCCAGAGTGAGCACTTGTCTGTAGTTATTCAGCAGAGTTTGTACCAGAGTTGATATCAAAACCAGGGGCGACTCTCTCCCTAACTGTTGTGTCTTTGACACTTCTTTGCTGCTTGATTCTCTGAACTTACGTTTATCAGCAGGAGGCTGAATGTGAAACTCCATTGTTAACTGTTTTCTTCAAACTCCATTGTTAACTGTTTTTTTCAACTGGTACCTTTAGATGCTGCGCCCACTGAATTTCATGACTATTACAATCTCCATCTTCCCAGGCAATCTTGTGTCGTTATAATGAGGAGAGTCAAAAACATGCAGCCTTAAGCCTCAGCAAAGAGCATAATCCAACTCAGTATGAAGAGCGGATGAGGATACAGAAGGCTGGAGGAAACGTCAGGTAACCAAGGGACTGAGAGGAGCTCATGGGAAGGAGGGCTGTTAGCTGTAGAAGGGTCCCGAGACCTTCAAGGAGTAGAACTTCCCCTGTTACGTAGTCTTCAGTGTGACGAGGCTCTGTCTGAGATCTAACACTGGTGACATAGGTGGATGACAGTTGTAGATTTCACATGTGTCCACGTGGAAGGAAACTTGCCTCCCTACATTTGCAAAAGGACAAATTCATATTTACCATTCACAGTGTTTTCTCTGTGCCTAGGAAGTTTCTTAAATACTGTCACTTTTCGTGGTGGCGGGCGCCTGTAGTCCCAGCTACTCGGGAGGCTGAGGCAGGAGAATGGCGTGAACCTGGGAGGCGGAGCTTGCAGTGAGCCAAGATCGCACCACTGCACTCCAGCCTGGGCAACAGAGCGAGACTCCATCTCAAAAAAAAAAAAAAACCAAAAAAAAAACCTGTCACTTTTCACATTGAATAAGTTACAGTTTTAGGTGAATTCTCCAGAGAGAAAATCTGAAGTAGTTAAGACGGGTTAAGTAATGTCTTTGGACTTCTTGGGAACAACTGGCACAGAGGACCATGTCTTACTTGGCTCTGTCTTTTGCAGTTTCATTTCACTCTCTCTTTAAATCTTTGAAAACCATATGTCTGCTCTGGTTTTATTATCTGCTTCTATCCAAGGCAGCTAAAGGAGGGCATAAGTCTTTTCTTTAGAATTCCACTTCAAGGACATTGCATTATGAATTAGACCAGGAGTATTTTCTGGTTTGTTGTACAGTTTGACTATTAAAATTTTATTTTCTGCCAGAGATAAGAGAGATGTCATCTCTTAGTATAAGACTGCACTTACCTATCCTTTGAAGTGTAGTTTCTCTTCTGTTGTTCATTTGGGGAAGCCTTTTTTATTGCTCCAGGCTGAATCTAGTCAGTGGTACAGGGAGGTTTCTGGAGAGTAGTTGGAACCCTTAGCGTTTGTTCAAAAAGCTCTTGGATTAGTAAGAAGCAGTTTCATTCACGGTCGCTGCAGTTTACATGAGCAGTGATGGGATTATAGGCCTGGTTTCAGGCCTCAAGCAGTGCTGTTGGCCCAGTTTTTGCCACCGTAACTACTGTCCTGGTAACTACTGTGGACAGTCATGCCTGAGAATGTGACTCTAACATGAGCGTAAGCATCACCTCTTCTCCCCTTTCTTGTAAGTTTTACATTCATTCTGCTTTTGCCTGAACTCCTTGAAAATAATTGGATACTGACAGTCCGATGGCTGAAAGTAAGGCCAGTTGTGTTGCAGTTGCTTCCTATATCCCAGTCCTTACCTGATTCAGAGAAGTGTTTACATGCCTTAGAGAAATCATTTGACAGTGTGGGTTTTGGGTGACTCCTTCATCTCAGAGAAGGGCTGAGGCTAAGAGACCAGCAGCGTGGGTCGCTGCCCCTGAGCAGCAGAGCCCTGTCGTGGTCTGTTCTCCTGCCTGAGGCCAGGGCTGGCTGCCCCACTCTCAGCTTTTATCATTAAATTTTTCAGACATACAGAAGAAACTTGACAATAGTAAAACATTTCCAAATCTACTAGCAGTGAACATTGTGTCATGTTTAGTCTGTATAGATGTGTGTCAGGCTGAGCTGTTTAAAAGTTGCAGATATGATGACATAACAGCCTAAATACTTAAGCATGCATCTCCTGAAGATAAGGACGTTCTTGACATAATTAGTGAGAATTTTCACACCTAAGACAATAATATTTCCTTAGGTTAAGTTATCTAATACCCTGTCTATATTTTTATTTCCCGAGTTATCCCCAAAGTATCTTTGTTTCAAACCAGGGTCTAGTCAGCATCCATGTCTGCCGTGGACTTGGCATTTCTTTTTCTTTTTCTTTTTCTTTCTTTCTTTTTTTTTTTTGAGAGAGAGAATCTTGATCTGTTGCCTGGAGTGCAGTGGCACGATCACAGCTCACCGCAGCCTTGACCTCTGAGGTTGAAGCGATCCTCCAGCCTCAGCCTCCCAAGTAGCTGGGACCACAGGCATGTGCCACTGTGCCTGGCTATTTTTTTATTTTTTGGTAGAGACAGGGTCTCTGTCTGTGTTTTCCAGGCTGAGCTAAGTGATCCTTCTGCCTTGGCCTCCCAGAGTGCAGGGAATACAGGTGTGAGCCACTGCACCCTGCCGAGACTCATTTCTTACCAGGCTTTGAACCATGTTATAGGCCAGCAGTTGTACAGAGTCACCAATATTCTGAACCTGCGTATTTTTTTACGGTGTTATTTCTGTATATTTCCTATAAACTGGAAGTTAGGTGTAAGACCTTCTTTAGATTCAGATGAGATGTTTTTAGCAATGTTTTATGGGGGATGCTGTATACTCAGTAGTCCTTCACTTCAGTAGGCACATAATGTGACCCTTAATTAAGTTGCCAAATCCCAGCACTTGGCTCCGGTGGTGACAGCCGGATGCTCCTGTTGCCTTGCGTCATCAGCAGGTAATCTGGGGAGGTTCACTGGTACCTTGTGAATATTCTGTTTCCTGTCAGCCTTTCACCTAATGGTCTTAGCATCCCTAAATCATTATTTCATCAGGGATGTCAAAGATGATTTCCATATTCTGTGATTCTTTTCACATGTATTAGCGGGCATTCTGTAAAGAAACTTCTTATCATCAATAAGAGAACATCATAGATTCTTCTAAAAAAGCAGGGTCAATGTTTCATTCTGTCCTTTATCCATTTGAAAGGAAGATAGTCACCTATAGTTGTGGAAATCAGTGTTTTCCTTTCACTCCTCTGCTTCTTTCCCTCCATCCTTCCTTTGTGAATCACTGTGTGCCAACTGACTATTCATTGTGTTGTAGTCACAGTCATGGGGTTTTCTGCTGCTCACTTGATTTCAGATATGGCCAGTGGAAACTCCTGCTGGCTGGTTCCTGTGTCCTTTTCATATGTGTGTATTAATGTTTAAGAGCCAAAATCCAGGCTGGGTGCAGTGGCTCACATCTGTAATCCCAGCACTTCGGGAGGCTGAAGTGGGTGAATCTCTTGAGCCTAGGAGTTCAAGACCAATTTGGCAACTGTGGTGAAACCCCATCTCTACAAGAAATACCAAAAAATAAAAAAGAGAAATTAGCCAGGTGGGGTGGCACACACTTGTGGTCCTACTCAGGAGGCTGAGGTGGGAGGATTGCTTGAGCCTGGGAGGCAGAGGTTGTAGTGAGCAGAGATCATACCATTGCTTTCAAGCTTGAGTAACAGAGCAAGACTTTTGCTTAAAAAAAAATAATAATAATTGATTTACATCAGTGTAGGGAATAAATTTTTTTAAAAAGCCCAAATCCATGTTCTCGGGTGCTCAGTTCAGTTGGAGTGTCATTAGTTCTATGTCCACTCAAGACATGCAAAGCTAGGAAACACAACACATTTTAAATCGCAAGCTTGGAGTGCTATTTCTTACTCATATTTAACGTTACAGAGTTTTCTCTTCTTTGGTTTAATATTTGTAGCTCGTTTCTCTTAATGCTAGAAATCTTGGTTCTTAACAACAGTATATTTATTTGTTAAAACAGTTTCATAGTATCAAAATTATCACTACTAGGGGAGCAGAGGGCTCACACCTGTAATTCCAGTGCATCGGGAAGCTGAGGCAGGAGGATCGCTCCACGTCAGGAGTTTGAGAGAAGCCTGGGCAACGCAGTGAGACCTTATCTCTACAAAAAATAAAAATGGCACCATGGAGCCAGTTCTGGTGGTGTGCGCCTGTGGTCCCAGCCACTCGGGTGGCTGAGACAGAAGGGTCACTTGAGTCTAGGAGTTCTAGGATACAGTGAGCTATGATTGTGCCACTGCACTCCAGCCTAGTTGACAGAGTGAGACCCTGTCTCAAAAAATAAAAATATCCTAACTTTAGTTTGTGTTCCTTGCTGTTCTCTTGTCCTTAGATATACCTCACTAAAGCAGTACTGTTGGCACTGTGCGCAAAAGTGAAATAACTGTTTTTACTGTGGTTATTTTGCCACTTTGGTTATTAATATTATTAGTTTTCCATTTATTTTTATTCAGTTTATTGTTTTCAGTTTATCCAATTTATAAAGGGCTTTTTTCCCTTTATAAATTACAGGGAGAAAATGAGAACCCCTGTGCATGGCTGGTGGGAATGTGAAATGGTGTAGCCACTATGGAAAACAGTATGGCAGTTCCTCAGACATTAAACACAGAGTTAGCATGTGATCTGCAGTTCCACCTCTGCGTATATACCCAAAAGAACTCAAAGCAGGGACACGAACAGATATTTGCATACCTGTGTTCACAGCAGCATTATTCACCATGGGGAAAAGGGGGAAGCAACCCAAATGTTCATTGACAGATGAATAGATAAGCAACGTGAGATGTCTATATAACAGAATATTATTTAACCTCAAAAAGGAAGGAAATTCTGACCCATGCTACAAAATGGATGAACCTGAGGACTTTATGCTAAGTAAAAGAAGCCAGATGCAAAAAGACAAACACTAGAATTTCACTCATAGGAGGTACCAGTCAAGTTCACAGAAAGTAGAATGGTGGTTATTGGGGGGTGTGGGGTATGAATTCTGGGGAATGAATCGTGGGGTTAGTGTTTAATGGGAACAATCTCAGTCTGGGAAGGTAGAAAAAGTCCTGGGGATGGATGGTGGTGCTGATAACACAACAGTGTGAATATATTTAATGCTGCTGAACTGTACACTTAAAAATGGTTAAGATGGTAAATGTCATGTATATTTTACCACAATAAAAAACATGAAAAACTCCCTGTTGCATGCTTCAAAATCTAAATTGAGTAAAAAGACATTTAGAGATGTCATGCTTTCATCCCTGTCCCCTTCATCCTATTTCTTGATTCTTTCCAGTATTTCTTAACAAAAGTATGTAAATCTTTGTGCATTATTTTTTTCTACTTTCTTACATTGAAGGTAGCTATGTAGCAGTGAATTTTTCTGAGAAGATTAAGACAAGTTTTATTTTTATTTTACAAGGAAGGCAGCTGAACAGATGGGAAGTTTACATATAGCATTTAAATTTAAATGTCAGTACTGTGTGCCTAGAACTTGATCAAGTGCAGGCCTCTGATAACCAAAAGTAACTGTTCTAGCATTGTACCTTTGGTTATCTCTGTAGCACTCATTGTATTAATATGTTGGATTTAGGCATCCACCAGTCTTTGGATGGTCAGGAGATGGAGCTTCCACCTCCCAACCTTAACTTTGCAAACATCACTTGTGGATAGTCTGTTTATTGAGACCAGCTGTGTCTTGCTTTTACTGACATGCAAGAGGAGCTGAAGACCAAGCAGCTTCCAGCTGCCTTTAGCAGCCAGATTAGCCTTAAACACACAAGTAGTAGGATGTCTCAGTCTCACCCAGTCTCTCTCTCTCTCTCTGGAGAAAGAACAGAAAATATCAACAAAACTAGCTAAGATCTGAAGACACTGTTGAACAGCTTGTCCAACAGTAGGAAAACAGTTTTCTGGTTGGCAGAAAACAGAGAAGAGAAATAAAGCAGCACAAAGCAAAAGTTGGAAGTGTGTAAGGGCAGGAGGCCAGTCCTAATGAGGGCTGGTACCAAGGGACAGGCAGATTGGCTTGGTAGGCTGAGACTTAAAATGCCACTACTTGGCCAGGCGTGGTGGCTCACGCCTGTAATCCCAGCACTTTGGGGGGCCAAGGCGGGTGGATCACGAGGTCAGGAGTTCAAGACCAGCCTGGCCAGGATGGTGAAACCCCATCTCTACTAAAAATAAAAAAATTAGCTGGCACGGTGGCAGGCACCTGTAATCCCAGCTACTCGGGAGGTTGAGGCAGGAGGATCACTTGAACCCAGGCGGCAGAGGTTGCAGTGAGTCGAGATCATGCCACTGCACTCCAGCCTGGGCAATAGAGTGAGACTCTGTCTCAAAAAAAAAAAAAAAAGCCACTACTTGCTAAGCATTGTAATTATGAGGGTGGGGGGGAAACTGAGGGAAGGGGAAAGAGAATGAACTTTGGGCAGTTTGTTTGAACTTTGAAAACTGGGCAACGGGGAGAACCTGCTGTGAAACAGACAGCTTTCTATTGTGTCTAGAGTAGCGCAGACTTTCTAAGAAATGGATGTGGATAGAGTATGTATTGGTGGCATGCGCCTGTAGTCCCAGCCACTTGGAGGCTGAGGCAGGAGGATCATTTGAGTCCAGGAGCTTGAAGCTATAATGCGCCACCATGTCTGTGAATAGCCACTGCACTCCAGTCTGGGCAACATAGCAGGACCTTTTCTCTTAAAAACAAAAAAGAGTTCCGGTGAAATGGATAAAGCAGACTGGGAAGGACGAAGCCTGTGGGGCTGGTGGGGCTGAGTCCCAACCAGCTTCATCAGTGGTGATCCTTTTGAACTTGTACCAAAGTTTCCAGAACAGAGGTGGCATGGATTTACCCTTGTGTGATGCTCGATCTCAGAGATGGGACTCTGTGATTGGCCTTTGTTGAACTGACAGGTATTTGAATGTGCACATCCTACGTAGGACATCGCATTGAGTGTAGGCATAGTGCCAGGGCAGCTTGCCTCATCGTTACCAAACGCGTTTCCTGGGATCTGTCATTCTGTCCATTGTGCTTTCTCCTGTTACTCTAGCAGTTCAGTGAATGTAAGATTACTACTCTGTATATGGAACTTTGAAAACAAGAATGAGGCCACATTACGCCTGTAATCTCAGCACTTTGGGAGGCTGAGGTGGGAGGACTGCTTGAGGCTAATTGTTTAAGGACCAGCCTGGGCAACACCCCATCTGTACAAAAAAAATTTTTTTTTTATTTACCTGGACTTGGTGACACCTGTAGTTCTAGCTACTCAGGAGGCTGAGGTGGGAGGATCACTTGAGCCCAGCGAGTGATTGCACCACTGCCCTCCAGCCTGGGCAACAGAGGGAGACCCTGTCTCTTAAAAAAAAAAAGAGAGAATGAGAGATGGCAGTTCCTGTGCTGCTCATATTGTCCTTCTTTAGACTTAGAGATTGTTTCACATTGTCTGTACTGTGTTGTGCAGTACCAGAAGTTGCTGGTAGCTACTTGGTCTTCTGGGACCTGCCATTGCAGACGTGGTGATTGTAATCTTAATCTTGTTGAAACAGGATGGATTTATGACTGGGATGGCCGGAAGCCACACCAGACACCCAGTCACCTGGTCATGGGAGAGGTACTTTGTTGGCTTTTCATAGTACTTACACTGTGAGCTGCTTCCTGAAGTGGCACTCTTAAGGCCAGGTGCCCCCACCCATCTTCAGTCCTCAGCTCTTCCCCTGTGCACTGTTTCCTCTTGCTATTTAACAGTTTGTATCCTAGAAGATCGCTAGGCTTTTTGCAGATACCAGCAGAAGTCTTTGAAGAAGAAAAAACATGTTTGTTACGGATACTGACCTGTGAGCCACTGAGAGGGTAACTGGGGCCCAGAGAAGGGCCAGGCTGAATTCTGCCTTTAGGACAGCAGCCCAGGAAGCATTTCCTACCATGTGCAGCCATCTGCACCGCATCTCCTGAACTTGCTTGGTCCATGATTTGGGAGCCCCGTGGTGATCTTAAACGCCCATGCGCAGCCGTGGCATTTGCGGAGTGCTCTCTCACACGTTGAGTATGGTTCTCTGCCTTGCCTTTACAAACAAGGGCCTGAAGGGGAGAGAGCTTGCAGCTGCCTAAGGTGACAGTGCTGCAGCCTAGACCAGAATTGTTCTTTGGGGCAGTAGGCTTCCCCAAATGGTTTTTCCTTGGCAATAGGACTGTCCCTTAGATGTCTCTTCCCATTTGTAGATCACTGCCCCATCTCCTCCATATCCCCTCACCTAAAATAGAATGGGTGAAACTATGATGCTATGCAGGATACTGTCATTTACATTAACATTAAACCGTACCTGTACTTGATGCAAAGGACATGTGCTCCACAATCCAGGAATAGCCACTTTCAGGGATTTTCCAAATCTAATTAGATTGAAATGCAAAATATCCCTCTGTTCTAGCTATTGTTAACCCTGGCTGCATGTGGGAAACACTCAAGGAGCTTTAAGATACAAAACACTGCCAGGCTCCCTTACCCAGTCAGTCAAATCCGATTCTGGAGTTGGGACCTAGGTGTGTGATGAGAACTGCTGAGTCCTGTCGAAGGTTAAGCTGGGCAGCACTGCTTGGCAGCCACTGGAGGTGCTGTTCCCACCCATGTGCAGCTGGGCAGGGTCCCTACCCCAGGGCAGCAGTTAATGGCCTAGACACCCCTGCATATTTGAGATCAAGAAATGTCAGTAGTGGTTAATAATGTGAATTCCACAGTCTGTATCTTTCACACTTCCATTCTCTGCTTTTAAGGTGAGATTCTAAGTACTGTGGACCCATAATCTGTCAGGTAGAGTCTGAAATGTTTTTCCTCTCATTTTAGGGATGGGCGTGTTTTGGGCGTGCTAGAGGTGTCACGCTCCATTGGGGACGGGCAGTACAAGCGCTGCGGTGTCACCTCTGTGCCCGACATCAGACGCTGCCAGCTGACCCCCAATGACAGGTAAAAGGCCCTATAAGAGGCACAGGTGTGTGTGCATGTGGGTTTATTTCTCTTCCTCACTTCCAGTTTCTATCAAGCCTTTGTTGGAGGGAAGGTGTGCATGGTGCTAGGCCCTGGGGGTGCAGAGATAAACAAAATGTGGTTTCTGCTCTGGTGGGGTCCACAGTGGTAGGGGGGGACACATGGGGATGGGCAGCTGCAGTCCAGTGTGTCCTAGGCATGTGCTGTGTGCTGGGGTCTTTGGCAGTAGGGGAAGGGGTTATCCCTGTCAGAGAGAGGAGAAGGGGCTTCCTGGCAGAGGGAACACACAGTAAGGCATTAAAATGTGACAGTGTGAAAGCATGGCCAGACAGGCGCTTGAGGGACGGAGGGAGTGGTGGGAAAGTGATAGCAGGGTACTTTGGGGGCAGATCCTGAAGGGCCGGCCCTCAGCCCCATGCTGGAGAGTTTGAACTTTAGTTGATCATTGGTGGAGAATCATAGGTTTTTACACAGAGCCAGGATCGGTTGAGAAAGAGACAGTTCACCTGTTCATCTCCTGTTCTCCATGCCTAAGGGTACGGCACCGTGCTGGCTGAGGGCAGGGCCTCAACAGGTGATGGTTAAAGATGGCATTATGGGGCTAGGGAGGCCTGTGAGCAGCGGTGCAGCAGCCCTGGCCTGATGATGAAGGGCTGAACTAAGGCAGTAGCAGGAGGGGTCAAGGAAAGCTCCCGGAAGCAGGATTCACAGCACTGAGTTGATGAGGGGAGGCCAGAGACACTAGTGGCACTGTGGCGAGTGGGCCTCCGAGTGCTGCTCTGAGTCCCGCCCCAGTGCTGCGGATGAAGAGCGCGTGCCTTGCTTTGGCACTCGCCTGCTTGGCCTTGTCTTGAGCCACTGCCCCATTCTCCACATCTTCTTCAGTGTGTTTGTCATGTTCTCACGTACCGCGGGGTCCTCCATCATCTCTCCAGCAGCCGCCGCCTCTGGTGTTCTGAAGGATGCACCTTCTGCTTTGCTTCCTAGCTCGCCTTCCTGGGTTGTAGTCATGGGTCTGTGTGATTGGTTATTGAGGGTCTGAGTCTCAGGACACTGGAAGGGGTGGGAGCCTGCCAGGACTAGGCCCCACGGTGTTCTCAGCATGGACGATAGGCTCGGCAAGTAGCGGCCGAGTGAAAGCCTAGTTAAACGAGGAAAACAGGCTGGGTGTGGTGGCTCACGCCTGTAATCCCAACACTTTGGGAGGCGGAGGCAGGTGGATCACCTGTGGTCAGGAGTTTGAGGCCAGCCTGGCCAACATGGCAAAACCTCATCTCTACCAAAAATACAAAAATTAGCCAGGCGTGGTGGTGGGCGCCTGTAATCCCAGCTACTCAGGAGGCTGAGGCAGGAGAATCACTTGAACCTGGGAGGCGGAGGTTACAGTGAGCGAGATCATGCCATTGCTCTCCAGCCTGGGCAACAAGAGGGAAAGTCCGCCTCAACAACAACAGCAGCAGCAGCAACAAAAAACAAAGAAAAAAAAACACAAAAAAACCCCACAGATATTACAGTGAGAAAAGGAGGGTGGCTTATACCGCAAAGCTGTGGGGATGCGTATTCCCCACCCCCAATGCCAGGAAAACTAGAACTGTCACATTGAATCCATTGGTGTTCAGAAAGATTCCAGGGACGGTCTAGGGGGGTTTGATTCTGAAAGGGAGAGCATGTGGTTTTCAAACACAGGAACACGCACAGCTGCCCCTTCTTGGGCCTCGGTCTTGGATGCAGCCCCAAGCTGTGCAGTGTGTGCCCAAGGATGTTTCACCGAGGCTGGGCTCATTCTCAGCTTTATGTCTGGAAGTGGTGTAAGGCCTATGGTGTTATAAATTCTTGTATATTTACCATAACACCCATGTTTTTATTCAGTGATTTTTCTGGAGTTTGCCTAAGAAAGTACAGCACCTAATGTTTGAGGTAATTAATAATTCTGTTAATTGGCGAAGAGAAGGATAGTCTCAGTTTTGATGTATAACATCCTATCCACAAATACTTGTAAGTAGTTTAAACCTTTGTCTCAGAAATTAAGTGGGTTTAAACAAATCTTAGCCTGGCCAGGCGCTGTGGCTCATGCCTGTAATCCCAGCACTTTGGGAGGCTGAGGCAGGTGAATCACCTGAGGTTAGGAGTTTGAGACCAGCCTGGCCAACGTGGTGAAACCCTGTCTCTACTAAAAATACAAAAAATTACCCGGGCGTGGTGCCGGGCACCTGTAATCCCAGCTACTCAGGAGGCTGAGGCAGGAGAACAGCTTAAACTGGGAAGGTGGAGGTTGCAGTGAGCCAAGATTGCGTCATTGCACTCCAGCCTGGGCAACAAGAGTGAAACTCCATCTCAAAAAAAAAAAAAAAAGAAAAAAGAAAAAAAAAACCTTAGCCTTTGAATAGTTGGACAAATATTTATTTTATCTCCATCTCCAGGCCCTTTTTTTATTTTTTATTTTTTGGTTGGGCCTAAAACCCGTTTATATTTCTCCCTGGTGTTGTAGGTTCATTTTGTTGGCCTGTGATGGGCTCTTCAAGGTCTTTACCCCAGAAGAAGCCGTGAACTTCATCTTGTCCTGTCTCGAGGTGAGAAATCTCACACGGGGGTGGTGGTTGTCCCAATTGTGTCTTAGTTTTCAGAGAAGTAGAAGTTCTGAGACCCCATTTCCTCCCATTGTGGGACAGCCCTTGTGCCCTTTTTCAGTGTGAACTCTGCCTACTGACTCACTGGTCAGTTTGTCCTGCCAGCCCTGATGGAGACCAGAGCAGCTCTTCTTCCTGGCAGTCATGTCTCAGGAAAGTGACAGGGTGCGGGGTCACTCCATTCACTCATTCCCTTTCTCATCTGGTAGGATGAAAAGATCCAGACCCGGGAAGGGAAGTCCGCAGCCGACGCCCGCTACGAAGCAGCCTGCAACAGGCTGGCCAACAAGGCGGTGCAGCGGGGCTCGGCCGACAACGTCACTGTGATGGTGGTGCGGATAGGGCACTGAGGGGTGGCGCGCGGCCAGGAGCACGCATGGTATTGACTTAAAAGGTTCATTTTGTGTGTGTGCACATTGTGTGTTTTGTGTACTCCTGTGGGACTCCCATGGTTGTAAATAAAGGTTTCTCTTTTTTTTTCCTAGTCTTTTGAGTTATTATACTGTGAGCACCTCTTGACCCTTCAGAGATTGTGTTTGCTTTTGAATATGCTGTCTTTCCTTGTTAAAACCATTATAGGCATCTTGGACTGGCTCGTAGTGGCCTGCAGGCTGCTGGTTGTGTGATGTTTTGTAGTTCACGGGCATTTTGCTGTGCTTTCACTGTCATGATGACCCTGGTTGGGGAAGTGGCATGTTGCAATGAAGAGACCCAGGGGATGACTGGTTAGTCAAGGCTAGGCCCAGACCAGGGCTTTGGGAACCCTCTAGCTCTTTTCAGTTTTCCCTATGGAAATAGTGTTGCAAAATGTTACATAGCATGAGCTCAGGCTTAGCCAGGAAATAGACTCATAGACAAGGTTACTCATGCATCAGACCTGCCAGAAACAGTACAGAATTAGCCATTCTCATTCCATTGGTGAGAGCTGCAGTCTGGTGGAAGGAGTCTGTGGAGGACTCGGTTCAGTGGCTTCCATCTGGACTCCCTGGGTGTAGGTGTGCACCTTCCTGTTGGAGCAGGCAGCCGGCTGCTCAGCATGGCCCGGAAATTCTGCTTCCCACGTGAGGTAGGTGTGGGGAGTTGGCCCTGTGCTGGAATGAGGTTAATCTTTGCAATAACACCTCAAAGGGGGACACTTCTGTTAAAGATGTTAAAAGCATGAAAAGAGTGCATGAAGAATAATAAGCTCAGAAGAATAAGCTTTAAAATACTTTTCAAGCACTTGTTTATATAGAAAACGTCATCATTATGACTGTAAGTAGTTTTTAGTAAAGCAGCTCTTGGATCCTTTTGTGTAAATGTTTGGCTCAGGATGATGTAAGATTCTAAAAATTTGCGTTTTCAGAATCTGTTTTGTAATGTTCCCTGGCCCCCACCCAACACACACACATGGTTTTATCACCCAGTTGATTGAGTGGAATTGGTATCCATGCTGCGAGGACCTCAGTGGTAAAGGCTTCATGTAAACCTTAGATGCCTCCTGGGGGTCTGTTGTGTAAAAGCCACAAGTAAGAACTGAACGAAGTGTTGGTGCTGCCCCTTCCTTCCCCAGGGAGTTTTAAGAGCCAAGTACCCATTTCAGTTTGAGGACTGGGACATTGTACAGTGTGGCCTCATTGAAGAAAAGAGCCCTGGCACCCCAGAATCAGGAAATAGAACCATTCATTTGGTAACTATCTTCCTATAGCAAACCAGGTGTTTGCACACTGATGTCTGTGACTCATACATCCCTATGTCCCACTGTTCCCGAGAGGCTTGACCCTAGTTTCCCAGGAAGGTTCACTCCCAGCCTTCAAGGGAGTCCCTCCCACGTAGAGGCTGGAGGCCATCTCCACTTCACCTTCCAGGTTCCTCCTTACTGTGCTTAGTTTAGTGAACCTGGGCTAAAGGATTGATTCCGGATCTTAAGGTCTGCCTTTTGTTTTGTAACTGTTGTGTCACATAGTTCTTAAGTAAGTACTTGAACCACCCCACGAAGTCAGTTATATAAATATATTCCACTTGGCAGTATTTATTAGACAATAAATACTTTAATAAATTGCTGCATAACACACTGAGAAAAATGAAAGAGATGTGGATATGTGGCTTTTACAAGAGTGAAAGATAAGTTCTCTAGAATATCTGTGCCCAGTGGATACAAAGTGAAATCTAGATAAGGGCGTGGCCACATCACCCCCTTATCAAAACACACGGATGCAGTACCCAGGCCAGCCCAGTACTTCTAGGTAGGGTGGGTGTGAGTCCTACTGAGAATCGCACCAGGCCTTTCCCAGGGCAGAGTGTTTGGTTTTTGTGTGTTACTGCACTTGGGGATGGAGATGTTTGATTCGATGTTGGGGTTTGGAAGCTGGGCTCCTGGGGATCATTCGGGCCTGGTGGCAGCCACCTCATCCGGAGGCTAGTTAGTTAGAAGGTGAAGGTGACTGGCCATTGCTCCCTTCTCTCCCAGGCCTGAGCGCCCTTGCCAGACCAGCTTGGCTCCCAGGAGGTCCTGAGGCACCAGGTTCTTCGTAGCCTGTTGTGTGGGGAGGCAGTGGGTTAACTCTTCCTCAGCAGGTAGGAGGCCCTGGAGGTCGCTGCCGAGGGCCTTGTCCTCTTCACTACCTACTCTGGGACAGTCCTGTACTTTGGGGAAAATGTGGGAGGCTACATTTGAGGAGGCTGCGGGCTCACAGCCTGTGTGTCCTCATGAGAGCTGCCGTCCCCATCCCCAGGCCCCATCACTGCCACAGGAGCACAGCAGGCTTGGGACCAGCCCTCCCAAGACCACCCTTTCTCGGGACCATCTCTCGTCCACCACCTGTCCAATGTCAGCGCCGCATGGCCACCCAAGTGGGAAAGATGCTTGGGAGGCTCATCCCAGAGCCGCTGGACCCAGCCAGGCCCTGGCACCCCTGGTGGAAGACTCTGCTTCAGCTATTCGGATGATGGGTCAGCAGGCCCGGCTGTCTCCAATCTGTAAAGACGTTCTAGATCTTTCCTCTGGTGGGTGGCTCCTACCAGTGAGTCAGCACCTCAGAGGGGAGGGGAAAAGGGATCTCATCCACCTCTGGAGAGGGTGGAAGGGGCCTTGGCTGTGAAGATTTGCAGAGGAGGGGAAGAGTGGAGCTCCCATTTGGAAAGGCCTTCTGAGGTGAATTTGTGAGTTAATCTTGCACACATTAGAACTAGAAGCTGGGCCCAGACTTACTGTCCCCCAAAGGCCCTTGTCCAGTGCCCCTCTGGCCCAGGCTAGGCAGTGCTCAGCTCCACTGGCAGGTAGAACACGGTTAGGGGAGGGGCAGGGAAGACCAAGGAGCCCAGATGGAGACCAGGGGAGTGGTGAGTGACCCCGTCCCTTCTAAGCAGTAAGAACACACAGCGTACGTCCCTGTGGCAGCCCCCTCAGCCCTGCGTCAGCTGACCCTCTCCCAGGTAGGGGCCCTGGCTGGTGCACTTTGCACTCCATGAGAACATGAAGAGAGGTGGAAAAGGTGGGGCTGGGCACAGGAAAGACGCAGAGGCCATCTGGGCAGGTGCTGAGCAGGCCAGGAAAGAGTCGGCCTGCAGCTGGAGACTAGCAGGTGCCCCCAGGCACGCCGACTCTTTCTTTCCTGGATAAGAGCCCAAGATGGTGTCCTGAATCAACCCTGGCTCCGGGACCACCAGCGTGCGTGTCACGTCCGTAGGCCTGCCTGCAGTGGCTCTGTGGGCTGAACTGCAGTGGCCAGTGTGGGCAGAGTTCCGGGTGGGCCTCCTCCTCCATGTGGCCACTGCTACTCTGACACTGTCCACACATTGTCTAGATCTGTGCTCCATTTGCCCCTGAGAGGAAGGGCCTGTGGTGGCCGCTCACACGCCCAGGAGGACAGCACTGAAGTGGGAGCCACTGCGCACTGTGAGGGAGCAGCCGCTGGCGTTGTCCAAGAACACGGAGGTCCACTGCCCCATCTGCAAGGAGGGTGCCTTTGAGGCACTGGGCCACCCCAACAGCCTGCAGAGGTGACCCAAGGGCCAGCCAGCCACACTCCCTCCTGCCCACTCAGCCCCGCTTTTGGGAAGGGCTCAGGCCCAGAGAAGAATGTGGCCGCCAAGGTCACAGAGCAAGGGCCCGCACGGGTTGGGCCCCACCCAGCACCTCTTCTGCTTTCCCTGCAGCGCCCTACAGTTCGCGTGTGTGGGAGTGGGCCCCTGCTCAAGGCCAGAGTGGGATTCAAGAGTCCAACAGGTTTCTCAGCTGCAGGGCTTCTCAGAGCCTGCAAGGGCTCCAAGTCAGGTGGGAGGGTGGCCCTTCCCCACAGGCAGTCATTTGGCAGAGCCTTCCGTGAAACCAGCACTCTAGCCTGGCTGCTCCAAACGTGGTCATGCACCAGCAGCGTGGTCATGCACCAGCAGTGTCACATTCCCTGGGAACTCCCAGAAATGCAGAATCTGGGATCCACCCAGACCTGCCTCAGGATCTGCATCTTAAGATCCAGGTGGGGCAGAGACCATCTGAGTTCACCAAGCATGCTGTGTGGCACCCAGAAGGGACCTCTAAATGCCTTTCAGCAAGCACAGACTCTGGGCCAGACAGCCTGGCCTCCATTTCTGGCTCTGCTGTGTGAACTTGGGCTAACTCGGGGAGTAGCTCTACCTTCTCCAAAGCTCTGGGAGAATTCAATAGCAGCTGTTATTCCACACACCTGCACTCAATTGTTTTCTTTGTTAGTAAATTCCACCTTTATGTCCATTTCTCTACCACTTGCCAAAATTCCCACAGTGCCAGAGATGGTCACTTAGGGTTTTGGGTAGGAAAATAACGTATCTGGCTTCCCATAGTCACAGGGGACTCAGGGCGTCAGCCTGGGCAGAGTGCTGGCCTCCATTCCCTCCCTGCACCAGTCCCTTCAGCGGGCTTGTGGTGGCCAGGAGTACTGGGCCTCAGGATGAGGTGCTCAGGGAGTCTGAATATTGGGAATGCAGAGCGGAGCAGCTGCTCAAGCGGGCAGGTGCCCTCGGGGAAGGGCTGTGTTTGGAGGAAGGAGATCAGGACTTGAAGCCTGGCTGCGCCCAGACCAAAGTGAGAACTTGGCATGTCCTGGACCCTCTCCCAGGCCTGGAGTCTGAGGGTGCTGCACCCGACCCAGTGATCCTGAGCATCTAACAGCACCCTTCTGCACCCAGCCACCCGTGGCCATGCCCAGGCGGTGCCCCTCGATGCCCAAGCCTGCCGCACTCACCTGCAGGTACAGGACGCCATTCACAGAGATGGTGAAGAGCTCACTGCTGCTCTCCAGGCCCATGATGGCCTCCAGGGAGCTGTACCCAAAACAGAGGGAGGGTCAGCCTGCCCCATGAGACCCCACCAACTTCACCTACGACACACAATCCTGCCAGCAGCCAACACATGCCCAGCAAAGTGCCTGACCCTGGCCAGGTCTTCCAGTGGAGGTGGTGTCTGAACCGAGTCCCCAAGAGGAGGAAGGACACAGGGCCAGAGGCATGCTTGCTGTATTGGGAAAGGCAAGGCGAGGGCCCAGCAAGAGGCAGCAAAGCCCTGGCTCTGATGGGAAACAGGACACTGGCTGATGCAGCCGGAAGTGGGGATGTGGTGGCAGGTGATGCTAAGTTAGTTCAGGCCAACACACTCTGGGGGTTCAAAGGCAGACTAAGAAGTTTTGGACTTGATCCATTCATTCAAGTCTGCTCCAGCTATCCTACCCGCAGGGTATCTCCGCTGTACCTGGGCTCCCTTCTGGGTGTGGGGAGACAGGGAGCTCACAGTCACTGCACTCGTGGGCCAGATGGTGCAGGAGCAAGGGATGCGATCATGGGGAAGAAAGTTCCCGGGTGAGGAGTGGGAGGGCGACTGAGGAGGGGGCCTCCAGAAAGCTGTCTGGAGAGGCCTCTTGAAGTAACACTGGTGCTTCGAGCCCCAAGATGAAAGTCCCTGAGGTGGGAAGGAGTTGGGAGGCTAGGAGGAGCCCGGCCTCCTAGGACCTGGGGAGGAGGTGAAGGTCTGGGCAGGGAGTGGCCTGGAAAGGTTTTTTTTTGTTGTTGTTGTTTGTTTTTTTGAGACGGAGTCTCGCTCTGTTGCCCAGGCTGGAGTGCAGTGGCGCTATCTCTGCTCACTGCAAGCTCCGCCTCCCGGGTTCACGCCATTCTCCTGCCTCAGCCTCCCAAGTAGCTGGGATTACAGGCACCCACCACGCCCGGGTAATTTTTTGTATTTTTAGTAGAGACGGGGTTTCACCATGTTAGCCAGGATGGTCTCGATCTCCTGACCTCGTGATCCGCCCGCCTCGGCCTCCCAAAGTGCTGCGATTACAGGCGTGAGCCACCGCGCCCAGCTGGAAAGGTCATTTTTAACAGCTCCCAGTTGCTGTGAAGGGAAGGCCTGATAGGGGCAGAAGTAGACCGGGAGACCTGGAAGAAGGTGTGGGGTCACCTAGGCCACGGTGGGGTGTGAACGGGCGGAAGCCCCGTCCAGTGCCTGTTTAACCACCTCCAGCTTGTGGAGGCCGAGCGAATGCGGGTGTGGGGTCCGGGCCGGGGTACACTCACGCGTTGCGCTGGCACCGGGACTGGATGCAGATGAGCAGGCGCAGGTGGTCCCGGGGGCGCGGCGGCCCCCTCCTCGGCGGCTCCCCGAGCGCTGCGGGGGAGGGTGGGACGTGGTCAAGCGGGCGGGCGGCGGGGTGGGCGACAGAGCGGGCGATCCTCCCACGCCCCGGGCCTCACCCACGTGCAGCGTGGCGGCGAGAGCGTAGAAGCCAGCCACGGGCGCCCTGTACTGGCCGCTGGTCAAGTTCAGGCCCGGGCCGCGGCGGAAGGCACCCTCGGCGTCGGGCTGCGAGGGGCACGGATGGTCACCCCGGCTCCCGCCCGGCCGGACTCACCCGCCCTCCCGCGCGCCGGCACTCACCAGGTAGTAGACGCCAAGCTCGTGCAGCGCGCGCCGCTCCACCAACGCGTCCCGGCGCAGGCGGCAGAGGAAAGCGGCCTCCACGCGCGGCGCCCGCGGCCCCGGGGCCAGGGGCGCGGCCAGCAGTGCCAGCACGTCCCCCACCACGTCGTCGTCGTCCTCCCCGGCGGTGGCCGAGACCGGGGCGAGGCTCGCAGCGACCGGCCCGGCGGGGCCACACGTACAGGGTTCGGGCTCCGCGCGCTCCCGCTGCCGCACCGCACCTGGCACAGAGCGAGCGGTGGCCGCGCGCCAGGGACCCCTCACCCGCCCGCCGCGTGGGTCCAGCCCTGAACGACAGGTGCTAGCGAGACCAGGGGCCTGCCGGGCGCAGGGGTGGGGCGAGGGCGACGTCCCCTCGGCCTGAAGGGCCTCGGAGTCTTTGCGTCCTGACCCTGCAGCGGCTCCCGTTTCCCTCAAGATTTGGGAAGCTCGGGCAGAAGTGCCCCAGCGCCCTTGGCCTCCAGCCTCACCTCTACCCCACCCACATTTTCCAAAGACGCTGGGGGTAAAATAAGCGATTGCAGCTTTACTGGAAGTACAAGGAGGTTCTTCAGCGCAGAAGGTGCTATATTTAAACGAACAGGACATTGAACTAAAAGGAAAAAACGGCTCAATTCTAATGACTAATGTGAGCCGCCGCTCTGCAGGAGGCCTCAGTGTGGACTCCGCGGCTCCACTCAGCCCTGCCTCCTCCAGGGCAGGCTGCCCCAGCCCTGGCCAGTGGTGACTGTGGGTGCCAGGCTGAGCTCCACCTGGTGCTGCCCCATACACTAGCCTCTGCCTTTCGCTGGGCTCTCCTGACTTCCAGGCAGGGCATAGGCGCTGGTCCCTGAGCACCCGCCATACTGAGTGGCCAGGTCCACCTTCCTCTGTGAAGCCTTCTCCTGGCCATGGTTCCCAACCCCCAGCCATCCCCAGCCCTGACCCTTGGCAGACATGGGCCAAGATGGGGCAGAGACTGGACCTGGCCAGCTCTACTGTCCTTGAGTCCAGCCCAGAGCAGGTGCCTCCTTGGGTGCCCGCCGAAGTGTTGAGGTTGGCCCTGTCAGCTCCTCGGGACACCCTCCCAGGCCCTGCTCACAGCGGGGTGTGTGTGTCCCAGCCGGTGCACACCCCTACCTTTCAGCAGCAGCTGGAACTCCTTCAGCAGCGCCTCGGGTGGGATGATGGGGCCTGGGGGGCCCTGGGGACCGGGAGGCCCAGGGGGCCCTGGCAAGCCGAACTGAAAGGGAACCTTGGCAGTGAGGACATGTGAGGAGCAGGCTGGGAGCCACAGCATCCCCTGTGCAAGCTCTTGCCACTAAGAGGCAGGCAACAGAGCTCCCCAGTGGGCTCCAACCTCCAGCCAAGGATCTACCTCAGTGAAAGCTTCTCCTGGAGTGAGTACAAGGACTGTGCTGGAGGTGGGGGCCCTCGGGGCGGGGCTTTGGCAGGGAAGGACTCTGCTCTGAGTGGGGAGGCAGAGGGCTGAAGCCCGCTCCTGCGGCCAGGCCTCGTGGAGGGAAGAAGACTCTAGGCTGCTTTTGGGGACTTGCATCTCAGGGTCTGCACTGGGCCCGAGTCCACCATCAGCAGGTCCCCACTAGGCTGGGTTGGGACCCGAACCAGAAGCCAGTGAGCCCCCTGTGGGGAGAAGCTTAGGGCAGGGCCAGGAGGCTGGGCAGAGGTAGAAGGCCAGGCCACGAGGACAGCGCGGCCTGTGCACCTGCCTCATGCACTCCGAGCTGGCCTTCCATCGTGTGTTCAGATCCCAGGCAGGTGATACTGGCCCCCAGGGGACAGAGAAGCCCACACCCCGTATTTTCCATTTTGGGGGCTCCAAGCAGGAGGCAGCACCAGGACCAAGCACCAAGTTTCTGCCCAGGCCAAGACCTAAGGCTGAGTGAGGGTGAGAGGGACCCTGTGCCCCTAGTCCCTGGGAGCCAGGCACTCCTGCAGGCCCCTCCAGTGTGGACAAGGTTCTCACCACAGCCTGGGCTAGCCCAGCCTCCCTGGCCTGGATGCAGAGGGAGGAGAAAAGAGGGAGAGCCTGGCATTTTAGGGGTGTGGGGAAATGGTTGGGACCAGGCCCCTAACTCGGGGCTCCCCCTGGGGCTGCCTGGGTTCTCTCTGTTCTCTGTCCCCAGGCCGAGGCGTGAGGGGTGTGCTATTGGAAATGTTCAGGATGTAGGAGTGGGAGTGGATGAGGAGCGAGGAGGCGGAACCCCCCACGGCCTGGCACTGACGGGATGCCGGCCTCACCTTCAGCTTCTTGGCCTTGCCCCTGCTCCTCTTCTTGCCATTGACACCCTTGTCACTCTGCCTGACGAAGAGCATCCAGGCGTCCCGGGGGTCGACGCTGTGTGCACGCTCAGCGGTGGGCTCCTGGAACACAGCCAGCCCAGCAGGGCGGTTGGCCTCACTGGGCTCCTACCAAGCAGGTGGGACACTTTGCAGGAGGTGACTGTGTGGCCTTCTGTACTCTGGGACCCTGGTCCTTGTCACCTGTGGTGCCCTCAAAGGCAGCTCCCAAAGGGGCCCCAACCCCTCACAGCTTCTCCCCCGGCCCGTGGAGGATGACTCCTAGGGAACGGGCCACACCTCGGCCTGGACTTGGCACTCATGGGAGAGGCAGACCCAAGATGCCTGGAGGGAAAATGGGGTGCAGGGCTTGGATATCGGGGTGAATCCCCGTACTGCTGGGCCTCCTTCCTCCAGAGGAGCTGCAGTGATCACACCGTCCTCCAGTCACCAGGAGGATCCGACCACTGGAGCACCCATAGGTGCTCAGGAAGAAGCAACTGTGATTATCAGGGAGCCCAACTACTAGCCAACCCTCCTCTGTCCATCCTCCCCCAGTGTCAGAAGTTCTAAGGAGGCAAATTCAGCTCTCACAGCTGCCTCGGGTTACAGTCCAGTGGGGGAGAGGACCAGGCGAGCTGTCATGACGCGAGGCCTCTGTGTGAGACTTTCATTTCCTCAGCACTTCTGAGACACTGACACATGGACAGTGATGCTTCCGGAAGTTCCCATTCCTGTCCGCGCTGCATCCTGACTGATGCTGACACTGAGCACAGTTTTGGGAGGGACCTTCCTGGGAGAGGCCTTGGGCTATCTGGGCTCCAGGCAAGGCTGCCAGCTGGGAAGGAAACCGGCCCAAGAGGGCTTAGATGAGGTCATGGGTGCTGACGCTGGGGGCTGACGGAAGGACCCTGGGATTTTAGAGCTGACTGGGCCCTTTTATCAGAGACAAAGCCGGCTGCCAAGTCACTGCCTTTGGTTCCTGGCTGATCTGGGGGGATGCAGGGCCTTCTTTTGGGAGCTGGCTGACCAATGCGCAGGCCAGGGTGTTGTGGTGGGAAGATGGGGGCTGCGGTGCCGAGGAGCCTGTGGTTGGGCGGAGAAAGGGTTCAGGGGCCCAGGGCCCTCAGCGCTGCTCAGTGCTTCCTTGTGCCTTAGAGGGTCAACTGCACCACCTGCTGGCTGATCTCCCCTCTACCCCCTCCCAGGACCCTCTTCCACTTCCTGTGTGCCCTCCGTGGAAACATGGGGCGAGGATGCCGCACACCGGCCAGGAGGGGTGTGCCCAGCTGACCCTCCCAGCTGCACCTGTGGCCTGTGGCCGGACCCTGACCCCAGTGTGGTTTGCAGGTAGAGCTGTAACAGGCAGAAGGTGGCGTCCCAGGAGACGGCCCCAGCAATGGGGGTGGGTATTGGGCAGCTGCCCTGGTTCCAGCCACAAGGGGTCTCTCAGAAACAAGCCTTGGAGCCTGGGAGGACCTCTGGTGTCACTGTGTCCCCCACAAACAGGGTCCAAGGCCAAAACTCCACCTGGAAGCCCCTGAGCCCCGTCTGCCTCCTGCTGACAGTGCCCTGACATTTGGCTGCTGTGCCCACCTGGGTGGTTTGGCCAACTGCACGGGGAGGGGGTGCCTTCAGTCCCTGGGAAGTGGCTGGGTGTGATGGGGCCGGGATAGAGAACTCTGGGGGACCCCAGGCCTGGCTGCACCCCTGTCCTCTCTAGTAGATGCGTTCCTGGCTCTCCCCTCTACTGCCCCTGAGCATCTTCAGAATAAACAGCACCGGCCGCCCACCCCGGCTTCCCTGGGGCAGCCCTGTCTCCCTGACCCAAGGCCCGGCCACACTGAGGGCTCCTCTGAAGTTCTCCCCTCCTCAGGCCTGGGCCACACCTCCCCAACCGGACCACCCTCTGCTCAGCAGTCCAGGCTCCAAAACCCTGGAGAGGAGGGGGCAGGGCAGAGCTCAAGATCACCCACTCACGGCCAAAAGCCACCTGATCACTTGACTCAAAGCCACATGTCATTCCCCACCCTGCACAGCCCCCCGACCCCAGATCCGCAGGAAAACACTTTTTGTTTTCCAGATAATTGCACCAAATAGATTGGGGGCGGTGGCAGTAATTCGCTTACACTTTTTACAAATGCGTTCTTCCCAATTTCCTCAAATCAAGTTATTTACACTTTATCTATTTCCCAACTTCCTTCTGTCCCAAAAGAAAAGGGGGGTTTCGCCGACCTAGTAGAACCTTGCTTTAAGTCAAACTACCCCAAAGCCAAAGTCAAGGCTGCCCCGCCGGGCTGAGGGCGGCGTCTACACGGCCCTGAGTCTCTGCGGAGCCCCGGAGCCCCGGTGCCAGGCGATGCAGCAGCCCTCGGGGGTGAGGGCGGGCTCGGCCTCCACGTCCGCCTCCCGCCGCCCCGAGCCGGGGCGTGCGGGCGCGGGCTGGGTCTGGAGCGGGCCCGGGCGTCTTACCGGCGGACGAGCGGCCGGCCCCGCGCGGCTCTCCCCGGGGCCCCGGGGCAGCTCGTTCCCGGGCGGCGGCTCCCTGCGGGCGCGGCTCCTCGAGGGCGCCCCAGGCTCCGGGGACCCCAGGCCCGCGGCGGCGGCGGCCAGCAGGCCCGCGTAGACGAGCAGCAGGCGGGCTCCGGCGGGGCGGCGGGCCGGGGCCATGCGGGCGGCGGTTCCCTCGCGGCTCCGAGCGCGGCGTCTCGGACGCCCCGGGCTCCTCGCCTTATAACGCGCTTGAATCCCCCGCCTCGCCCGAGACCGCGCGCCCGCCCGCGCCCCCTCCCGGCTCCCGTGCGCGCTGCATGGGGATGGGGGGAGTGTCCGGGCGGGGGAGGGGGAGTGGGGGAGGGGGCACGGGGAGCGGGGCAGGGCAGGGAGAGCGAGGGGTGTTCCCCTGCTGGGCGCGTCCCCCCTGCAACTCCTGGTTCTGGGATCCCTCCTTCGCGCTGTCCAGCGCTTCTGCTTCCTGGGGAGCGAGGCGCCCCTTCTCCCAGCCCTGGACCCTCGGCCCTCGCGACCCCATTTTCTTTGCGGGGAGCCAGGCGCTGCCTCCTCCCAGACGGCTCGAGGCATCCTTTCTCCCCGCTCTGTCCCCCACGTCCTCTGCAGGGACCCCCGAGGTACCCCCTCCCCATTCTCCTGGCTGCGCCCCGCAAGGCCCAGGCCTCTATGACACAGGTGGAGCAAATCTGAGCCGGGAGACCCTCAGGGCCCCTTCTCAGCGCCCCTTTCCCAGGCGGGAACTCCCCTTTCCAGGCCGCCCTCCGTCCATGGCTGGCGTGCTCTGAGCGCAGGGATTCACTGTTCTTCCCCACCTGTCGCACCTGCCGGGACCCAGAAGACGCAGGGAGCCAAGAAACAACTCAGGACAGCCGCCCTGCCCTGGTGGGGCTGAGCGGGGCCTGGGCTGGGAGAACTGACCCCTATCGTGCCCTAGCGGGGGTGTGGGGGCAGACCAGACCGGAAGCCAGGCTGCCCACCGCCCACCGGAATCAGTGCCCCCAGAGGTGGACCAGACCCTGCAGGCCTCGGAGAAGGTGGCAGAGAGGCCTCTGGGCGGCCCTACCAGGAAAGAGCCAGCCCCAGCCCCACCCTACCCCTGGCTTTGTTATATCGCATGCCCTTTTGACTATCTGCCCCACCACTGGACGCTAAGCCGAGGAGGGTCGCACACTTGGCTCGCTTGCCCCACCCCCGAGGCACCTGCCCCTGGTGGGTACACAGTGCTTTTTGTTAAAGAACGGGAGAAGGCTCCGCTGGAAAAGTACCTTACACTCACACCGAGGGCTGCTGTTCCCGGGGAACTCTTTTGAGAAGAGCCCGCTGGGGAAAGGAGGCCTTACCCTGTCCTGGTTCACAGGATGTGGCAGCAGGGACTGAAAGGGGCACCAGCAGCCGCAGGTGGTGCCCCCCAGGCTTGGGGATGGGCCAAGTTCCGTCCTCAGATGCAAGCTGGCCTTTGTCGCCTGCCTTTTCTGGCCACTCATGCGATGTTCCACCTGGCTGGCCTCATGCCTGGCAGGTGGGGAAACCAGGAAATACTTCATACTTTAGGAAAAGCATGGGATCAGAAGGTAATTATTCCCTGTGATTCCACCCCTTTTCCCATAGGATATGGGAATGGTGTAGAGTTGGGTGGGGAGGACGTTTAAAGAAAAACATACCCTGCCCAGCATGAGAATCTGCCCGGCAGGGGTAAGTCCCATGGACTTACTCTGTGAAGATGTCTTTCAATGGCAGGTGAGGACACAAGAGGGAAGTCCTGCCTTTAAAAGCCACAAATGGGCCAGACACGGTGGCTCACGCCTGTAATCCCAGCACTTTGGGAGGCCGAGGCAGGTGGATCACCTGAGGTCAGGAGTTCGAGACCAGCCTGACCAACATGGTGAAATCCCGTCTCTACTAAAACTACAAAAATTAGCCGGGTGTGGTGGCGAGCGCCTGTCATCCCAGCTACTCAGGAGGCTGAGGCAGGAGAATTGCTTGAACCTGGGAGATGCAGGTTGCAGTGAGCCGAGATCACACCACTGCACTCCAGCCTGGGTGACAGAGCGAGACTCCGTCTCAACAAAAAGCCACAAATGATTTTTTTTTTTAAAAAGACCAATACAATGAAAACATTTGAATTCCTATAAAACATGCAAGTCTTTAAGACACATTTGAGAAATATGAGAAACACTGGCTTAGGTCATATGTGCCCAGCAAGATATCTGAACTTATTTCACCTGCAAACATTCTGCAGGTTTGTCACAATTAAGGACATTTGCTCCCAAAATCACGCATATGAGGGAGATGTCTTAAGGCCCTCAGAGAGTGAAGGGTTTCTCTGGTGGGTTTTCATGTCTGGTTCTATTGGAATGTCTGTTAAGAAGCCTGATGTGTGGAACTTTGTCATGACATGTCTGAATGTGACATGCACATTCGGTGTAATGTGTTAACATTTCATTCGGTTTCACTTATTCAGAGGGACTGTATCTGTGGACCACAGGACCCTGGCGTGCCATGTTCTCCTGTACTCTGCTGGTAGAGAGGGGCTCCTGTCCCCAGGAGTTGCAGCTGTGTGAATGGCACCTTCTTGCTTCTGGAGAAGCTCATCCACACCAGCACCTCATTTGATTCCCCACCAATTAGCCCAGAGAGGTGGGCGGCTTGCCCAGGACGCAGCCCATGGGCAGAGCCGGCGTGGGGCTGCAGAGGCCCTCCTGCCCACTGGACAGGTTACATCTTCACGGCCTTATGTTTGGCTTGTTAGGGTTCCTCCTATTCTAGTTGGTGTGAAATAAGAGGTGCGTGATGAGTTGGAGCATTACTGCAGAAAACATAGCCCCATCTTTTCCCTGTGAGGAATGGGCATCCCACAGGTCTGAATTCCCTCTGGGGCCCTGGCTGCAGCTATGGCTCAAGGTGGATGCTGTTTGGCCCCACCCGAGCCCTGGGAAGGTGATGCTCAGGCTCTGCCACCGTCGGCAACACTGAGGATACGCAGGGATGAGGTGCCCTGATTTGGGGAACATTACCCTTAAGATACTAGTGTGATGTCATTCCACTTCGCAGTGGGGGGCCCCAGCTTTCAGGCCAGCATTGAGGACAGGAGCCGTTGCCATGTGAAAAAGTTATTTTCCCAAACAATGAACAATCCTCATGATGTCATGGGCCCTGCCAGAGGCCCAAATCCAATCGGTTCTGGTGCTGGGGCAGCCTCCTGTAACACTATCCTGAGAGGATGACTCCGCCTGGGTTGGGGACAGAGAGCAGAGAGGCCGGGGGTCTTCAGGTGGGGCCCCTGCATGTGTCTGCGTTCACATTTCAAAGTGGCTTTCACTCAGAGGAAGGTGGAGCTTAGCAAAGAATTGCGCAGATCAAGGAGCAGCAGAAATGGGGGCCTCCCCCTGCAGGAGCAGCCCATGGGTCAGAAGTGGGGCTGGCATCGGGGTGAGCCAGGACATCCCAGGATGGAAGAACTAAATGAATGGCCACAGAACGGGGATCACTGGAGCAGGAAGTGGCCTCCCCCATGCGCCTTCACGCCTGGCTGAAATCTAATCCTCATTCTTGGGCCCTCATGTCACGGCCCGGGCCTGGCTTCCCAGCAGCCTGATGCAGCCAAGCTGTTCCCACTCTTCTCTCTTCCTCCAGAGGAAGGACCTTTGCCGATGAAGTCATGGGAATAAAACCTCCCTCTGCCCTGAAAACAGTGGGACCGTGAAGTCAGCTTGTTGTGTGGCCTCCAGAGGCCCAGGCGGGTAGCCTTCGCTGTTTACTGGGCCTTGCAAGCCCACGACGTCATCTAATTTGCAAATCGTGTGATTATCCCCATTGCACAGATGAGGAAACTGAGGCTCAGATCTTGGGATTGGCCCAAGGTCACAGAGCCAATAAATGAAACCACATCCAGGTCTGGCCCCTACAACTTGAGGTCAGTTGCTCTGGAGAACCTACAGATTTAGTTCAGTTCAGTGAGCATTTGTGCAGTTGTGCAGTTCCCATGACGTGCCGGCACCAGGCCGAGCACTCGGAATACATTGTGGCCTCCTGCATGGGTGTGTGGGCAGTCTCGGGTCTCTCGGGAGACAATTCTTTCTCACTCCTGCCCAGAGGGTCTCTTGAGTTTTCTGCTAATTGTCTACATGTTTTTAATAGATTAATTAAAATAATCATCTTTAGCTCTCCTCTCAGTTGAATGCAATGCCATTTTGGAAAGAATCACATTCTTAAATGTGACTGTGATCAAAATCGTCTTGGCTTCTGAGGGAGTCATGATGTCTCCTGGGGTTTGTTCCAAACAGGATACTTCCCCCATGGAGATTCCTGTCCTAGTCTACCTCAGTCTCAGTGACAGCCACACACCTGGCTGCCCTGCCACGTACCTGGTGCTGCAGAGTCCGGGAGAAGCAGCCACACTTCAGACCGATCAGCTGATACCACGCCGGGCACTGGGGAGGGACGGTGAATGACACGGCCCCGGAGGTGCAGCATCTTTCCTGTGTACGTGGCTGTGCCCTCTCTCCTTAAGCCATTGGCACATTCTCCATCCATACACATGCTTTCAGCTGGATCAACTGATGGCCCAACCAACTGGAGTAGTGGCCTGTATCCTTCTGTTTTCTTGCTATAAAGGAAAATGTGAGGCTGGGTAATTTACAAAGAAAAGAGGTTTATTTGGCTCACAGTTCTGCAGGATGTACAGGAAGCATAGTGCCAGCATCTGCTTCTGGTGAGGCCTCAGGAAGCTTCCACTCACGGTGGCAGGGGAAGGGGAGCAGGTGTGTCACACAGTGAGGGAGCAAGGGAGAGCAGGGGAGGTGTCAGGCTCTTTAACGATCAGCTCTCCGTGAACGCACCAGCGTTACTGCACCATGCCATGCCTGAGGGATCCGCCCCCATGATCTAAACGCCTCCCACCAGGCCCAACTCCAACACCAGCGATCAGACTCAACAGACTCAACATGAGATTCGGAGGGGACAGATCTCCAAGCTATGTCATGGTCTATACTGACTATGGAAAACTGTCAGGTGACCAGTCCATTTAATTACAGTCACATGAGGGTGTCAATGGCCTGATCCCAGCAACCACTGTCCCTGCCTGAATAGAGAAGATGCCAGATAATAAAAGGGGCCTGTCTGTGAGGTGTTGGAAAACTCAAGTCCGGTGGAAGTGGCTGGAAGCATGCCTAGGCCCCAGCTTACTTGGGGACCCGGGGGAGCTGAGATACAGTTGGCAGTGCTGGGCCTGGCTGAGGGCCCTGTGTGCTCACTGAAGGCTGAGGGGCCTCAGTTTACCCAGCATCCTCTATGGGAAAGACAACACGCACCTACCTGGAGGACATGAGCACATGGGGCCTGGAGGTGGGTTTCGCCCGCACACCCCTGTGGGCATTTGCACATGTTCCAAGGCTACGCGCTCCCCTTTCTAGAAGCCCATATTAGCCTCAAGCCTTCTAATGAGTCCTTGCTGTCCTGGATTTTGATGATGGAAGGGGATACCTTGGCTGCCCTATGGCTGTCGCTTGGTGAGTGAGTGCATTAATGTCCCTTCGTGCAAAGCTCTCAAGTGGGTGACGTGTGCCGGACCTTCTGGCCGCCGTCCTGGTGCCCTGGCCACCTTCTCCACCTGTTCTGTGTCCCCAGGTGGCCACTACAGCCTGTCAATGGCCTCTCTTCCCTCTGGGTTCTGGTTGGGCTTGGCCTGTAGGAGGCGCTAGTGGGAGACAGGGGGCAGGCCAGAGAGAGAGGGCAGATGGACTCTGCCACCTCCTCCCAGCTGGACAACAGGGGTGGTGGCTGCGTTCCCCCGCCAAGGCCCTCTCTCAGCAGCTCCCTGGAGTCTGCGTCTGCCCTTTCCCTTCTCCCAAGACGGGGTGGGGGGGGTGGCACTCCCACTGCTGCTGTCCTGGGATGCCTCTCCAGCCACTGGGCTCCCTTCACCCTGCCCACAGCATGGGGAGAGGCCGTCGTGAAACTCTCCTTAGCCACTCACCTCAATACCCAGCAGACGCCCCTTTCCTCCTGGTGCCCTGAAGGCTGCGATGGCCCCCTGAATCAGGAGCCCAGCTGATCGGACGAGGTGCACTTTGGCACCTCAAAGCTGGGAGCCAGGCCCTGGAGAGGCCCACTCCTTCCACCCGAGGACCGCCCATATTCCCATAGGGTGTGCAAGGGTGGACAGCAGGCGTTGCTCTGGCACGCCGCCCTTTTGGCTACTTTGTGATCAAAGCCAGCCTATTTTGACATTTCATGTCTTCAGTTTTATTTTTATTTATTTTAAAATATTCTTGCAGAAATGGTTTACATGGAGGCTTTGTTTTTAAACAGCCCTTTGGCTGACCTCCTTCCATCACTGTCTAGAAAACATTTCAGATTTCCACATGGAAACAGAGCCCAGGGCCCCAGAAACCCTCACCCTTGCTTCATCCAATCCATCTGCCACCGAAGGTCTCCTCAGCTCTGGGCTCTTGTTCCTTTGGTAGCACCCAGAGGCCCCACTCTGTCTGGCCCTCCAGGGTCAACTCACTTCTCCCACACCTTGTAATCCCAGCACTTTGGGAGGCTGAGGCGGGCGGATCACCTGAGGTCAGGAGTTCAAGACCAGCCTGGTCAACATGGTGAAACCCTGTTTCTACTAAAAATACAAAAATTAGTCAGGCGTGGTGGCGAGTGCCTGTAATCCCAGCTACTTGAGAGGCTAAGGCAGGAGAATCTCTTGAACCCGGGAGGTGGAGGTTGCAGTGAGCCAAGATCTCAGCATTGCACTCCAGCCTGGACGACAAGAGCGAGACTCCGTCTCAAAAAAAAAAAAAAAAAAAAAAAAAAGCTATGAGAGGCAGGTCTGGGAGCAAAGCAGATCCCTACCTACAGAAGCTCAAGAGGCTCAGGGGTTTCCGTCCTCAGAACCCAAGGATGTCAGAGGCCCCTCTGGTCCCCAGGGGCGGGGGGTGTTAAGGAGGAACCCAGGGGCTGGTCCTGGAGAGGAAGCCTGGATCCGGCGGGAGACCGGAGCTGCCCAGGGCCTCTGGGGCAACACCAGGGCCTGTGCCTGGCCGGGCCCGACTCCTGACTTCTAGCCCCATGTCCCAGGGCGGAGCCTGTGACAGGAGGGACACGCCATTGGGCACCCAGGGAGAGTCCTTCATTGTCTCCTTAGCTGCAAAGGTGGGTGCCTCATTCAGGATGAGGGAGAAGCCACTCGGAGCCTGAGCCAGCCGGAGTCGGGCTGCATGCTGGCAGGGGCCCATCGGATGCTACCCCTCACCCTCAGGAGGCTGCCACCAATGCACCCAAGAGTCGTCCCCTGGTGGGAAATTCCATTCTAATGAAGAGCCTTTGTTCTGACACACAGAGACGGAGGCAATCCCTTCTGAGAGCAAAACTGCTCACCTCCCTGGGACCCTCCAGCCCCGCCCCACGCCCTGCCTCCCTCCTTCCTGGTGCCTCTGTGGGCACCGCCCTCTGGGTGCAAGAGATGGGTGGGGGCCTCCTTTGTCCACAGAAGCAGAAACACAGCACCAACATGCAAAGCCTGAGTGGGGACCCAAAGCCCACACAGCCAGCCCCGTGTGTGGTGGACGCGGAGCTTGAAGCCCAGAGAGGGGAGGTGGCTGGCCACAGTTACGCTGCCGTGAGCTGGGCAGAAGCAGGCCCACGAGGACCTGGTGCTGATCCCATCTCCGGGGCCTGCCTTCCCCAGCAGCCTCAGCTTTCTGGGACGCTCCGTGTTCACCCCACATTCATGCAACTGCTCCAAAAGCCCCTGCTGGGGTCCAGGGGCAGGAGTGGGGCTCGCAAGCTCTGGGAATGCTGGCCCGGCCCCCGGCTCCCCTCTCTGAGGTCTCGGGAACCCCAGGGGCAGCAGAGCTTCCTGTCCCTGTTATGCCAGCGTCTGGCACTCAGGCCCTTGTCACTGCTCAGCTCAGAGTTTAGTGTGGTGGCCACAGAGACCAAGGCTGTGTCCTCCAAGCCATGCCGTCTGATCACCCCTGGTGGCCTGAGCGCAGCTTGGAAGGAATGGTAGCTCCGAGTGAACAAATAAGCGAAAATGAAAGGGGCCGTTCCACAGGCTGATGAGGGGCCGCTGTGGGGACTCCTCCCCGGGGACCCTGGCCCTGGTTTAGTGCTCCTGGGTGGGGCCGGAGGGCTGGGTCCACTTGGAGACATCCAGGAAGACGGTGGAGGCCCCGTGGTAGAGCCAGAGCCGGGGCAGGGCGCCGTGGCGGGTCCAGGTGTCCCGAACCGTGTCGTAGGCCTCCATCTCCACGTGGTAGTCACCTTCCATGCCCTGCCAGCGGCCGCCCGTCACGTACAGCGCATCACCCAGTGGCACCAGCGCGCCATTCTCATGCAGGCTGTGCTGTGACTGCACCTGTGCACGGTCAGCGGGTTAGCGTCCGGTGGGCGGGAGCTGGAGAGCAGGGCTGAGGGTGCCCTCAGCAGGGTCGGGGGAGTGGCAGAGAGGACAGCCAGCCACCTGGCCCAGATCCCCTCCAGGGCATGAGCGCAGAGTCCCTGGGCAGCCCACCGCAGCCCCTCCAGCCTCCTCAGACTCTTCTTTTGGTGGGGAGGTCCCTTTCCCTCTCTGACCCTCAGCCCTTGGGATGACACTTCCAACCCCTGCAGTCAGAGGGGGCCCTGAGGCCTCCCGGGGAGGTCCGGGCTGACTCGAGGCCTCACTGAGGCTTCGCTGTCTCACAGGAGACAGGTGTGGCTCAGCCCTGGCAGACAATCAGGAAAAGCCTAGACAAGCCCACCGTGGGTTCCCTTGCCTCACCCCTGCACCCCCTGCTCAGTCTATGGCCTTGGGAGTGCCCCTGGGAGGGGTTGTGGGGTGAGGGCGGGTGGCTTTCCAGAGGCTGGAGAGAGCTGCGGCTTCAGGAAGAGCCCGGGCGGGTGGGAAGCGGGAGGCCGGTCTGTGGCCTCCAGATGAAGACAGGGAAGAGGTGAGGACCCAGGCCTGGAGAGGGTAAGGCAGAGCCCTGCTGTGCTGGGACCTGAGCCTGGGACAGTGGCCTGGGCTGGAGGAAGGCCTGGCTGTGGCCCAGCTGGGAGGGCCCAGGCAGACACGCTAGCCTGGCAGGGCCCACCCTGCACCTGTCTCACCGCTGTAATGGGGGCCCTGGGTCAGCTGAGCAGTGACGCCAGGGGACAGCTGTGGGCAGCAGGATTGCAGAAGTCCTGCTGTCACCAGGCCAGCAGCCTGCAGGGGGGCTGCAGGAAGGAGTTCCACCTTCTCAGCCTGCAGGGACTGGGAGTCTTGGGGCAGGTGGGCAGGTCCAGGGCATCTGGCTTGGTGCCAGGACCCATCCCCAACTTCCTGGGCACTGTCCCCTTCACCAGGGAGGCCGCCCAGAGGCTCACCTCCCTCCCCTTCCTCAGGCACTGATGGTCAAAGAGTGGGCCATGGTGGGATGGCACTGAGGACAACAGGAAAGCCCCCAGGCTGGTGGCTCTCACCTCACCCTCAGCTCAGGAACCCCCTCCCCAACTTGGCCACCCTGGGGCAGAGGATGCCCTCCCTCCTGGTCCCTATAGTACCCTCCGGCTGAACCTGGCTTTTCTCCCTGAGAAGGAGGACAGGCCACTCCTCTGTAGGAAGCTGGGTGTGCAGGGACAGAGCACCAGTGGCCGGCAACCCAAATCGCGTTCTCCCACCATCACCGTCACCCCTGTCCTCAAGGGGACTCGGGCCAGGGCACTATTGTCACCTTGTAGCCTGGGGGGATCTCAGCCTGCGCCACCCACTTTATTGTGGGCCCTCTGTGGGCACCCCAGCCTGCACCACCCCCTTCATTGTGGGCCCTCTGTGGGCACCCCAGCCTGCGCCACCCTCTTCACTGTGGGCCCTCTGTGGGCACCCCAGCCTGCGCCACCCCCTTCACTGTGGGCCCTCTGTGGGCACCCCAGCCTGCGCTGTCCCCTTCGCAGTGGGCCCTCTGTGGCACCCCATCCCTCACTTCCCAGGCTGGCTCTCTGATGTCAGGAGTCCTGGGCAGGGGCTCACACATGTTGGGGGAGGGGGCGGCCCACCTTCTGCCACAGGTTGGCCCCGGGGTCGTACACGTAGACCTTCTTGGTGTTGTCCCCAATGAGGTAGAGCTCCCCGTGCAGTGCAGCACAGCGAGGCGAGGACAGGTACTTGGGCAGGAAGGGCGAGGCGATCACACTCCACGCATCTGTGGGGGGCACGGGCACTGGCCACCGTCACCAGGGTTGCCAGAGCGGGCACTAGCACTGTGCCCCACTCTGAGGGACCCTGGACTCAGTGCCTCTCTGAACCTCAGTGAACCTGTCTGTGAAATGGGAGTAGGTCCCTGCGGTGCAGCTGGGAGGGACCCACACCTGCCTCTCACCCAGCCTCGATCTTTCCCTCTGGGGACAGTGACCCCTCACAAGGCTGCAGCATAGGTGAGGGGCCTGTGGAGGGTGCAGGGGTCCCTCAGGACTCTCCCTGTGGTGGGGGTGCTTTGGCCTGGCTGCCGCCCCACCCACCCCACCCTGACTGGGGACTGCTGGGGGCCCCTCCCTGCCCAGCCCCCAACCCCGGGCCTGGTACCCAGGTGGGCCTTGCCTGGACTCTGGGCCCAGTCAGTCTCTTGAAGGGTCCTCACATCCACGCCTCAGAACAGGGCCCGCCACCATCTACACTGTCCAGAGGGTGAAACAGGACTGGAGACCAGGGTCGGGGTGGACGGCTCAGAGCTCAGGGAGGCTGCGCTGGGCCTCAAACTCTGGCACAGAGTCCAGAGCCCAAGATGGGCCTCGAGGCCTCGGAGGTCGGGGTCACCACTCCCGGCCCGTGAGGCCCTTTTGGGTAGAAGAACAGCCAGGCAGCTGCCAGGTGCTGGGCTCAGATCACTGGCACCCCACCCCCACCCCCAGCCCCAGCCCACTGCTGCCCTAAGGCCTGAGCAGGACAGACGTGCAGCTCGCCTCTGTGCTGGGACTCTGCGGAGCTGACGCAGTGGGTCCCTGACCTCTTAGGCCCCTGCCTTCCTCCACATCCCCTCCTCTTTGTGAGAGGCCTGCGGCCGCCGGCTCTCTCCACCCCGGGCCCCGTCTATCCTCAGGAGCCCCAATCCTCACCATCACTACGAGCGGACTGTCGCCTGTCAGAGGGGCCTGTGGTCCTCTATCCTCGGTCCCTGAGCCCCACCCACCTGTGACAGGGTTGTAGCACTGCAGGGCCAGGGCGTTGTACTTGCAGGCGCTGGAGCCCACCAGGTAGAGCCGGCCCCGGCAGCCGGCAGCCGAGAAGTTGCTGACGTATTTGAGGGCCGGGCTGACGGGCGTCCAGCTGTCCGTGTAGGGGTCATAGCTCTCCACCTCCACCACGTCCAGGGTGGTGCCTGTGGGGTGAGGGCGGGGGCAGTTCAGGGCTGGGGAGGAGAGGGGAGGCCTGGAAACTCAGGGGCTGGGGCTTTGTAAGGCAGCAAAGTGGTGGGAGGTGGGGTGGGCTCCCCATTTCACAGACAGGGAAGCTGAGGTTCTGAGAGGTGCTGGCACCTCCCAAGGCCGCCCCGCCAGGAAGTGGTGGGGGTGGGGGTGGACACTCGGGCCTAGAAATGCCCCACTCCTGAGCTCGAGCTGGGGCTGATGTTTGGGAACGGGGTGGCGGGGAGCTGTCAGGAGGCTGCCCGCCCCCAGGCCCCTCATGTGCTGGGAGTCATTTCCTGGGGTGCTCTGAACTGGAATGGAGGATGCCAGCCCTGGGAGGGCGGGTTGCGAGACCCTGGAGCTGTAGGCAGCTCCCTCCCAGTCCCAGATACAATCTGGGTGTGGCAGTGATGGGGACGCCTCCTGGGGAGAGCAGGCCCTGGCCTGGGCCTCTGTGAGCACCTGGGGACCTCACAAGCCCTGGGCTCGGGAGCCCTGGGTGCTTTCTGCTCTCTGGTTGGGGACACGGTAGCCACTGAGAGAAAGGGGACAGCTGGGACAGATGGGGCATTAGAAGTGGCCTCAAGACCAGTTCATCACCTACAGAGCTTTTGGGCCCCATGTGTTTTGTTTTTCTTTTCTTTCTTTTTTTTTTTTTTGAGACAGGGTCTTGCTCGGTCACCCAGGCTGAAGTGCAGTGGTGCGATTACAGCTCATTGCAGCCTCAACCTCTCAGGCTCAGCGATACTCCTACCTCGGCTGGCACGTGACACCATGCCTGCCTTTTTTTTTTTTTTTTTGAGATGGAGTCTCACCCTGTCACCTAGGCTGCAGTGTAATGGCTTGATCTCGGCTCACTGCAACCTCTGCCTCCAGGGTTCAAACGATTCTCCTGCCTTGGCCTCCCAAGTAGCTGGGATTACATGTCCAGCTAATTTTTGTATTTTTAGTAGAGACGGGGTTTCACCATGTTGGCCAGGCTGGTCTTGAACTCCTGGCCTCGTGATCCGCCTGCCTCAGCCTCCCAAAGTGCTGAGATTACAGGTGTGAGCCACTGCACCTGGCCTGGCTATTTTTTTTTATTTTTTATTTTTTTATGGGCTGGGGGCAGCGGCTCCCTCTTGTAATCCCAGCACTTTGGGAGGCTGAGGCGGGTGGACCACTTGAGCCCAGGAGTTTGAGACCAGCCTGGACAACATGGTGAAATCCGATCACTACAGAAAATACAAAAATTATCTGGGCATGGTGGCATGCACCTGGGGTCCTACCTACTCAGGAGGCTGAGGTGGGAAGATTGCTTGAACCTGGAAGATGGAGGTTGCAGAGAGCTGAGATCACTCCACTGCACTCCAGCCTGGGTGACAGAGAAAGACCGTCTCAAAAATAAAAAACAAAATAAAAAATACATAAATAAATAAATAATTTTAAAAAGGGAGACAGGGTCTCTCTATGTTGCCCAGGCTAGTCTCAAACTCCTGGGTAACATAGAGAGACCCTGTCCTCCTCCAAGCAGTCCTCCTGCCTTGGCCCTGCCAAGTGCTGAGATTACAGGAGCGAGCCACCACACCCGGCCACATTTTGTTTCTCGATGTTCCTTTAATCAGTGACGGCTCCTGGGTGACTCCTTGCTGTAGCTGCAGGTGCTGGTGGGTGGGTGTGGCCGTCCCCACTGGCTGCTCCTGCAGGAACCCCTCCTGGGGCCTGAGTCACCATCTTGCTGTCGCTGTCCCAGCACAACAGAGGCAATGGGAGCTGGCCAGGGAGGACACCTGGGCTGTGGGTCTTGATGGCCCGCCTGGTCAGGAGCCCTGGCCTGTGGCTTGCCCGCCCCACCAGACAGCGAGCCCTGAGGGTGGCAGTGGGAGCGGCATCTCCGTGGTCTCCGAGGCCAGCATGGGGCTCTCGGTTCCTGTTGCTGCAGGGATGAGAGGCTAGAACCAGGCCCCAGGGAAGGGTGGAGAGGAAGGCCTCACCGCCGATAACGTAGATCTCCCCATTGAGGGCCGCGCTGGCGTGGTTGGTGCGGGGCTTCAGCATGGGCGCCACGGGCTTCCAGGAGGCCTCCTTCAGGGGGAAGCACCAGGCCTGGGTGGTTGACCAGGTGTCTGTCTTTGTGCCCCGAGAGCCACCTGCCGGGAGAAGTTCTGTCTACATGGGTGCCACCAGCCTGGGGCACCAGGCCATGGGGTGTGGATACCAATGTCCAGGGACCTCCTCCCATGCCAGGCCATGATCTCCAACGTGGTGAGCCAGAGGTGGGACCAGGGTAGCGCAGCCGAGCTGTGTGACTGCCCAGGTCCCTCCATCCCCATAAACAAGGACGACAAAATCGGTGGTTTCAAGCCCCCATCAGCAGAAGCTTATCCCCTCCCAAATCTTACAAGGAACCCCAATCTCTGAGATAGGAAAGAGCAAAGTGACCCCTGCAACACACGACTCTTTCTGGGGACCAAGACAGACACCTGGTCAACCACCCAGGCCTGGGGCTTCCTGCTGAAGGAGGCCGCCTGCAACCTCGTGGCACCCCATGCTGAAGGCCTGCAGCAGCCACGCCAGCGTGGCACTCAGCGGGAGGCCTGGAGCCTCACCTGAAGGAGCTGTGTGATGCAGGGGTGGGCCCACACTAGCCTGTGTACAGAAGCGGCTCCCAGCTCCCACGAGTGACCACGGATTTTAAATGTCCTTGTTTTCACATGCATGGAAAGGCCTCGGCAAGCCTTGACTAACCCTCAGGGACCCCACGGAGTGCGGGGAGTTGCACTGAGCCCAGTGCTTGGCTGGGCAGGGCATCTCTGGAAGGGTCCCCGAGCTGCCCACCTGTGACATAGATGTTGTTGTTCAGGGCCGCCAGGGAGAAACCCCACTTGTGATAGTCGGGGAAGTCTGGAAGTGCCATCCACCTCTCTGGCAGGAAGAGAGAGGCAGAAGGGTCAGGCTGCCAGGCTCCCTGCTGGGGTGGTCCCCACTCCCCCTTCCCAGGTGCCTTTCCATGCACCGGGTGCAGAAATGCCCCCCTCACTGGTGGGGAAAGGGAGGGGCAGGGTGACACTGGTACGGGGGCCCGGGGGGTCCTGGGTGCTTCTGGCTCATTGTGTCTCCCCCACCCACTCCGCAGAGCCTGGAACTCAGAGTGGACACAGGATAGCCCCCTGGAGAAGCAGCAAGGTTTTGGAGGCCGGGGTCTCACCTTGACCCTGCAGTTGACCCCACTGACCCCAAATGGACCATTCAGCCCCTGAGTCTGGTCTGTCGGTTAGATGCGGTGTGGGTTAAGTGGCCTGATCTGTGGGTGTCACTAGTGGGTGATAACACCAACAGCATGCCTGCCTGCCTGCCTGCCTGCCTGCCTGCCTGCCTGCCTGCCTGCCTGCCTTCCTTCCTTCCTTCCTTCCTTCCTTCCTTCCTTCCTTCCTTCCTTCCTTCCTTCCTTCCTTCCGAGCACCCTCCCTGCCCTCCTGGCAGCCAGGCACATACAGGGGATCAGGACCTGCAGCAGGCAGAGCAGGTCCAAATCTCAGATGTGGTGCCCCAGCTGTGTGTCCGTGGGCAAACCCCAGCCTCAGTTTCCTTGTTGTAGAATGGGGATGACCCCAGCCTCCCGGGAGCTATGGGGACTTCACAGAACTGCTCAGCTGATGACAGCTGTTAGGATTATTGTTCCTAGGGTCGTGGGGCAGAGCAATGTGCCCAAGTCAGGCCTGCCTCTCGGAGCTACAAGAGGTAAACTGAGGCAAGAGATGAGAAAATGCTTTGGAAAATCAAGACAATAAATGTGGAAATGGTAAAGTCCTATAAATGGACATATTTTGGATGTTTGTGGAAGAGACACAGGCCTTTGGGATGTCCCCTAGGAAGACTCTGTTTACTATTTATGACCATTTTTGGGAGATGCGGAATTCCAGGCCTCCCTGGGAGCAGAGCCTGGCACTGTGGGCAGGCACCGTGTCCCCATGACTCATGGCTCTGTCACCCCAGGGTGGGGGTTGCCCAGCCGTCAACAGGCTCTTCCTGCCAGCGTCCCCACCTCCCGGCCAGGTCTGAGAGACAGCTGCTCCCTCCTGATGTCAGCCCCAAACCCCCTCTCTTCAGCCCCTGACCCGAACAGCTGGCCTCAGGCTTCCTGGAGCCTGCCAGCCGCTGACGCCAAGGAGATGGTTGGCGACCTGCCTGGTGGCCCCACACCAGCCAGCCTGCATCAGCCCTTTCCAGAGCACCTCTTGGGGCCAGCGCAGGGGGCCTCCAGAGCCGCTGCGGGGCCCCTCATGCCTCCTTTCCCGCCAAATGGCAGACCTGGCCTCAGTGCCCACTTCAGGGCTCCCTACAACTGTGTGAGGAAGCAGCAGGAGCCCATTTCACAGATGAGGAAGCTGAGGCTCAGAGAGGTGAGGTCACCTGTTTGAGGTCCGGGATTACAACCCCGTTTGGGCTGACCCAGAAGCTGAGTTCTCGCTCCTCCAGCTGCCTGCACCCCTTCACCCCCCACCCCACTCTCCCCTTGGGGTCTCGATTCCCTCGGCAGGTGCACTGAGCAGGGAGCATGGGGAGGAGGCAGCGGCCAGGCCGCCCACCCCACAGGGTGCAGTCTTGGCCGTGGAGGCCTGTACACCGGCTCCAGGGCCTAAAAGGGACCAGAGTCCTGGGCTCCGGCTGCAGGGAGAGGGAGCAGCAGTGCCCGCCAGCCTTCCCCCTCCCGGGGTACCTCGGGCTCCTCTGCAGCCCCCAGGTGAGGCCCACCCAGGCACGCCCCTCACAGGGGCCTCACACAGCTCCCGGTCCTCTGCGAGCCTCATGCGCTCCACCTGCAAGGAGGACACAGCGGCTCCCGCTGGGACAGAGAGACAGCAGGTGGGTCTGGACGCGGGAGGGGTACTCACTGGCCTTGCTGTTGTAGAAGGCAAAGTTCCCAAGGCCGGGGGTGGGCTCCTCACCTGCCTCCTCCTCCTCCAGCGCCTGCCCGCCCACCACCACCAGGACCTCCTCCAGCTTCTGCTGGAGGGCGAGTGGTGCCTGTGGGGTGGGAGGCCAGGGTCAGGGCAACAGCAATGTGTCCCCATGCCCTGAGCCCCCGCGTGTCCTGGGCAGGCCTCAGCATGTGAGTGCATGTGTGCTTGCATGTTGCTGGAGATGGCGTGTGCCCGAGTGCACAAGCTGCTCCCTCCTTGCACCATGTGCCTTTCAGGGGCATTCCTGGAGTTCCTGAACCATCTTCAGAACCGATCCCATAGCAGGTCCGCAGCGCCACGCATAAGCTTCTCCCTGCCCCTGCTCCCTGGGTGGCCTCCAGCAGGCGGCACGAGGGTGTCCCGGCTCAGTGGGAAATGCTGGCTGTCTTAGGAACGGCCGGTAAGCAGTCACTGCCTAGGTCTCCCAGGACCCCAGGCTCTCCCACAGCCATCCACCCTGGCCCCCCATATGGAACCCCCAGATCTCCCACTGCCAGGAATTAGAATACAAGGTGACCGTCCACGGGCAAGGCTCTGAAGCCAGCTCCAGCAGGAGGCCGGGCGCTCTGTGACTGGCTGGAATCCAGTGGGGACAGGGGTTAGGGTTTAGCCCACTACTCACTCCACCCTTGGCCTGAGGACCATCAGTCTGAGCCACTCTTTGTCCCCGGACTTGGCTCTAAAGGAGTGCCCCGAAGCAAGGCCCCTGAGCAGGGTGCCCGGCAGCTGACCGAACAGCCACTCCCAGACCTGTCATTCCATCATGACCTGCCATGCCTGCCAGGCACACTGCCAGCACAAACAGGAAGTAGCACCCCATAAAAGCTCAGGCGGACTGCCAGGCCTGTCTGTGCCTCCTTGCCTGTGCACAAGCTGCACCTCCTTCCTGGATGGTTTTCCCCTCTTTTCCTCCTTGTGAGCTCCTATCCCTCCTCTAAGGCCCAGCTCAGATGCTGCCTCCTCCAGAGAGCCCTCCTTGACTGCCAGCCCACCCAGAATGCGTCCTAGGCATGTATTTGGCCCTTCCACACTGCCTGAGGTCTGTTTCCAGGCTTGTCCCACTGAGCTGCAGGCTCCTTCAGGACAGGGCCAGATCTTACCACTTCCACATTCCCCTGCCCCTTGCACACAGGGCGTGACACACACAGAGGCATGATCTGCACTTGAGGGCTGAATAGTGATGTCCTCATGGGGAACTGGCCCAAAACAAGGAGCGTGGCAAGGTCAGAGTGCACCTTGGAATGTCCACTCCTTACTCTGTCCCTACTCAGGTGGGGTCTCTGGGGCTCTCCTCCCTGCTTCCCAGGGATGGGGCCTCCCAGCCGCTCACTCACCCCATCATGGCCCTGGGACAGGGCTGCCCGGCATGCCTCTGACTCCTGGATCAGGGGCTCTGAGGCCAGCAGTTGCTGCACGCAGGGCCTGGGCACGGCGTCCAGGTGCACTAGGCTGAGCAGCTCGGGCAGGTGGGCGGCCCGGGCCTGCGGGTCATGGCGCACCCAGCGCATCAGGGCCTCGAGTCGGCTTTGCTCCGGCTGTACCTGCAGCAGGTCGCCGGCCAGACAAGTGACCAGCCGCTCTCGGGGAAGCTGCAGGAACTCGTCCTCACGTGCCACAGCCTCAAAGTTCTCTCGCAGGAAGGCCCAGGCCTTGGCAGCCACGCCCAGCAGCCCTTGCTGCTCCCCGAACTCACAGATGCCCAGGCAGTTGGCGGCATCCAGTTGCTGCTGCAGGTAGCGGCCGCAGACCTTCTGCACCGAGGGGAAGTGCAGGCGCGCAGCCGTGCGTGTCAGCGCCTCCACGTTGCCCTGCGTGATGGTCAGCCGGCCTGTGTACACGAAGTCCACCAGTTGTCCCACCACGGCGGGCTCCACGTCCCGCAGCTCCACGCGCGCAGAGAAGCTCTCGGCGAAGTCACCCGCAAACATGGCATGGAAGTAGGGGCTGCTGAGCGCCAGGAGGCCGCGGTGGCATGGCAGCTCCCGGCCGCCCACCAGCAGTGTGACGTCGGCCAGCTTGGGCTGAGAGCGCAGGCGCTGCAGGCCATCCAGCATGTCCTGGGCATGCGAGGGCAGGTGGAAATCCAGGTCATCCACGTTCCGCACCATGACGCCGTGCCCAGGGGACCTCAGTAGTCCACCCACTCAAGGGAAGAAGTGCCTGGAGCCGCCCGAGCTCCTAGGAGAGAAGAGAGCAGGGTCAGCCAAGTGGGGATGGTCTCATCCTCCTGAGCAACCCACCCGGTCTGTCCATCAGCCCTTTCCACCCCTTGATAAACACAGGATGGGCATCGACCATATGCCAGTCACTTTACCCCCCATCTGCCTCAAGCCACCCCCAGAACCCTGCAAGGTAGGGCAGGTGTCATTCCCATTTGCAGTGAGGAAATTGAGGTTCAGAGAGGGTGGGAGACCTACCCATGGCCAGGCATTCAGGGCAGAACAGGGTTGGCAAAAGAACCCATGCCCTGGGTGTCATCTGCAACCCTGGGCTACACTGAGCCCACCCCCCAGGGACCCCGGAGACACCCAAACTCCCGGGAGGCGTCCTCCGTCCCAGATCCCACATTGCTGGGGAGGCCATTTGGGGGCTGCAGCAGCTCCTGCTCCCGCGGTGCTCCCAGGTGCCAGGCCACGTGCCAAGCATGCAGAGAAGCTGTGCATTCACCACTCAGCCCCACAACAGTCCTGGAGGGTGGGTGCAATCATTGCCTCTTTTACAGCTGGGGAGACTGAGGCACAGAAGGTTTCAGTCACTTGCCCAAGATCACACATTTAGGAAGTGGTGGAGCTGGAATTTGAACTCAGAGCTAGGCTTGGGGGCCCAGGCTCTGAACCCTGCATTCCACGTGGCCGGGTGGAGGCTGCTAAACAGAAACGGCCAGCCAAAGGCAGCGTTCTGGAGGGTTTCGCGTCACCACGCCCGCATGGTTGAAGTCAGCAAGGCCGCTTTCAGGCTCATGTAATTATGTGCATGTGGTTTATGTCCTTCTGGTATCGCACCCTAAGACAACCATCCCTAGGAGAGATCAAGTCTGTGCACAAGCCTTCGACCCGGGTCACCCCAGGGCGAAAGGCTGCGCAGCGGAGAGGCCGTTCGCCCGCTAGGGGGCGCCTCGCGGGGCCATCCCGGGCAGGAGAGGCGGCCGCGCGTCCACAGGTACAAAATGCGTGGGAACGCCACGCATGGAAATGACAAAGCTCAGCTGGAGAACCAGGAGGCCAAGAATCTGGCCCGGGCAGCCACGGTGCAGGTACAGGTGCAGGCGATGGGAGCTAGGGCTCCCCGACTTCCCGACCCCGGTGCCACCTCTTGACCCCAGAGCGGGGAAGCACCTGGGAGCCCACAGGGCCTCGCGGACCAACCCGGGCTCGCGCACAGGGCAGCTCACGTGGCCGGGGCCCCACACCCCAGCATCCCGGCCGGTACACGAAGTACCCACCCAACACTGCATGCATGGGGTTCCTGCCTGGCCCCTCCCCAGGAGGCGCTGGCCCCGGTGAAGGCGGCTCTGCCCTCCCTGGGCAGCCGGGAGATGAGCTGGGGCCTGAGTAGGTGACAGGGCTGTCCCTGGGCCACCGCCTGCAGGCCTCACATTCCCGTCATTGTTGTGCTCCCTTGGGCCAGCTGCTGCCGGGCGATGGGCAGGCACGCATGAGCGCCCCCACTTCCCCTGGGGGCCTCGGGGTGCCTGCTGACACCTGTCACCCTGCAGTCCCTGCATGGGTCGGGGCTTCCTGAGGGTCTCAGAGCCTCACCCCAGTGCCTGCCCAGGCCCGGAGTGAGGAAGCCGAGTGGGCAGGACAACAAAAGGCCTGAGCCCAGCCAGGCTGGCGACTGTGGCTGAGTGGCCCTGGCTGCCATCTGAGGGGTGGCCCAGCCTCCCCCTCCCACCTCTCCGGCTGGGACATGGAGGGAAACCTGTCTCCTGAGCCCCCACCCTGAGGAGCCTGGCTTGGCCGCTGGCAAGGGCCAGGGGGCGTCTCCAAAGCACCCTGCTGTGATCCCTGGCCTCGGGGGCCTAACCCACCCTCCCCGCTGCTCCTGGCTGGGTTCCCCCTGCCCTCTCTGCTGTCCCCTGCCCCAGAGCCCCCTGGATCCTACCTCTCACTCAGCCTGGACCTCGAAGCTGAGAACACAGACCCGAGAGAGCAGGACTGCCTAGCCGGCAGCCAGGGGACACGGAGGCCTGCAGGGCGGGGCAGGGCTGGTCTGGTGGCCACGTGGGGAGGGTATTTTTAGCCTCTGTCTGCAGGGCGAGGGGAGGGTCAGGCAGTGAGGGCTGGGCTGGTGGGGGAAGGAGTGAGATGCCGGCTCCTTGGTGACTGTTAGCTCAGAAAGCCCACTGAGGCCTTCCAGGGACTTGTGGCCTAGGACAGACATCAGGAAGGGCTCCAGGGCAAGGACAGGTGAAAGCTGTCGCGGTTGGGCTGGCTGGTGGGGGCAGGGATGCAGCTTCCCCACCTGTTTCCTCGTCTACAAGTTGAGTACAGTGGAGCCCGTGGTGGGGGCCTGGGGTCACAGAGACCCTCAGCCCAGGGCCAGGACACCGACAGGTGCTGCCCTCGCTGTTGATGTCAGCGGCACCTATGTGTCCTCTTGTTCTGTTGTCACGTGGGAAAACGTGATTATCATGAATAAGCACAGGTTGGTCAGCAGAGGCTTTCCGAGCTTGGGGTCCATGGTGGCGGTAGGGAAACTTTGCCCAGAGAGGGGAGGTGCCACACTCAGTTGCCCCGCCCAGCTAGCGTGGATAGGGGAGATCTTGGGGCTCCTTGCCCTGCTACCCCATGGCCTTGGCCTCGGGGCTGCCCAGGACGGCTAAGAAACAGGGTCACCTAAAAATACAGCAGTGGACTATCAGCCTCCCGTCCAGCACTTGGTTCACGGTAGTCGCAGGGGGAAGCTCTCACGCCTGGGACTGAAATGGGCTCAGAACCACAGGCCCTGACCAAGGTCAGGTGGGTTGAGTTGGGGACCCAAGAGGCCACTGGACATTTCTCACACCAGTGACCAGAGCAGAGCTTTGTGGCTGAGGGACTTCAGGTGCATGGGAGAGAAGCCCTCAGCCCTCAGCCCTCTACCCATCGGCCATGTGGGCCTGAGCAGTATGACCATTTCCAGGTGTGCTGCGACCTGGAGGAACTGGGGAGTATTGGGTCTGGCTGTGGCCTCTTGATGCTACTAGGGATTGTCCTAATGCTCTTACAGACCAGAGAGGTCCAGGCGGCCCCCAGGGAGACAGAACCCCACTCCTGGTCCTGAGATGCACACAGCCTATGGAGGGGAAGCTCACCTACAAATTACTGCCAAGTCTGCAAGGTGCCCTTAGGGTTACCTTCCATAGAGATTCCCTGAGTCCATGCTTCCTCTACAGCCCAGCCTGGCCCAGCCATAGCCCAGCCATAGCTCAGCCCAGCTCAGCTATTGCCCAACCATAGCCCAGCCATAGCCCAGCCCAGCTCAGCTATTGCCCAACCATAGCCCAGCCATAGCCCAGTCCAGCTCAGCTATTGCCCAACCATAGCCCAGCCATAGCCCAGTCCAGCTCAGCTATTGCCCAGCCATAGCCCAGCCATAGCCCAGCCCAGCTCAGCCATAGTCCAGCCGTAGCCCAGCCGTAGCCCAGCCCAGCCTGGCCCCTGCTCCTGCTCTTTCCCCTGCTCGTGTCCCACACTGTCCCAGGGTTTTTCCCCAGCCTTGGGCATCAGCCTCATGTTGTGTGGGGGACCCTCATGGAGGACCCCAACTCTCGCTGTGTCCAGGACCACTATGGGGTGGGCGCTAGAGTGTTGGGTTTCCGTACTGTCCCCCTTGTTTGCAGTCCTGGCTCGGGCTGGAGGAAATGAGGACAGGGGATTCTGATGACAGGCTGCTGTCACGGGGAGCTGGCTCTGCTCGGGGAACAGCACTGCTTGCCAAGTGTGGAGGCCTCACAGCAGCCGTCGTGGGGCTCGGAGCCCCAGCACCTCAGATGACAGGTCAGTCTGGGAAACTCAACACCGGGGGCGCAAAACAGATCCTCCATCAAGAGATTGCTACTGAGTGGCGCAGTTTTTAAAAATACACCACTTGTTTCTTTTTATGAGGATAAAAATAACACAAGTTCCTTTTGGAAAACAGAAAAATAAAAAGCAGAAAGTGTCATTAGTAAAAGATCATTTGCCATTAGTATGCTTCCAGCTCTTTCCTGTTGTCAAAATGAGCCTGCCTGCGTGTGTGGGTCAGCGCCCTTTCCTCACACCTTGTTATATTGTGGGCGTTTCTGATGGGATCAGCACTTGAAGATTTTGAATTTCTGCCGGGCATGGTGGCTCATGCCTGTAATCCCAGCACTTTGGGAGGCTGAGGCGGGTGGATCACCTGAGGTCAGGAGTTTGAGATCAGCCTGGCCGACATAGTGAAACCCCATCTCTACTAAAAACACAACAATTAGCCAGGAGTAGTGGCGGTGCACACCTATAGTCCCAGCCCGCAGACCCTCCCGCCCCAGGCCAGGCTTCCGATGACTGCAGTTGGGCTGAGCACTTCATGGGACCCTCCTGAGACATCCTGAGGTGCAGCCACCCCACACACGTGCTCCCGAGGAGAAACTGAGAGACGATGCGTGTGACCATGCGTGTGTGCTGTTCAAGGACATTGGATTTCAGGCAGTTGACTATGCAGCACTAGGTCACTAGTACAGCAGACAAAAACATGTAAACAGCAGAGCAATGGGGGGCTTCCATCTCAGATACGAAGATGTCATCATTACAGCGTAAAATGCCATCAAACAAGGTGGTTTTGACCCAAGAATAAACAAATCCCAACAGCCAATGCACAGAAAGCGGTGCCACGGCAAGTCCGCAGGGAAGGAGGGGCCGTCTGACGTGTGAGAGTGCTGGTGAAAGGGAAACAAGGTCAGCCCGATGGAACCCAGGCCCCAAATCACCCCAGATGGAGTGAGAGGTGCTGTGCAGGGCTGTAAGGCCCCCGAGAAGGGGGCAGACTGATATGCGGACCCAGCCTGGGACATCCTCACAGCTGGAAGGCCCCCAGCCCAGCAGAGGGGAGCTCACTCACACAGTTTTTTGTTTGTTTGTTTGTTTGTCTCTTTGGAGATGGAGTCTCGCTTTATCACCCAGGTTGGAGTGCAGTGGTGCAATCTCCGCTCACGGCAACCTCCGCCTCCTGGGTTCAAGCGATTCTCCTGCCTCAGCCTCCTGAGTAGCTGGGATTACAGGTATGCACCACCATGCCCAGCTAATTTTTCTGTATTCTTAGTAGGGATGGGGTTTCACCATGTTGGCCAGGATGGTCTCCTGACCTCAAGTGATCTGCCTGCCTTGGCCTCCCAGAGTGCTGGGATTACAGGCGTGAGCCACTGCACCCGGCCTTACAGATTTTAACTCGGTGATTTCACGCTCGGAATCCATTCTGAGGGAATAATCACACAGGTGACACCACCTTCATTGTAATAGTCCCAAATGGAAAACAGCCTGAGCGTCCACGAACAGAAGGAGGTTATCACTCCCAGCTTCACAAAGAGCAACGTCATCCTATTGAGATGAAATTGAAAATCTTTTTTGTTTTTGAGACAGAGTCTTGCTCTGTCACCCAGGCTGGAGTGCAGTGGCATGAGCTCGGCTCACTACAACCTCTGCCTCCCAGGTTCGAGCAATTCTGCCTCAGCTTCCCGAGTAGCTGGGATTACAGGTGCCCGCCACCACGCCCAGCTAATTTTTGTGTTTTTAGTAGAGACGGGGTTTCACCATGTCGGCGAGGATGATCTTGATCTCTTGACCTCGTGATCCACCTGCCTCAGCCTCCCAAAGTGCTGGGATTACAGGCGTGAGCCACCGCACCCGGCCGACATTGAATTTTTAAATGAGCTGGGCTTTGCATTAAGCCTGTGCACCGACATGCAGGGAGCCCGCCCCTCTGCACATTGACCCAGCTGCGAGGGAGAAGCTGGGGTTCCAGCACCGCCCTTGGGGAGGGTTTCTGTTTTTCCACATCTCCATCCTGCCATCTATGGACTGGGGACACGGGGCTCCCTTTCTCCTGGATGTTTCTGACTCATGGGAAGCCCCCAGGCTTTGCGCCTTTGCTTTGCGTGTGACCACCTCACTGACATCGGCACCTCCGGGGTGCTGTAGATTCCGTCTCTGGTCCTCAGTGAGTCTTTTGTCAATTGAACAACAGATTTATAGGCACCAAATGGGCCCTACAGCTGTGAGTGTGGTGGCGCAGGGGCCAGTGCCTGCCTGCCCCCGGGGACACGTGCTTCCCACAGGTGAGCTGCTGGTGGGCCACGGGTGCCAGCTGCTGGGAATCGGAGCCGCCTGGAATGTGTTAAAACCCCAGCTTTCCAGACCTACCCCAGGCCAAGGGAATCAGAATCCCTGGGGCAGCTCCCCCAGAGGCAGGGTGTTGGCAGAAGGTCATTTAGGGGTCACCCCAGCAGCACTCCAGGGGCCTAGCCTGGATCTGAGCCACATCTCACCCCTCGCCTGGCTCATCCCACCCCAGGCTCTCCTGGGACCCCTGATGTGTGTGTCCCCTGCTGGCCTTGATCCAGCTCCTCAGCTGGGAAACTGAGGCCTGGAGGCTATGGAGGACTTGCCCAAGGGCATAGCGAGTGGGCAGGGACAGCCGGAGCCAGGAGGGCCGACTCCCTGCCCAGTGCTCTCTCTTGAGCACCCTCGGCCAGGGAGTGACCTGAGGCCTGCTGCCCCTGCCTCCAGCCCCCTCCTCTGTCAGGGCCCTCAGAACAACATTGCCAGCAGCTGGTGCATGAGGGGATCTCAGGAGACACTGCAGCGCCCAAACCTTCTGATGCCCCCAGCCAAGGGCTCTCCCTAGACCCACCTGCTGCCCCTTGCCCTCTGCCAGCCCTGGGCAGTGACCGCACTGGGTGGAGCAGCCCTGCTCTGTCTCCACTGGGGGCGTGTTGTGGCCAAGAGCCAGGGCCCCACTGACTGAGAGGCAGCGTTCAGGATGCTCCTGGCTGCTCCCAGTGCCCTGCTCGTTAGAAGCAGCTCAGAAACACCTGTAATCCCAGCACTTTGAGAGGCTGAGGCGCGCAGACTGCTTGAGCCCAGGAGTTCAAGACCAGCCTGGGCAACATAGCAAGACTTTGTCCCTACAAAAAATAAAAAGAAATTAGCTGGGCATGGTGGCTGACACCTGTAGATTCAGCCACTGAATCTACAGAAAAGAAAAGAAAAAGAGAAAGAAAGAAAAGAAAATGAAGGAAAGAAAGGAAGAAAGAAAGGAAAAAAGGGAAGAAAGAAACAAAGAGAAGGAACTCTGAAATGCTGGCTGCACGTTGGTGAGTGTCTGAGACGATGCTGTTTCCCCAGCACAGAGGCCCCTCCCATGTGGGACCTGCATCCTCCTTCACCACAATCCCAGGAGCATGAGGTCCGCATGCATCCCAAGCTGCAAATGAGAAACCAGAGGCTCTGAGGGACTAAGGACAATGGCCCTGGTATTTCGGCAGAGCTGAGCTGAGGACTCGGGTTTGGTACCGGGCTCTGTGAGGGCGTAGGCGGCTCTCAGGGATGGGTGAACAACAAGTGCAAGAGAGGGGGTGCGCTAGGAATGGGAATCTTTATTTAGCAAACACATGTTCAGCTTCAGCTCTACAGCAGGGTCTTCAGCAGTGGAGGAAGCCGGAGCGGGCCGGCTGCAGGATAGGCCCTTGTGGAAAAGCCACTGGCTTGGGGCTGCGGCCGGTGCTACTTCCCTTCCCGGCCCTGCCTGCCCCAATGGCCAATACCACCCCTCCCAATTTTACATCTTCTTGAGTGTCCGTCCCCTTGGGCCCTAGTCAGCTGCGAGGGTCTCTCTGTTCCATCCAACAGCTTGCCCGCTGCCCTCCAGGTTTTGCCTGGACAATCCCCAGGGATTGAGGCAGGGAGTCCTGATAAGCCTGTCGCCTGACTGCACCCTCCTCTGTCCCAGGGGGCCTGGATGCCAGGAGGAATATTCCTGAAGCCTCCCGTCCCTGCCACTCCCTGCTGGGCCATCTCACAGCTGCAGAGCCCCACCTCCAAAGTCCCTGTGGGCTTGGGCCCAGCCCTCCTCAGCCCCAGAGCCTGGGTGATGACCCATTCTCCTGGCTGCCATCAGAAGCTGGGGACAAGCCACACCCTATGCCAGCCATGCCCAGCACCATGCCCAGGAATACTCCGCAGCACCCAGAGCCCCCGAGGACGGAATCCATCTCCCTTCCTGTATCCCTCCCTCCAGTACCCAGGCCCCTGTGAAGAGGTGCACTGTGGGTGACACCCAGGTGCCCTCACGGAGTATCCACGCCCCCCTGAGGTCTGGCTGCTGCCCACCCCTGCCGGCATTCTCCTCTGTGTGCAGCAGCCTTTGAGAGTGGGCACCAGCCACCCTGCCTGGAGGACTCTCTCAGCCACTGCTACTCCCACGTCCCTGCTCTCCAGCCTTGCTGGGGCCCACGACTAGGCCAGGGCTGGTCAGGCTGGAGGACAGGGGCCCCATGGGGAGCCTCCTTTGAGGAAGCAGGGCCTCCGGAGCACCCTGGGCTGGGGCACTGGCCTGGCGGGCATCGGTGTGTGACCAGCAGGGATGGCCTGGCAGGAAGGCCTCCTGCCCATGGAATCTGTCCTCGGAATCACTCCAGCTCCCCCAAATTCACAGATGGGAGGTGAAGGGGTGTGACCCAAGGTCAGCAGGAGAAACAGGGGCAGGACCAGGGCCTGGGGCCACCTCAGACTCACATGAAAGATGGATGTGGCCGAGGCCACCAGCACCACAGAAACTGAGGGACAGGACGCCAAGGGAACTGGTGACACTGGGGAAGGACAAGTGAGAAACAGGCAGCATCCCAGGTCTCGGGGGCCGGCTGGGCAGAGGTGCCCTGGACTGGGGTGGCCCATTGCCTCACTTCAGGACCTGCCAAGGGGCTTCCTGGGTGCAGTGGTGAGAAGGAGTCTGAGTCCCAGCTCGGAGGAGAACCATGCCACAACAGAACAGTCCCGCAGCCTCCGATAACTGGTAGGACTGGAGGCAGCCTTGCCCGGCTCACCTGAACACCAAGGGTGTGAGCAAGGAAAAGAAAAGAGAAACTCCAAGTCACCCCCAAACCACATTCTGGAAAGCAGGCTGCCAGTAGGGTCATTCTCCAAAGTTGAACATCTCAGCTTCCTTCTCCTTCCAGAAGGCAAAGCTGCGGTTGATGTAGCCGCAGATGTCCTCACCGTTGAAGCTGCCCTGCTGGGAGCGGGACCCCAGCCGCTGTGCTGTGGGCTCAGGGCCGCTGCAGGGGACGGCGGCGTGAGGCAGGGGCCCGAGCAGGGTCAGACCTGACTTGCGGCCAGGCTCCGTATCCCAGGCGGGACGCTGGCTGGAGCCAAAGAAGCGGGCTTTGATGTCCTCGAAGCCGTCGGTCCAGGCCCGGCGGCCGGCGGCCACCTCGTCGGTCACGGCCTTGTGGAAGGCGCGCACAGCCTCCCAGCCGTGGGTGCCCAGGTGCTCGAAGACCTCGAAGCACAGCAGGTGGCGCAGCTTCCGCTCCTCCGCCGGCAGGTCGCACTCCAGCAGCTGGAAGTAACCCAGCATGAAGAGATCCAGTGAGAGGCTGCTGTAGGGCACCGGAGCCCCGTCCACGTGGGGCAGGAACTGCTCGGGGGACAAAGCCCCGCGGGGCTGCCGGCTCAGCCGCCGCAGCTGCCGGGCGGGCACGTGAGCCATGATGGCCTTCCAGTTGCCCAGCAGGTGGGTGATGGTGCTGCGCTGCTGCCACAGGTGGCCCAGCCGGGGGCCCTCGCTGGGCGGGGAGGGTGGCCCAGGGCTCCTGGCGGCCTCCTGGCCCCGCAACCCCGCGTGGCGGGCTCCTAGGGTCCTGCAGGCCACTGTCTTGAGGGCCGGCGTGTAGGCCGATCTCCTCCAGTGGCTGAGGAAGAGCATGATGATGCGCTCCTTGCGCAGGCTGGCCAGGTCTGGGCCGGCTGCGGCACCCGCCTCTGATGGCACCTCCTCGCAGCTGATGCCAGAGTCGCTGGCCTCCTCTGTGTCGCCAGGCCTGGGCTCCCCTGAAGCCAGGCCACTGCGGGGCTTAGGCAGGGCTGGCCAGCAGCCACTCAGGCACTGCCTGTGCTGGGCCCCCGGCTCGCAGGGGCCAGGGTTGAAGCCACAGAGTGGGCCAGAGGCCGACTCGAAGTTGCCCCGCAGCGTCCGCACAGACACCCCCCACTCCTGGATCTGGCGCTGGGCCTCGCTCCGAGGGGGGCTGGCCGAGGCCTCCCTGCAGGTGTCCTGCAGGGGCCGGGTGGATGGCTTCTCATCCCCCTGTACTAGCCCATGCACGCCCTTCAGCAGCAGGGACAGGCTGCGTACCAGGCGGGAGATGTGGCTGCACCAGAAGGGCAGGGGCTGCACCCCGGGGGCCACCTCTGAGGCCTCCGCAGACCCTGCGGGCTCAGCCGCTGGGATTGAGGCCTCCTCAACCTCCAGTCCGGGCGCCCGGGGCAGGAAGTGGCTGTTGACCGTGATGCTGACCAGGGGCTCGGGCAGCAGGGCCTGCAGCTCAGCCGCCAACCGGCCCAGCTCACTCTCATACTCCTGACAGCGGCGCCGAAGCTGCAGGTCTGCAATCTGCTTCTCCAGGTAGACCAGGTCATCCTCTGTCAGCAGCTCCCCAAAGGGCCCCAGGATGGCCTGATGAGTCTGTGAGTACCTCCAGGCCGCCTGCTCCGTGGGGCCTGAGCTCCCACCATTGTCCTGGGCACAGGAAGGGCAGGGTGAGCAGGGTGAGCCCACCCACCCACCATCAGCCCACCTAGCTTCCAAGTCCCTGAGTTCTCAGTATCTCTGCAGAGCCTCTGGTCCTGCCCCAAGGTAAGACTTTAAAGGGCTTCCCAGCTAGGGCAGAAGCCCCTGACCTGCTCTGCCCGTCTTGCTCTGCTCTCAACCCTGTGGCTTTCAGCCCCTACGGCTCCCAGCCCAACAGGCAAGGACAGGCTGGGCCCTCAGACAGGGCTGTCCCACAGTCCTGAGACGATGGAGACAGGCTGTATTCCAGCAGCCAGGAGCCACCTGTGGCTACAGAAACGACAGGTGGCTGGTGCGACGGAGGGGCAGGACTTTTACTTTCCTTAAATTGTAATGAATTTCAGTGGCTGCATGTGGCTGGCAGGATTGCGCTGGACACAGCGCTGGGCCGGGGGCACAGAACTCAATCATCTTGACAAAATCATAGGACTCTGAGGACATAATTCCTGAACTCCTGTCTGCACAGCAGCCCGGGGAGCCTGTTAAAATCCAAGGCACATCACAGCCCTTCTCTGCTCAGATTCTCAGTGGCTCCCCACGGCCTCACAGAGGTGCAATAATCCCAGCCAGGTTCCTCTCCAACCTCAGGCGCCCACTCCATGCCAGGGCGCCTCCTCCTGCTCCTCCCCCGGCCAGCCCGGCCTCAGGACCCTTGCACTGGCTGTTCCCTCTGCCTAGGAGGTGCTTGCCCCAAATTCCCACAGGGCTCCCCCTCTCTTCCCTCTGGCCCCTGCTCAAGGCCACGTCCCCAGAGGGGGCCCCCTAAGCACCCATATATCATAGTCCCCCAACTGCTTTGCTTTCTCCACAGCAGTGGGAATCGCACCCCACACACCTGCCGGCACCTGCCCATGGGCCACCGTCTTCCCTGCTAGACGCTGCGCCCAGGAAGGCCTAGAACAACGCTTGGCACAGGCAGGCATGTGCCACAAATCCGCCAAGTGGAAGGATACGTGGGACCCATGCCTCCAGAGCAGGTGAAGGGGCTCTGCTCAGAGTCCTCTGGTCAGGTTCACTTCATCCTCCGGCGGAAGCAGCAGCTGAGGCCACAGAGGAGAGGGGCCCCTGGGTCTTGGATTCAGTTCTGGGCTTCGGGCGCCCTGACTTCCACTTCCACCTACCTGGAAAAGGCCCCGCCCCGCCCACTGGTCCCGCCCCTGCCGGGGGCCTACCTGGGCCTCTGCGGAGCTCTCTGCGCCCAGGCGCGCCTGCAGCTTCCGCACCATCACCTGCCGCTTCCACTCTGGGATGGGCTGGCCGCGCTCATCCCGCGTGGGCACCAGCCCGTCGATGTCGCCTGAGGGCAGCCCATCCAGCTGTAGTGCGGCCAGGCCATCTGAGGTGTCCCCCGCCAGCGCCGTCTCTGTCCCCTGTGCAGAAGGGGGTGGGTCACACAGGCCCGAAGGGGACCCAGGCCCTGAGTGGAGGGAAGATCCGAGAGGACGTGGGGGGTTGGCTCCGCCCAGGGCACGCTAACAGGGCGCCCTGAGAGGAGGGACAGTGGGGGCCACGGACAGCACCCCACCCCCTCATCCCCAGCTTAAGAGTGAGGCCTCAGAGGGGAGGGACTGGAGGGGGCGGGGTAAGATGTGTGTGAGGGGATTGTCGGCAGAGAAATGAAACCAGAGGTCCCTCCCCGTCCCCTGTGCAAGCCCAGCAGATGCTCGCGGAGCGCACCGTATCCCTGGGCAAACTTGCTCTGGGCACAGCTACATAGACAAAGCCTGGCAGCCAATCCTGTGCCGCGGAGGGCTTGTCAGAGCCTTCAATGTGCCGTGCGCGCTCCAGCTCTCCACGACGGGCAGCAGCGCCACGTGGCGTTTCCCAGACTCCCACCGAACACCTCAATGGTTGAGAATCTGCAGTACCACGCAGGGAAAGTCTGGGCTGGCTTTCTAAGGGCCCGGCGCCCAGGAAAGGGAGAGTAAGGGGGAGCAGGACCCTTCTGCTGGTCTGGGCTGGCCGAGGCCCTGAGGAGGAGGACGGTGGCAGCGGGGCCCTGCCCATGGATGGCTGCTGCGATCTCCGCACTCCAAGCGGGCACGGAGCACCCCTGAGCTCAGAGGTCAGGGAGAGGGGCCTGGGCCACTGCAGCCCTCTGGGATAACAGAGAAGGGTCCCCGTGTTTCTGTGGTGGGGGGGACAGCTGCCGTCGCCCTGACATTCCTGTCTCTTCAGAACTCAGGGTGTTCTCGAGAGCAGCGGAGTGACGCAGGCAGCCTGGCATCCACCCTTCAGGAAAGGCCTGGCTGTGCTGGGGGCTTCTCTGGGCCCCTAAGAGGATGGGAATGGAGGCTGGCTAGGGGCCCCGGGAGACAGGAATGCAGGGGTGGAGGACGAACCTCGGGGTCAGCCGTGGCACTGGTGATGATCCTCGGAGGGGCCGGGCTGGTCATCTGCTCCCTGGGAAGAGGCTGGTCAGGATGGCCAGGCCAGGCCGGGCTGAGGGACATGGCTGCCAAGAAGAAGAAGGGTGTTGCAGAAAGGGCAAGGGCTGGGGAGCAGAGACCCAGAGCCTCGGGGATCCGGCCCTGGGGGCAGAGCTGACCTCCTGAACGATCTGCGAGCTGGGAGCTGACCCCAGCCCACCCTGCCCCAGAACACCTCGGGGGCCCCACTGGACCTTCTCTGGGGAGTCAGTGGGGCCCGCCCCCGCCTGGTCGATGGGAGAGCCTGCGGCACACCGCTGGGCCACGCCGCGGCCCCTCCTGCAGCAGGGGAGGAGCTGGGAAGGGCTTGAGGCCGCCCCTAACGCAGCTCTGCAGGCCCCAAAGCTGGTTCCCTTGCTGCCTGCAATGCTCCCTGCCCCGATGAAAACACACACTTCAGGGTCAACCTCGAGTGAAGAACACGTCTGCATCACAGCCAGGCAGACACGCACAGACACAATCACACACAGACATGCACAGACACAATCACATACACACAACACAGACACAATCACACAGACACAGACACAATCACATCACATACAGACACAGACACAATCATACACACAGACACAATTATACACACAGATACAATCACAGAAACACACACAGAACAGACACACAAACACAATCACACACAGATACACAATCACACACAGATAGACACAATCACACACATACACACAGACACACAATAACAGTGACACACACAATCACAGACACACAGACACGATCATACACACACAATCACACAATCACACAGACATACAGACACAATCACACACGCAGACACAATCACACACAGATACAGTCACACACAGAGAAACACACAGACACAGAACAGACATACACAAACACAATCACACAGAATCACACACAGATACACAGACACAATCACAGATACACACAGACACAATCATACGCAGAGACACACAGACACAAGCATACACAGACACAATCACATACACACAATCACACAGACACAATCACAGACACAATCACACAGAAACACAGAACAGACACACAGACACGGACACAATCACACACAGATACACACAGACACAATCACAGACACACACAAACACAATCACACAGATACACACAGGCACAATCACACACAGATGCATAGACACAATCACACACAGAAACAGACAGAACAGACACACAATCACACAGATACACACAATCACATAGACACAATCACACACTGACACAGACACACAAACACAAACACACATACACAGGCATAATCATACAGAGACACACAATCACAAAGACACACACAGACACAATCACACACACAATCACATACAGACACACAGACACAATCACACACAGATACACAATCATGCACAGAAACACAAACACAATACACAGATGTACAGAACACACAATCACCATACACATACATACAATACAGACACAGACACAATCACAGAGAGACACAATCACAGACACGATCACACACTCGAACACAATCACACACAGATGCACACAGACACAATCACACAGACACAGACACAATCAATCACAGAGACACACAATCACATAGACATAGTCACACACAGACACACATGAACAATCACACACATACACACAGACATAATCACACAGACACACAGACACAGACACAACATACACAGATACACACAGACACAATCACACACAGACACAATCACACACAGAGAAGGGTCCCCGTATCTATGTGTATCACACACAGAACACACAGACACAATCACACACAGAAGCACACTCCCACATGTGAGTACAGGGCCGCAGCAGGGCCCGTGGAGGAAGCTCGCCCTCACTACCTGTGGCACCTGTTGATAATTCCATTCCACTCCACTCCACTCCACTCCACTCCACTCCACTCCACTCCAAGCTGGTCACAGACCCCTAATGGTGGTGGCCCACAGCGTGAGGACTGTTGCTTGCCCTGCTAGCCCATGCATGCGAGGTGTGCTGGGGTCTGAGGGACAGCAGCCCATCCACAAGGGGCCTGGGCCCAACCGGCCCGTCTCCCCGCTTTTACCCCTGGATAAGTTGCTGTAGCTGTAAGTGCCCACCACGGAAAATGCTAATCCTCATGTTTCCAAAGCACCAAAGACAGTCAAGGAAACCTGGAAGCAACTGGGGAGGGAGGGTGATGGGGTGCCCGGCTGCCCGCAGACTTGCCCACCGGTCCAGGACCTCGGAGGGGAGGCCAGTGGCACCCTCTCCCAGGCCCATGCCCTGGGTGGCCCACTTGGGGCTGTGCACTCACGGCTGGGGTTCCCTGGCCCTGGGCCTCCTCTTCTTCCATCCTCCAGGGAGCGCCTCGTGGCCAACAGTGGAGGTGGGGGGAACGGTGGTGGTGGGGGCGTCATCAGCAGGGGCACCTGTGGGTGAATGGGCCTGGTCAGTGGGGGACCCCCGTGGGCTCTTCCCTGCTCACCTAGACAGGGGCAGGGGCACCCAGTGGACGAGCCTTGGGGAGCCTGTGCATCTGAGAAGGGCTGGGACAGGTAAGGAGGTGGCAGGAGAGGGGCAGGTCCTTGATCAGGGTTCTGTCCCAGGGTCATCTCCTGCCTGAGTGCCATCACTTCCTGGCACCCCACCTTGGTTCCCCGCCCACTTTCACCTCTATTGGGTGGGCCACCCCCATCTCAAAGCTCAGCTTCCAGGCTCCCTCTGGAGGCAGCTGAGCTCTGGGGCTCCGGGTACTGGGTTAGGGCCTGGTTTCCAGCTGTGCCCAGCGCCCTGTGGTCTCACAAAGACATGTGCACACATATGCACACACACGCATGTATGCTCTCCTGCACACACATGCATGTACTCTCCTGCACACATGCACGTACACTCTCCTGCACACACACGCACGTACTCTCCTGCACACACGCATGTACACTCTCCTGCACACACATGCATGTACTCTCCTGCACACATGCACGTACTCTCCTGCACACACATGCACGTACTCTCCTGCACACACACACATGTACACTCTCCTGCACACATGCACGTACACTCTCCTGCACACACACGCATGTACCCTCCTGCACACACACGTACACTCTCCTGCACACACACACACGTACTCTCCTGCACACACGCACGTACACTCTCCCGCACACCCCCCTCCCCGACTGCCCTGACTCCTGTGCTGTGGTCCGCCTGGAACTTCAGCCCTGACATGGGGCCTGTCAGTGTCTTGGGGGTGGATGGCCAAGTGAGAAACCTGGTGAGGAGAGGGAAGGGCAGTGGACTAGGATGGGGTCCCCAATGTGCCCACCAGCCGAGGGCATGGGCAGCCCTTGTCCCCAGCCAGCAGGGCCGCATGCCACCGTCCCTCTGGGCACCTCCCCCACTGTGCCTGTCAGACCAAAGCTCTTGTCCCTGCCCTCCAGTGGGCACTGGAAGCCAGACGTGGCCATCAGGGCTCCAGGGTCAGTGCTAGTGAGAGCCCTGGGCAGAGCAGAGCACTCAAATCGGCCACGATTCTGGACATGTGGCCTGGGCCCAGGGCCCGTCGTGGGAGGGGGAGGGACCCATGCTGCAGCTTGCTCGAATGCACGGCTGTCTCTGCCTTCAAATTCGTTCTCCTTTCCGAATGCAGGGCCCCCATTTTCCTGCTGCACCGGGGCCGGACTGCAGTGAAGTTGGCCCTGCCTGAGCAAATCTCTGGCCTCCCTAAGCCTCCCTTGCTCATGGACAAGGTGGCACAGGCTGCCTCCCAGCAAGGATGCTGGGTGGCCCCTCGGCCACCTCCCCTCCAGGACCCTCACCCCACTGGGCCACGGGGAAGGGAACACAGTCTGAAAGCCCATCTGCCCGGCCCCCACGCACCTCACTCCTTCCAGGAATCTGTGCCCACAGCCCAGGAACCCTGGTGCGCGGTGGGCTGGGGAGCAACCGCCCAGCCCCAGCCCCGGAGGCCCTCAGACGCGAACTGCAGAGTGCAGGGAGCACAGCTGTCCTGGGACACCGGGGGCTGCTGAGGCTGCCGCCCCCAGGAGTGGGAGGTGTCACATGAATATTTGAAGGCCGAGGTGTCAGGTGGCCAGGCGGGCTTGGGCCGGGTGTGGGATCTGTTACCACGGAACCTTTAACTGTCCACAGAGCAGGGGCCGGGGAGGGGATGCTCTGGGAGATGGAAGGGGACCTGAGATCCCTGGGCCCCATGAGAAGAGAGACCACCCAGAGGAATCCCCAGCCCCACCTACGGTACGGCCCCCAGGGCACAGATGGGGAAATTGAGGCTCAGAGAGGGCAAGGGGCTTTCTCAAAGCCCCACAGCCGGGCTGCCGCAGAGCCGGGATGAGAGTCTCACTGGAGACCTCAGTCTTTGCTCCCTCCAGTGCCCCTGAACAGCTGCTTCCTTGGTGGGGGACACCACAGAGGTCAGCCTCTAGGGAAAGACCAAGAACACAAAGCCTGGCTGTCCTTTCTGGGCCACTTCTCAGGGCTGTGTGTGCAGGGAGCGACTGAGGGACTAGGACTGACTTGCTGTCTGCTGAGCAACGGCGTGTTCCCCAGACTCAACGGTCCTCAGAGGAGATACAGACCTATGCGGCACAGCTGCCATCGGGACCCAACTCGCACCACCTGGGACTCGGGGGCAAGGGAACGCCTCAAAGCATGATGTGTGCTCCCTGCCGTGCTGAAGGAAGGTCCTCCGTCTTGGACCCAGGAGTCTGGTGTCTTTGTCCACGTTCAAGACATAGCGAGAGGCTGGCGTCGCTGCTTCAAGCAGGGCAGAGTCAGACTCCAGACCAGACGCGGCCAGAAAAGCCAGACACAAGTGGTGTCACCGACAGAGGTGGGCTGAGCCCTGCCTGGAGTGGGCCCCTCAACAGCAAGGCCACCCCAATGCCCCCGCACTGTCCCCTGCCCAGCCAGGACCAAGCCGGGAGTGGGATGGTGCCTCTCGCCTCCTCTCTGCCCCTGCCTGGGAGCCCTCAGCCCCCTCCCTGAGATGGAACCTGCTGTCAGTGGAGAGGGGCCACCCCTGGCAGAGTGAGGGGCTTGGCAGGATGGCAGCCGCCCTCTTATGCTGGGGAAGACAAAAGAGGTGGAAGTTAGTCTGGGGCTCAGGGGACTACCGGACTCTGGCCCCAGCACAGCATCTGTGGCCTGGGGGACCTTACTCGAGGTCCCTGTGGCCCAGCCCTGCTCCACTCCTCACCAACGAGAAGCCCGGGACGCCACCCCCTGAGCCTCCATTTCTTCACCTGTAAATCAGAGTTCTTGGAAATTTGAGGGACTATGGAGAGCACCTGGCATGGGCCTGCAAGACAGTGGCATTCAGACCTTGACGCTGCTGCCACCCTCGGTATTAGGATGGTCTCTGAGTTTAACAGGGATGAGAAGTCTGGCTGTGGCGTTTCTCCGGCAACGGGAGTAACCACACCCCTGGCTCCCATAGGAAGGCCCTGGACACGATGGAGCCTCAGGGATCTGGAGGCGCAGATGTCAGGGTCCTGTCCGTTGGGGTCTTAACATTTAGACATGTGCTGCCCCGAATCCCAGCATTGGACAGTTGCCCTGAGGCTGGTGGTCATGTGGCCCCACGGCCCCGACCGCTGTCGCTGTCCCTGGTTTTTGGTGAGATTTGAGCACCGCGGAGGCTGCATGCATTATACATGGAGAGCATCGTGGTGAGCCAGGTCACAGGCCTGTAATGCCACCCGGTCAGAGAGAATCACGGCCCACGGATGGGTGCCGGACACCCGTTGCCATGGCTGAGATTCCATTACTGGCTGTGTGGGTGCCACCCTTCCCAGCGGGAGGAGAGTGCCCAGGAAGCCTCTCACCTTCTCTGGGCCTCAGTTTCCTCATATATAAAATAAAGATGTCTTAGTACCTTTCTGGACCAAAGGGGAGGGAGTACACCTGTCCGGAGGGCCCACCAGGGCAGGCGCCTCATTGGGTGCTCGAGGAGCTTCTCCTCTACCCAAAAAACAAGGCTCTGGGCCGGGTACGGTGGATCATGCCTGTAGTCCCAGCACTTTGGGAGGCAGAGGCGGGAGGATCACTAGAACCCAGGAGCTCAAGACCAGCCTGGCCAACATGGCCAAACCCCGTCTCTACAAAAAATACAAAAATTAGCTGGGTGTGGTGGCGCACACCTGTAGTCCCAGCTACTTGGGAGGCTGGGGTGGGAGGATCACTTGAGCCTGGAAGGCTGAGGCTGCAGTGAGCTGAGACTGTGCCACTGCACTCCAGCCTGGGTGACAGAGACCCTGTGGTGAGAAAACTGGGGTTTAGAGATGCTCAGAACTTGCCAGTGCCCCATGCCCAGGAAGGGCAGCACCAGTGCTGGCGGGTGGGGGTGAGTGGGACAGCCCTGGACACCATGGGAGATGCCAGAGGCTCTGCTCCCCGAGCATGGAGGGTTCTATTCACCATTCCTGCCCAGACAGGGCACTCAGAGCCCCACAGCCAGGATCCCAGCTCCTTGGCTAGCAGAGGGGAGGGGGCCTGCCTCGAGGGCAGCCCCTGGCCTTCAAGACCGCATCCCTCATTGCGTGGAGAGGGGCCCCAAGGCCCAGGGAGGGTCAGGGCTGGCCTTCCCTAGCACCCTGAGCAGAGCCCGAGCTGGGCGGGCCCCACAGACCCAACACAAAGGAGGTACCGAGGGGGCACCTCCCACAGGGCAGGTCTCAGCACTCCTGTCCAGCATTGCTCCCCAAGCTGCTGCTGCTCTTGGAATGCACGAGTCCCCTGGGGGCAGATACAGGCTGTGCTGTCATGGGGAAGATGATGGATTTCACCACCTCTTCTGAGGCCAGCTCGGAGGCGGCCAGTGTGAGCAGCCCCTGCGGACTGCATTCCCATCAATATTGCAGCAGGCACACGGCCTCCCCCAGCCCACAGCTGACAGCCTGCCCTCCCTCAGAGGCCTGAAGAGGGGACAGCTCCAGTGGTGAGAGACGAGCACCCCCTGCCGTCACCAGACCCTCCCAGAGGGAGAAGACGGAGACAGGCTCCAGTCCCTACCCCGAGCTCCCAAACCGGCTCCTGAAGCTGCAGACTGAGGAGCCGGGAAGGCCCCGGGGTTGGGTTTTCATGCGCCGGGCAGGGGGCGCCCAGGCGCGGGCAGGAGGGGACTCTGGATGGGAAGGACGTGGCGAGCCTAACACGACCCGTCCTCCACTACCACGGGGTCTGGGGACAGAAGGCAGAGGCGCTGCTTGGACAGAAAGCCCAGGCATGGGACCCCAGAATGGCTGGGGCGGGAACAGTGTCAGGGACTCCCAGGAGGTCGGGCGGGGCTGTTCCCTTGTGCCAGGGGCTTGTGGAGGCTGGGACACCTGCAGAGCTGCTGCTGTCCCCACCTGCTAATCTCGGCTGCCATCCAGGGAGGAAGTGCAGGGAGGGGCCCAAAAAAGGCCAAGGCTGACCTAGCGGCCTTGAAGGAGCTGTGGGGAGACCCAGGCAGCCGGCACTCCTGGGCTGTGGGCCATGGAGCACCATCTTCTGTGGCAGAAGCCAGCAGAGCGCCACCACCTTCTCAGCCAAGCCAGAAAGACAGCCTTCTGCTGAACCAGGACCCGCTGGACGCCTAGCAAGCACACCATTTAGTAAATACGTGACTTCCAACAGTGACTGAATTCTAGTTCCTGAAACTGCTGCACCAGGGAAAAACCAGGGCAGAGCCGTGCTCCCCGGAGGCCACCTGAGCCACCTGTGCAGCACGGCAGGACTGGTGTGGGTTTCCGTCAGTGCCAACAGAGGCCCCAGTGGTGGCAGTGTGACAAGTGTCCAGCAGGCCCCAGGGGCTGGGGTGGGGGGGACTGTGGCTCTGCCCCAGTTGGTCCCAGATGCTCTGAGGGGACACATCAGAGAAGAGGAGGCACAGCAACCCCTTGGGGAGACAAAGGGTTTGGGGGGTGGAGGGCGATGACACCTTCCAGTCCTCAGTCCCCTCACCCGAAAAGAAGGGCCAGGTGATTTCAGAACACCTTCCTGAAGGGATGACCAGTAAAAGAGGTGTGGCAGAAACCGAGCTAGGTTAGAGGGATTTGTCACAGTAACTGCCCCAGGCCTCCCCTCCTCCAGCTCCCCTCCTCCATCCACCTCCTCCATCCACCTCCTCCATCCATTCCTCCTTCATCCACCTCCTCCATCCACCTCCTCCATCTCCCCTCCTCCACCCACCTCCTCCATCCACCTCCTCCATCCACCTCCTCCATCCATTCCTCCTTCATCTAACCTCCTCTCCTCCACCTCCCCTCCTCCATCTACCCTCCTCCATCCACCTCCTCCATCCACCTCCTGCATCCAACTCCTTCATCCACGTCCTTCATCCACCTCCTCCATTCACCCTCCTCCATCCACCTCCTCCATCCAACTCCTTCATCCATTTCTCCTCCATCCACCTCCTCCGTCCAACTCTTTCATCCATTTCTCCTCCATCCATCCTCTTCCATCCACCCTCTTCCTTCCACCCTCCTCCATCCACCCTCCTCCATCCATTCCTCCTCCATCCACCCTCCTCCATCTCCCCTCCTCCATCCATTCCTCCTCCATCCAAGGCCTTCATCCACTTCTCCTCCATCCATCCTCTTCCATCCACTCTCCTCCATTCACCCTCTTCCATCCATCCTCTTCCATTCATTCCTCCTCCATTCACCCTCCTCCATCCACCCTCCTCCATCAATCCTCTTCCATCCACTCCTCCTCCATTAACCCTCCTCCATCCACCCTCCTCCATCAATCCTCTTCCATCCATTCCTCCTCCATTAACCCTCCTCCATCCACCTCCTCCGTCCAACTCTTTCATCCATTTCTCCTCCATCCGTCCTCTTCCATCCACCCTCTTCCTTCCACCCTCCTCCATCCATTCCTCCTCCATCCATTCCTCCTCCATCCACCCTCCTCCATCTCCCCTCCTCCATCCACCCTCCTCCATCCATCCTCCTGCAACCACCCTCCTCCATCCATTCCTCCTCCATCCATTCCTCCTCTATCCACCCTCCTCCATCTCTCCTCCTCCATCCACCCTCCTCCAACCACTCTCCTCCATCCATTCCTCCTCCATCCACCCTCCTCCATCCACCCTCTTCCATCCACCCTTCTCCATCCACCTCCTCCATTCACTCTCCTCCATCCACCTCTTCCATCCATTCCTCCTCCATCCACCCTTCTCCATCCACCCTCCTCCATCTCCCACCATCCACTCTTTTCCATCCACCTCCTCCATTCACTCTCCTCCATCCACCTCTTCCATCCATTCCTCCTCCATCCACCCTCCTCCGTCCACCCTCTTCCATCCACCCTTCTCCATCCACCTCCTCCATCCATTCCTCCTCCATCCATTCCTCCTCCATCCACCTTCTCCACCCACCCTCCTCCATCTACCCTCCTCCATCCATTCCTCCTCCATCCACCCTCCACCATCCATTCCTCCATCCATTCCTCCTCCATCCACCCTCCTCCATCCATCTGCTGCTCCATCTGCCCTCCTCCAACCATCCTCCACCATCCATTCCTCCATCCATTCCTCCTCCATCCACCCTCCTCCATCCATTCCTTCTCCACCCACCCTCCTCCATCCAACTCCTCCATCCACCCTCCTTCATCCATCCTCTTCCATCCATTCCTCCTCCATTCACCCTCCTCCATCCATTCCTCCTCCATTCACCCTCCTCCATCCATTCCTCCTCCATCCACCTTCCTCCATCTATTTCTCCTCTGTCCACCTCCCCTCCATCCACCCTCCTCCTTCCACCCTTCTTCATCCATTCCTCTTCCACCCATCTCTCCTCTGTCCACCCTCCAGAGCTCTCCCCCCTCCATGTATCCCTCTCCTCATTTTTCACTCCTTTGGCCTCCCTGCCCCATTCATTCCTCCTCTGTCTGTTCCCTCCCCATCCATCCCTTCCTCTGCTCACCCTCATGCATCCACCTGCTTTTCTGTCCATTTGCTCATTAGTTCATTCAGCAAACACTTGTTGAGCTCTGTCACGTTCTAAGGGCTGGGGACCAGTGGGATAGACAAGATCCGTGTCCTTACAAATGGGGAAATGAGAGGCTGTGGGGTCCCAGGCTGAGAGACGAGAGCCAGGGCTGGAATCTGCTGCCTTCCGGCTGCTGCAGGGCTGTTGGCCGCCTTGCGATCACCTCTGGGAGGTTCCGTTCCCACTCCTGGGGCTCCTCAGTCTGACATACATCACCCACATCACCCACATCACCCACGAGGAACTCTGGCCACCGAGGCTCTTGAGTCACAGATGTGGTCTCTGTGACCCAGACGAAAGGCATGGCCTGGCCAAGTTCCAGCCACAAGCCCAGGCCGGGCCCTGGCCACAGCCATGGCCCCAGGCCCTGTCACATGCCCTCTGTCCTGACCCCTGTTACAGCCCCTGTCCTTGTCACAGCCCTGGCCCCACCCCTGTCACAGCCCCTGTCCTGGCCCCTGTCACAGCTCCTGTTACAGCCTGGCCCTAGCACTGGCTGCCCTGTGGCGCCTCAGTCCTGCCCAGGCCCTTGCTCCTGGCTCCAATGCCATGTATGAGTTGGACATGGTGAGCTTCCCAGCTGACTATGCTGCAGGTTCAGCAGTGGGGTCCTGGCTGGGGTCTGGGCCCACCCCCCATGCCTCCAGGGCAGCTGGGGACCCTGAGCCTTACCGGCTGGGCCACCTCCCGCAGGTACTGGGCGCAGTCCCGGTGTCCATGGTACTCCGCCAGGTCTGCCGCCGTGTAACCATCTTCATCCCGCAGGGAGGGGTCCACGTGGTGGGAGACTAGGGTCTGGCAGCACTGCAGTGAGGAGGGCACACATGTGACCCACCACGACACAAACCAGGTGCCCATGGGACTGGCCCTGTGCGGGCCGCTCCCCTGCCCCATGGCGCAGGCTGCCCTGATGCCCTTCCCAGCAGGGGCAGGACTTGAATCTGGGCCGTGGGGTGCCAGAGACCTGCCTAGGAGCCCCCGAGCCTCATCCCACAGCCACCCTGTCCTGGCCCAGACAGTACCAGGCACTGCTTATGAAGCAGTGCTGAGCTGACAGGCATCAGGGTGCCCCGTCCAGACCCCTCACAGCTGCCATGGCCCAAGTGTCAAATGCAGAACCAGTTTCCATGTTTGCCACCCTTGGAGGTGTGGATCAATGCACGTGAAGAGACGAGGCTCAGAGAGACAAGCAACCGGCCCCTGCCCCAGGGACTCAGGGCTACTTCCTGCCACAGCCCCACTCTCCGTGGGACCATCCTCCTGGCCCAATGAGGTTCCCCCCTAGTGCCTGGAGCACCAGCTCATGCCTGACCAAGCCGCTCACCACCTTTGCCAGCCACACTGCATGCTCCTACCCAGCCAACTTGGGGCCAGGACCCTCCTGTCTCCTTGTACCTGATGGGCTCTTGTGATGGGAATGGGGAGGAAGAGGGGAGGGAAGGAAGCTGGGGAGGGAGTCCACAGGACTGGAAGGCTAGAGGACATCTTGGCCTGTGAAGGATTCAGTTGGAAGAGGGACGGGGGACCTCAAGAATGAATTCTGTACTTTATTCTGTAAACATTTCTGTGTCTCTTTTGTAGTACCAGGGAAACACAAAAACGAACTCGAGTTAGGCGAACGCTGTGTTCACAAAACTGTGCCTTTGACCCAAATGTATCTCTGAGATAGACCAGCTGGGCCTCAGCATCTTTGGGTGACACTGAATTGAACTAAGTAAGAAGTTGTGAGACCCTTGGCCGGGCGCAGTGGCTCATGCCCGTAATCCCAGCACTTGAGGAGGCCAAGGCGGGTGGATCACCTGAAGTCAGGAGTTCCAGACCAGCCTGACCAACATGGTGAAACCCTGTTTCTACTAAATACAAAAAATTAGCCAGGCGTGGTGGCGGGCGCCTCTAATCCCAGCTACTTAGGAGGCTGAGGCAGGAGAATTGCTTTAAGCCAAGAGGCGGAGGTTGCAGTGAGCCAAGGTGGCACCACTGCACTCCAGCCTGGGCAACAACAGTGAAACTCCACCTCAAACAAGTTGTGAGACCCCAAAGGAATTTTCAGCTCCTCTCTGGACTGCAGTGCCTCACCTATAAAAGGTGCAATTAGTGTTCATTCTCTACAGATAAATACAGGTTCAGCATGCATGTGGAGCGGCGGGTGTGCCATGCCGTGAGTAAATACAACGTGACGCTGTCGTGTGTGGCAGGGGGCCTGGCAGCGAAGTCCAGTGGCCTTGAGCTCATCTGGCTCTGTGACTTGCTGGTCAGAGAACTTGGCCAGCTAACTGGGCCTGTCTGTAAAGTAAGGACACCTGCATTGATCTATGGTCGGCACCACCAGCCTCCCTTGCCCCGGCCCCTACCGACACTCACCTGCGCAGCTAGCAGGTCAGCTTGAGACCTCGAGGGCGAGTGCCTTGTCCTGGGGGAATCCTCTGGAGGGCTTCCTTCCCCTCCCTCCTCTGCCCTGAGTTCCATGGCCTCCAAGGTGGCCACAGCCTGAGGAGGCCACAGCGCCACCAGGGGAAGGTGGACAAAAAGATAGAGCCCTGCTCCCTGGAATCCCTGCAGGTCCGAAAGACCAGTGCCAGAACCGCCGCAAGATCAGCTCCAGAACCGCCACAAGACCAGAGCCAGAACCACCGCAAGACCGGAGCCAGAACCGCCGCAAGACCAGCGCCAGAACCGCAGAGCCACAGGGCTTGTCACTGCCTGAGGATGATGACCCTGCGCCTCTAAGCTGCAGACTGGGGTGTCTGCTCACGCACTGCCTGCCTTCCTGGGTGCCGTGCTGCCCTCCAGAGAGTAAGCAGCTCAGCCCGGGGGCCGCCGGCTCTGGCACAAATATGCAACCCTGGTCGTGGTGCGAAAGCTGCCACCCATAGCGTGGCCGGGTGCCCACAAGGCTTTATTTGTGGGCACTGACATTTTAACTTCAGATGAGTTTCATGTGTCATGAGATGTGATTCTTTTTCCTTTTCCCCATTTAAAAAGGGAAAAACTATTTTGAGCTTGTGGGGCCACACAAAATCAGGCGTGCGCACACCCCTTCCCCGGGGGCTGCTGGGAGGCTTGAACCAGATAACGCCTGAAGGCTCCTGGAGGCCCAGAAGGGCTGAGCCAGTGGCTGGTGTGGCTGAGGAAGCAGGAAGCATTTGTCAGATGTGCAAGGACACCGGGGCTGGGGAGGCTGGGGCAGGTCGCTGAAGCCAGTCGCTGGAGAGAGGCACTGCTCCCGGAGGCTCTGGGCTGGGGGAATGGCAAAGGTTTGCCAGGGCGCGGTGGGTGTGTGGGTGGGTGGAGGCGGAGCGTCCCCAAGGAGCTGTTGCTGGGAAGAGGAGGCCAGGATGCGGAGGAGGGGAGTTACGGGGTCTGCAGGAGTATGAGGGGTGTCACGGCAGAGGAAGGGGGACAAGTGTCAGACCTGGCCCCAAATGGTGCTGGGGAGAGAGGGCAAAGCCCTGATAGGAACAGAGCCATGGGGAGGAGGAAGGGAACCTCTCCCCCAGAGTGACGGACCCCATCACCGCTGGGATTGTCAGCAGAGGGTGGGTAGTGACAGACAGAACTCTGTCTGGAAGTCTGTGCAGAGGCCACAGCAGTGGAAAAGCAGGTGAGCAGATGGATCCACTCCAGGGAGGAGAGAACCAGGTGGGTCAGACCAACCCACTGCCCAAGGACGTGAAACACGGATTCACTGTAAAAGTCACCTGCTGACAGCCTCAGTAAGGTAACGCAGAAGTCAGGAGTGACACGGCCACACTCAGGAGAAAAGGAAAGCCTGGGGGGTGAGGGGTGTCGGGGAGCCCAGCACTCAGAACTGCTCTTGCCCTGAGCCTGGGCTGACGACGGAAGAACAGTTATATGATGTGCCGTCCTCCCGCAGCCTCAGGGGACCAGGGAGGCCAGGAACCGTGCGGGTTCCATCAGGGGTGGGGGCTCTGGTTGACCACCTCCCGATGTGGCCAAGGGCTCCACCCTCAGAGAAAATGGAAGCCAGACGCCAGCCAGGCCCCTGGTTCCTGTCACGGAGGTGGTCCTGGGAACTTCCTGCCTGGAATGCGGATTAAGATGATCCTAGGCCCACATGTGCCCAGCAAAGGCAAATAAGATATTGCTAAGGCCTCCAGTTATGCCTACGCTTCATTTTTCATGTCAGCATATGTCAACAAAAATAAAAATACAAGGAAATAAAATACCATGAACAAGAACCAGAAGACCCAGCCCACAAAGAAATAGAAATAAAGCTCTGAGAACTAACAGACAAAAAACAACTGTGCTTACTACTTTTAAATAAAGAAAAATCCAGGCAGCCAGATCACATCTCCTCAAAATAACAGAGTAAAAATAAACCCCTAAACATTAGTAATTATACTGACTATAGATGGTCTAAATGCACCAATAGGTAAAGACTGTCAGGCTGATGAAAAAAATTAAACATGACTGCATATGGTTAACCAGAGGTACTGGCAAACATAAGGATTCAGAAGGCCGAAAGCAAAGTATGAATAAGCTTCACCATCAAATAAGTATAGAAAGAAAAGTCATGTGTATACATATATCAGATAAAACAGACTAGATATGGGGTTCAAAATATATAAAACAAACGGTGACAGGATTGTAGGGAAACACAGACAAATCCAGAATAATAGCCAGGAATGTTCACACAATTCTCTCGATCCACTTGAAATCCAGTAAACTAAAATGTGTACCTATGGAGATCTGAAGAACACAATGACATAATGGACATGTAGCGAACAGTCTGCAAACTCTACAGTCTTTCCAAGAACATATGCAACGTTGATAAAAATTGACCATACACGGGGCAATAAAGTAACTTATCAAAAAATCAAAGGATTGAAATGACCAGAGCATATTTTCTGACCACAATGCAATTTGGACAGAAATTAATAACAAATAGATAACTAGAAGGAACACCTTCGTATTTGGAAATTAAGAAACATAATTCCAAGGAATCCCTAGAGCAAATAAGAATCAAAATGGGAATTAGAAAATATTTTTTAACTGAACAATTATCAAACAGTGGGATACAGCTAAAGCAGTACTTAGAGGAAAATTTATAGCCTTCAATAAATATATTAGAAAAGAAAAAAGGTTGAAAAGTAAGTGAGGTAGGCACCCATCTCAGTAATTTAGGAAAGAAAGTAATAACAAAGATAAATGCAGAAATTAATGAAATAAAAAACAAACATACATTGGAGACAATTAATGCTTTTTGGAGGACCTTGAATAAGTTAAAACCTGATCGTTGGAAAAACTACTGACTAACATCTAGTGAGGCTGATTGAGACAAAAAAAGAAACACAAAAATACCCAATATCAGGAATTAAAAGTGGGGAAATTACTACATACAGACAATAAAGGATCATGAGGATATTAAAAATAACTTCATGCTAATACACTTAACAACTTAGACAAATTTGATTCCTAGAACATTTCTAGGAAATAAATCCTAGAAAAATATAATTTGCTGAAACCAACACATAAAAAATAGAAAGCCCTAGTAGTTCTATAATTAAATAAATTGAATTAGTAATAAAAAACCTTCCCTCAAAGAAACAGCCAGATCCAGAGGATTTCACGAGTGAATTCCACAAAACCTTTAAAGAAAAAAATAAGTCTAATATAACCAAAATGTCTCAAAAAATAGGAAAAGAGGAAACACTCCCTAATTCATAGCATATTTTGATACCAAAATCTAACAAGGATAAAACAAAAAAAGGACATTCCATGCCAATTTTACTCAAGAATATAAGGCCAAAAATCCTAAACAAAATGTTAGCAAATTGAATTCAGCTATATTTAAAAGGAATAATATGTCATGTTGAATTTATTCCAGGAATGAAAGGTTGGTGTAACATTTTAAAGTAATCAGGGTAGATCCAGGTATTCTAATGCTGGGTATACATATCCAAAAGATTTGAAGGCTGGATCTCAGAGATATTTACACACCCCTGTTCATGGTAGCATGATTCACAATAGTCAAAAGGCAGAAGAACCCAAATGTCCATTAGCAGATGACTAGAGAAAGAAAATGTGGTATATACATACAATGGAATATTATTTAGCTATAAAAAGGAAATTCTGATGCGTTACAACAGGGATGAACCTTGAGGACATTATGCTAAGTGAACTAAGCCAGAGACAAACGGATAAATACTGTACAATTCCACTTATATGAGGCATCCTAAGTCATCAAGTTCATAAAAAACAGAAAGTAGGATGTTGCTGGCCAGGGGCTGGGAGATAAGGGAGACGGAGAATTGCTGTCTGATGGCCATAGCGTCTCAGTTTTGCAAAATGAAAAAGTTGTGGAAATTCTGCTGCACGACAACGTGAACAGACTTAGCGCTGCTGAAGTGTGTGCTCGAAAATGGCTAAGATGGTAAATTTTATGTTACGTATTTTTTAATCACAATTTAACAATTAAAAAAATAATTAGTGTAATTCACACCATTCAAAGGATAACTAGGCCGGGCACGGTAGCTCATGCCTGTAATCCCAGCACTTTGGGAGGCCGAGGTGGGCGGATCATTTGAGGTCAGGAATTCAAGACCAGCCTGGCCAACATGGTGAAACCCCGTCTCTACTAAAAATACAAAAATTAGCCAGGTGTGGTGGTGCGTGCCTGTAATCCCAGCTACTCAGGAGGCTGAGGCAGAGGTTGCAGTGAGCAGAGATCGAGCCTCTGCACTCCAGCCTGGGCGACAGAGTGAGACTCCGTCTCAAAAAAAAAAAAAAAAAAAAAGAATAACTAATGTGATATACTGAAACACAAAACCTATTAAAAGTAACCATCATTCCTCTTTAGAGGCTGCTGGAGGATCAACTCATTGTTTTGACATTTTATTTTTAAATGGGAAAAAGCTGTCAGAGCCAAGAGGCATCTGAGGAGACTTGATAATTAAATATCATATGGCATCCTAAATGGGATCCTGGGACAGAAAAGGGACACTCGGTATCATATGGCAACCTAAATGGGATCCTGGGACAGGAAAGGGAAACTCGGTAACATATGGCATCCTAAATGGGATCCTGGGACAGGAAAGGGACACTCGGTATCATATGGCATCCTAAATGGGATCCTGGGACAGAAAAGGGACACTCGGTAACATATGGCACCCTAAATGGGATCCTGGGACAGTAAAGGGACACTCGGTAACGTGTGGCACCCTAAATGGGATCCTGGGACAGAAAAGGGACACTCGGTAACATATGGCATCCTAAATGGGATCCTGGGACAGAAAAGGGACACTCGGTAACATATGGCATCCTAAATGGGCGGTGTGGATATATCCTGGGACAGAAAAGGGACACTCGGTAACATATGGCACCCTAAATGGGATCCTGGGACAGAAAAGGGACACTCGGTAACATATGGCACCCTAAATGGGATCCTGGGGACAGAAAAGGGACACTCGGTAACATATGGCACCCTAAATGGGATCCTGGGACAGAAAAGGGACACTCGGTAACATATGGCACCCTAAATGGGATCCTGGGACAGAAAAGGGACACTCGGTAACATATGGCACCCTAAATGGGATCCTGGGACAGAAAAGGGACACTCGGTAACATATGGCACCTTAAATGGGATCCTGGGACAGAAAAGGGACACTCGGTAACGTGTGGCATCCTAAATGGGATCCTGGGACAGAAAAGGGACACTCGGTAACGTGTGGCATCCTAAATGGGATCCTGGGACAGAAAAGGGGCACTCGGTAACGTGTGGCATCCTAAATGGGATCCTGGGACAGAAAAGGGACCCTCGGTAACGTGTGGCATCCTAAATGGGATCCTGGGACAGAAAAGGGACACTCGGTAACGTATGGCATCCTAAATGGGATCCTGGGACAGAAAAGGGACACTCGGTAACGTATGGCATCCTAAATGGGATCCTGGGATAGAAAAGGGACATTCGGTAAAAGCTAAGGGCATCTGAATGAAGTGTGGGCTCTAGTTAGTAACACTGTGCTAGTTTGGGTTCACTAATTGTGACAAATGTACTGTACTAACATAAGTTGTCAAGAATGGAGGAAAAGGCTGGGCATAGTGGCTCACACCTGTCATCCCAGCACTTTGGAAGGCTGAGGTGGGAGGATTGCTTGAGCCCAGAAGTTTGAGGCCTGCCTGGGCTCAGCACAGTGAGACTCCCATCTCTACAAAATTTTTTTAAAAAATTAGCTGGGCGTGGTGGCGTGCGCCTATAGTCCCAGCTACTCAGGAGGCTGAGGCAGGAGGATTGCTTGAGCCTAGGAGTTAGAGGTTGCACACGGTGATGACACGCTGTTGTGTGTTTTGAATTCCACAGTAAGAAATTTAAAAGGGAAGAAGTCTCTGTTTTGAGGCTTGAGTAATTTTCTTTTTACAGAGGGAAGCTGAGGAGCCAGAGGAGTCAGCTGATTTATTAAACTTCTTGGGCTGCTATCAAATATTTCATTTGAAAGAAGATTTTGCTGCTTTAAAAAAGCTTAAAAACCCCTGGCCAGGGGCCACTTACCCCTTCTGAGCCGAGTCTCCTGGGGCCTGCCTGAGCCACTCAGCAGAGCTCCTCCTGCCACCAGCCACCTGTCAGGGACATGCCTCCCAGGGCCTGCGGGTCACCCCTCCCCCCACTTCCTATCTCTGTCTAGGTTGGGGACAGAGACTGGGGAGACAGAGCTGGGTTGTGCAGAGCTGAGTGGACGGGGGATGGTGAGAGGAAGGGCGGTAGCTGGGGGGCCTCAGAGAAAGATGCTTTCAGCAGCGCTGCCGGGAGGGGGGATTGGGTTTCCTCTGCATTCTGCCAAAGGCTCAGCTCTGCAGGGAATGCGGTGCCTTCCGATGGCTCTGCGGCTGCACCGTGTGTGATTGTTTCAATGGCACTGCTGAGACTGGGTGACCCGGGGCCCCAGGAAGACCTTGGGTTCTAGCTGGGAGCAGTTGTCTAGACTTGCAGACCCAGAATGCGATGGTTGGTTGCACTTCCACTTAAAATCCCCCCAGACTAGCCTTGCAGAGGCCTGGAGCACGCTGCTGGCTCCCGACTGAGCAGCCTGGGCCCAGGAGGCTTTGGAAGAACGTGGGGAACCAGGAGACTTCATGGAGGTGAACAGACCCGACACTGCTCAGGACCGGATGGGGCTGGGGAGAAGTAAACTGTGTGCATTCTCCTGAGATGGGGCCTTGCCTTTAGATGAGGTCGACATCGGGTGGGCACCCGGGCAGGGCCAGCAGCTGATGGCTGCACCCACCCTCAAAGGCTGGGTGTGGTTCTGATGTTGTTGAACATTTGAATACCATCCCTGCCTACGTGGGGTTTTTGGATGTCGTGTCCTTGAGGCTGGGCCATGTGAGCCCCCAAGATTTATCTGGGTAATAGCAAAGGGGCTGACATCACACCCCTGCCACAGCTCTACTCGCAGGCTGCTCACAGCAGAGGGTCCGCCCCAAGGGCTGTTCTGAGAAGACTGTCACCAAGACCAAGCCCTGACCAGGCACGAGGGAGTTTCTGCGCGAAGGGAGGGAGGATGGTACGCAGGACGAGAGCATAGAGCTTGGATCTTGCCACTTGACCCTGGGATCTTGACCTTGGGCAAGTGACAGTGCCACTTAGAGCCTCAGTTTACCTATCTGTAAAAGAGGGTCATCACTCTTACAGGGTTGCTGTGAGGGTCAGTGACACAGCACTGGGCATGGCTGGCACTTGTGACTGCTCACCCTGTCTCCCTCACGCCCACCTTACCTCCATCTGCCCGTTCTCTGCTGCGTCGTGGAGGGGGGTCCCACCCCAGGAGTCTCTCAGGATGGGGGTACCCATGAGCAGGAGTCGGTCTAGAATGGGCGTGTGGCCGCCTCGGGCTGCAAAGTGCAGGGCCGTGGCCCCCTCATTGTCCCGTGCCGTGAGTCCGATGTCGGTGAATGTGACCTGGGGAAGGAGGGGCAGAGGGAGCAGCCATCCTCCCAGGGAGGAGGCACACAGAGTGGGAGGGGCTTGGAGCAGAAGTGAAAGTGGACTCTGGCTGTACCTCTCGGGGCACAGGGTACAACCTCAGGAAACCCCGGACAGGGCTGGCTGAGCACGTGCGTCCCCGTCACCCTGGGGCAGCAGGACCTCTGGGGTCCAGGTGGGGGTGAAGTGAGCGCAGTAGCTTAATTTGCAGACACCATGGTCCCAAATCTGAAAGCAAACATCATGGCAAATGAAAACACCTAGGGAAGAGTAAACATGTGTTTGCTATGAAGGAAGGAGAGGAGAGAAGGAAGGGAGGGAGGGGCGGGGAGGGAAGAACTTCATTTGGCCCGAGGGTGGCGCTGCCTCGTTGGGCATTTGCACTGAGCCCCTTTGCTGGAGCAGCGGGTCCTGTGGCCTCCCTCCAGGGCCTGGATTCGAGCCAGGCAATGAGGTTTGGGGCCCTGACCTGCCGGCCACCACCGCTGGAGCGACTTGAGGCCAGCCCTGCCTCTGGGGCCTCATCTGCCTTCTGAAGGGCCCCTGCTGTGGTCCACAGCACCAGCCAGGTGACAGTCCTCTACACTGACTTGCGGAAACCTGTGCAGCTGGGACAGACATGGGGCCTGGGCCTGCCAGTGGGACGCGGGGGTCTCCTAGGACAGCCTGCCTTCCTGACAGACGGGTGATGGGCGTGCTGGCTCCCCGCCTTCACCCTCCTTCCTGCCTTGAGTGTGCCCGCTTTCCCCACTGGGGAGGCCACGAGAACAGCAGAGCCGCCAGCAGCCCGTCGCCTTCGGTGTGAGTGCCTCCTAGCGCAGCCAGGGCGCTCCTGACTGATCAGTACTCAGAAGTGTCTGTTGGGCAAAGCACAATGAGCTGGAAACAGAGACAGGGACAGGGCTGCCGTGGGGCTCCTTCGCATCTGGAGTGGCCTCTCTGGCCCTGAGACCCCGAGGCCTGCCCGCTTTCTCCCCAGGAAGGCCGCTCATGCCTCAGCACAGTCCTAGGGGTTCAGTGGACACCCTGTTTCCCTCCCTCAGGACCCCCTGTGGTGAGCTGCTGCTGCTCTGCCCACTGTGTGCAGCCGCCGCTCATCCCAGGAGCCAGGCATAGTTTGGGAGGCTGAGGTCTGGAGTGAATGGGTCAGAACTGCTGGAGGGGCAAAGGGAGGATGGCCAGGGTGGGACCCAGGTCCAGAGAGCTTCCTTTGGGGTAGGCTGCTCCAGCAGGAGGAGCTGGAGAGGCAGCCCCGGGGTGGGGAGGGGCGCACTTGCAGGCGAGGCACCGGGAGGGGCTGCAGTCTCCACGAAGGGAGGCTAGAGGCCAATTCAGGCGGCCTTGGGGACAAAGTGGGCAGGCAGGCAGCAGCCTGAGGATCTTGGGGCCACGGGGAGCAGGCCAGCGCCATCCCGAGCGCCCGGGGACACGGTGAGCAGGCGGGACCCGTCCCAAGGGCCTCAGGGCCATGGTGAGCAGCAGGCGCCATCCTAAGGGACCAGGCCCCCTGTTCCTTCACTTGCCCACCCATTGCTTCAGTAAACATCTCCCGAGCCTGACTGCGTGCCAGGTGCGGGGAACGTAGCAGGTGGTGAAGTCCTGCACCCACGGAGCTCCTGGCGCCTACACGCCGGCTGGTGGAAACCACCACCAAGGCCAGGAGTCAGACACGCCGTGTGCCTGGTGCTGGTGCGCCGGTGGGGAGGAAAGCAGGAGTGAGGATGGTCGGGGCAGGCGGCTCCCCCCATAAACCAGCTGGGCAGGGAAGGCCCCAGGGGCAGCTGGGGAGCTGTGTGCCAGGCACAGGGTGCAGTGCATGCAAAGGCCCCGGGGGCAGAGCCAGCCTGGCTTGCTGGAGAAGGAGCTGGACTGAGTGGGTGGGAGCCAGGAGACAGGAGGCCCCAGGCAAGCATGGGAGGTCTGGGGGCAGGCAGCTCTCACTTCTCCATCAGCAGCCACAGTGACCTTCCAATATGCCAGTCAGATCCTACTGCTCCTGGCTCCGAGCCTTCCGTGGCTCCCCAGGACCCTCAGGAAAGAGCCCCGGTCCTCCCAGCGCCTCTGTCTGCCTTTCCTGCCCGCCCCCGGGCCCCATGGGCCAGGCTCTCCCCGCCTCTGAATGACCTGTGCCCCCCTCAGGAAGTTGCTTTGGGCCCCACTCCTTGTCCGGCCGCCTCCTGTCCATCCTCAGTTCTGCCCCCAAGTCCCCTCCTCAAAGAGGGCCTCCTCTACTCTTTTTTTTTTTTTTTTTTTTGAGACAGAGTCTCACTTTGTTGCCCAGGCTGGAGTTCAGTGGCGTGATCTTGGCTCACAGCAACCTCCGCCTCCCAGGTTCAAGCACTTCTCCTGCCTCAGCCTCCCGAGTAGCTGGGGTTACAGGTCCCACCTGCTCTGCTTTTCTGTTGTAGAGGCAGGAAGTCCCCAGCCCCCCCTTGAAGATGGCACCTCCCCAACCTCAGCCACTCTGCTCTGGGGTCTCAGGTCTTCCTTCCCCAAAGAGGCCAGAAGTGGAGGAAGGTGGGGGCTGGCCTGGGGATCTCAGGCGGCAGGGCCTGAACAAGTGGTCGAGTGGCCCAAACTGGGCACTGCTGGTGTGGGCGCAGACAAAGCACCCGGGCCACCACCAACTGTGAGAGCACCTGGGAGGCCTACCAGGACTTCCAGGGAGAGAGGGACTAGGAGAGCCCCAGGGGAGCCGTGGCACGACCCCACAGAGCAGAGTGCACTACAGGTGGTCAAAACTTCTGGGGCCCAGCCTGGCCGGAGCTGCAGATTCTCGGGAGCCATGGACCAGCTCATCGGATGCCCCAACAGCCCTGCGTGTCCCCAGTTCCCTCTGGAGCCCCCATCCAGGCTCCAGGCTCTGCTTGCTGGAGGGCCCACACTCCCTGGATGTCCCCTTCCCACCTCTGGCACCCACTTACCAGCCAGACGACGAGGGAGTAGTGGCCACGGGCGGCGGCAGCGTGCAGGGCGCTCATGCCATCGAGAGCACGAAGGTGCACGTCAGCGCCACAGTCCTTCACCAGGAACTGGGCCAGGTGCAGGTGGCCCTCCTGGCAGGCCAGGTAGAGTGGGGAGGCGCCACTGCGTGTCCGCCGGTTCACGCTGCTGCAGGGAAGGGAGGGTTTGGAGGCCCAGTCCCTGCCTATGGCTGAGCCCATCCCTCGGCTGCTTGGACTTCACCGCTGCCCCCTGGCCCTGCCCGTGATGACTGAGTTTCCCACATGCTTTCCAGCTGCTGCTGCGGGGTTCCCCCCTCCAGGTTGCTCCCCCAGGTGGCTGTGCAACCCCACTCTCCTATCCTGTCCTTTTCTGGGGACTCCTGGGTCCAGGTCTGAAACACGCATCTTCTTAGACCTGAGGGGTCACAGTCTTGGCTTCCAGGTTCTCAGTTGTCCCAGTGGAGGCCCAGGATTGACCCCCGACTCCCTTAGGGTTTCCCTCTGCCCTGTGCCCTGTGGCAGGTGGCGCTGGGTGCCTGGTAGCTGTGGAGCTGAGGGTTGCACTGGCTGGGCTGGGGTCACAGTGGCGGCGTGGAGGCAGGGCCAAAGTCACCGGGGAGGGTCAACTCTCGGGCTCGTGCCTGCTTTCCCGCCAAGCCTGCTGACCACGCCACCCTGTCCCAGACCCTCCACCTCCGGGCCCTTCCCCTCTCAGGAGGGGAAGCTGAGGAGTAATGAAGGGATCTCACGAGCACCCCCACACCTGCTCCCCACTTCTGATAGACGAATCTGAGCAACTCAGTGTCCACCCCAGAGGAGAGTCCAGTCACAGGCCTCAGCTGGCAGAGGGGAAACAGAGGCTGGGAGCTGATTTGTCCAGGGACTTGCACCTGGGTTTGAATTCCCCTCCCCTCACAAAGTCCCCCAGTACCAGCCCCCTAGCAGCCTCTCCCCTGCTCCTAGCAAGGGGGACACAGGACCTTGGTGGCTGCTTTCTGGCCTTGGACCACACAGGGATCGTCCCCTGCACCTGCAGAGCCTGAGGGTCCACTCCCTCATGGAATGTGCCCCAAAGGGCTGCCAGTATGCCTTGGTGCCCTTCTCAGGGGAGGATCCGTGCTTTCACCAGACTCTGCCAGGTGTCCTTGACTGCATCCAGGGTTGGAACAGGTGGTGTCCAGCGCGGTGGCTGGGAGCAGGCCATGATGCAGCCAGTGGGTCGGGGGCAACTGGAGGGGGCATGGTCTGGCCAGGGGCAGCCACCTCTCGGCTGCTGCTGGTCAATGCCAGGCGGGAACTAGGCCGGGGGTACAGGACCTTCCCATTTGTGTGTGCGTGTGTGCGTGTGTGTGTGCATATTAACATGAAGCCTCCTGGTTTTCTTCTTTTTTTTGAGACATGGTCTTGCTCTATCGCCCAGGCTGGAGTGCAGTGGCACAATCCCAGCTTACTGCAACCTCCGCCTCCCAGACTCAAGTGATCCTCCCACCTCAGCCTCCTGAGTTGCTGGGACTACAGGCAGTCACCACCATGCCTGGCTAATTTTTAAATAAATTTTTTTGTAGAGATGGAGGTCTCGCTACATTGCCCAGGCCAGTCTTGAATTCCTGGGCTCAAGCAATCCTCCAGCCCCAGCCTCCCAAGATGCTGGGATTACAGGCATGAGCCACTGTGCTCGGCCCAAGTCTCCCAGTTTTCAATGGTGGAAACTTCTTTAAAAGCCGTGTGGGTCTGAGAGAGACTGTGGCCAGCCAAGGCTGAGGGTGGTGTGGACGCTCTGGAGAAAAGCCACAGAAGCGAATCCCAAAGGCCTTTGCCAAGCAGTCCAGGATGGGAACACCCGGGAATGAGAACCCGATTCCACAAGCAAGCTGTCGGGGCTTGTCCTGGAGCTAAGGGGGTGTGGGGGACTGAGGCCTCTGGGGCAGCGACAGGAAAATGAGATGCTGCCTCGAAAAGAGAAGAGCCGTGGTCAGAGGTAGGTGGGTCCCTGGGGGACAGGAAGGTTCGCCCTCAGCCAAGACAGTAGGAGGCAGAGGGCCTGTTCCTATGACAACAGTGACCTTTGTAAGCAGGGCGAGGACTGGAGGAGCTTCCAGGTGGGGAGGGAGGCCATCTGCCTTACTGGCTGTCCTGACCCTGGTCCTTCCTCGTTGCCCATCCACTAATTCCAGCAGGGGGCACAGGGCCCCAGAGACGATGAGGCCAGCGCCCGGCTCTAGGGGTCCCAGCACAGGGGTGGGGCAGTGCAGAGGCAGCTCCAGCCTCTGTGTCCCCAAGTCCACTAGACAGTCCCCACTCCTGTCAGGTGATGGGAGGGTGCCCTCACAGGTTGCCAGCTGCCCACGTCCCCAGCTGTTTTAGGTCCCGAGATGCCCCCAGGTGGGGCCAGAGCTGCCCTGGGCATCACAGCAGCATCTTGCCATCGTCACCGCCCCCAGCCACTCTCCAAGCTGAAGCACTGGCCTGTGTCCCCTTGGGCCCTGGCATGGCACTGCCACTGCCTGGCCTGTGGGTAGAGGCCTCATTGCCCTTGGCTCCTGCCAGCTCACCCCCACAGTGACAGCATGCCCGCCTGCAGGATTCACCTCAAAGGCCACCAGCCTGTCCTCTTGGCCCTCCATGGTGCAGCCTCCCCTTGGCCAGCTCGCCCCAGGCTGCCCCCCCAGGCGGGACTTTGGGCTCCTTACCTGCCATGCGCGGCTGTCAGGAGCTTGAGGCAGGTCAGGTCCCCACTGACGGCAGCGTGGTGCAGCGGCCGGGCTCCCTCCCGGGTCTCTAGCGTGGCCGAGTGGCCCTCGTGGAGCAGCCACTCCACCAGCACTGGGTGTCCAAAACGGGCGGCCAGGTGCAGCGGGGAGACGCCCGAGGCATCTTGGTCCTACCAAGCCCCGGGTAGGTCAGTGAGTGGGGGGTAGGCCGTGAGGTCAGAGCCAGCTGCCGGAGGTGGGCCCTGGGCGAGGGCTCACACTGCCTGCAACCCAGTGAAGGGGCTTCCAGCTCCTTCCTCCTTCCCTCCGTTTCTGCCTGCAACATGGAGGGAGGTGCTCCCTGCTGGGACTGAGGTGAGAGGAGGGCCAGGACTCAGGTCCAGGTCTTGGGAGGCCACCTCTGGCAACCCTGCCCTCTCCTGGGCCCGTCCCCAGTGTGGAGAAGGCCCTTTCCCACGCAGTCGGGTGCCCGCAGACACCTGCCCACTCTGCTCATGGTCAGAAAGGCTTCCCAGGACACCTACCTCTGGCTGGTCCCCTGCCCCAGTGCCCTCCCGCTGGCCACAGGGTCCCGGGGCCAGGGAGCGTTCCTACCACAGGTGTCAGGGGTCCAGCAGACCTGGGCCTTCTCCAAGGGCCCTGTCAGAATGGATCCCCAGGCAGGCACAGCTCCCGCCTGCTGCCCTTGGGTTTGGCGGAAGGGCCGACAGGAACAGGATGCTGGGCCGGGACTCTCAGGTGCTCTGGCGAGCCAGGTGCTGGGGAACCTTCCCGCTCCGCAGTCTAAGCAGGCCCCACCGGCCCCCACCTCAACTCTGACCTCTGGGCGGCGGCGTTCTAAGGCCGGTCAGTCCTGCTCACCCTCAGCCCTGAAAGCTCCACAGGGCTGAGCGACAGCTCTAAGGGCCTCGCCTGCACAAAGGGGACTGGGCAGGCAGGATAGGGGAGGGGGGCCCAGTAGAAACGATCCGGACAAGACGATCACCATCAGCAGCCCTAACTCCCGTCCCCCAGGGCTAGGCTCCCAGCTCTCAAGCCCAAGTTCCCACAGTGCTTCTGTAAGGATCCCTTTCTAGACCCTTTGGGAGGCAGGCCCTGTGGACCAGGCCTGATCAGAGACAGGGGTCCTGATATCTGGCAAGACCCCCACTGGCAACGCCCAGCTTCCTGGCAGGGAAGGTGATAAGAAAATTTAGGAGGTGTTCTTGGCTCTCAAGCCTTTGTGCTCTGAGAGGCGTGGGGCAGAGACGGTAACCACTGACTGAGTCCCCAAGAGAAACAAAGGGCCCAGGGCCATGGAGCCCGGGGTGGCCAGTACTCTGATCCTCCGTGGCTCACACCTCCCTGGTTCCACCCCAGCCAGCTTCGTGGAGCCAGGCTGCCCCATCCCCGCTCACCTGCAGACCGCAGCCCCCCTCGCGGACCAGCCAGCACAGCTCGGCCAGGCTGCCCGTGGCAGCGGCGTCATGCGCTGGGGTGGCCCCGTTGTGGGCCCGCTGGTTGCCGGGCAGCTGGGCCCGCTGCACCAAGAACTTGACGCAGTCCAGGTGGCCAGCCCGGGTGGCGTGGTGAACCAGGCCGGCCCCCAGAGCATCGGTGATGCCCGGGCCCAGGGCGCCAGCCTCCAGCAGCCGCTCCAACGTCGCCACATCCCCATCCTTGGCGGCCACGAGTGCCCGCTGCTTCTCCATCCTCTGGCCCGGGCTCTCAGTGGCGACTCATGCACAGGCTGGGGCTTCCTGTTTCAGACGTGGATGAAGCTGCCGGCTCTGGTTACCCGATAAGCTGCCACAGGGCAGATGGGAGGCGGTGGGGTGGGGTCGGGTGGGGGGACAGGCCTTGAGGACCTGCCCAAGCCACTCCCACAGTGTGAGGGTGCCAGGTGCCTGGAGCTGGGAGGATGGAGTACAGGGCACAGGGAAAGGCCCACACCAGGCTAGGTCAGGGCTGGGTATGGCCAGCAGAGAAAGGAGGCTGGCCCTGAGGCTGCTCAGATCTGTCCAGATGGCAGGAACTTCATCTGTGGAGCGAGGGCTGAGGATACACGCCACTGAGCTTCTCACAGGAGCCCCGAGTGGCCTGGGAGACAGTTCCCCCAACTCTCACAGAAGGGCAGACCCCCAGCCGCCACCACAGTGTGTCTGAAGTAAAGGGTGCCCAGTAGGTCTACATGTTTGGCTGTGTTGACACCCACAGAGCTGAGCGCCCCGCCTCTGGGTCCCGGCCCTCGGCCCTGGAGGCTCCTAGGAATCTCTGGGGACACAGTGGCTCCACGGGGCCTGCAATGGGCTCAGGACCCTGACTTGGGTGTGTCCAGGCCTCTGAGGCGAGAAGGTGTCAGCCCCTGCCTCGGCCCCCTCTCCAACTACACGGACCAAGTCTCTGGGCTGCAGCCCCAAGGGCCCAAGTACATTTAACCCCTTTCCAGATTGTTCTGGACAATCCATAGTTCTTCTTTAGGGAAGTCAGGACCACCACAGCCTCTTCCTGGCAGCAATGGGAAGCTGCAGATGGGGGACCCATTACATTTGTAGGGGCTTCCGGAGACACAGCCTCAAGCTGGATTTCTGGGCTAACGCATCATCACACAATGGTGACCTGGGGGCTGCTGCACCCCTGGCTTCCCCCCGACAGGCTCTGTCAGATGACTTTGTGCCCAAGCGCAGTGCCCACTAGAGAAACCACAGGATCCCCAAGTCGGGCACTGAAATCTTTTATTCGTTAATTTAGTTTCTGGCAAGTGTTTCCTCAAAATCATCAAGTAGTTCCTTGAACCGTAAAACCACACATTAAAAATGTTATTCCACTGAAAATGACTCCTATGCAAATATCGACATGTGATGTGTGTCCAAATGCCAGAGCATTTTGAGAAAAGAATCCTCTGCAAATAAAATTAAGGTAAAAGCTGAGTCAGGGATGATCCGATTCCCACCCCAGGAATGACCTGGAGCTGCACCAACTCAGCGAGGTTGGAGCTGAAACCCTGAGTTAATAATGATCAAAAGGGACAAGACAGGAAGGCCTGGGGACCGTGGACAGGGAAGTGCGCAGCCCTGATTGCCAGTGGGCGGAACAGGGTCAGGCTCGGGGAAGCAGGAGGGGTGGTGGGCGGTGGGCGCTGAGCAGAGCAGGCCTGGCCGAGGCTGGGGGCCACTGTGCACTGAGGCCAGAGGAGCAGGGTGGTGGGGGCAGCTTTGGAAAGGGACTAAAAAGGGCCTGAGAAGAGACCACTCTGGAAAGGTGCATGTAGAGGCCATGATCAAAACAAAAAAATCAAGTTTCCTACGTTCATGATAGCATTTGGCTGACAATGAGTTATAAATACTTGGATTCTATCTTCCAGATAAAAACACCTTCCAGGAAAGGGCACTCACAACAGGCGTGCCCAGTTCCCAGTGGGGAGGGTGGATAAAGCTAAGTGTTTCCGCTTCACCACTGGAGGACGGTTCTATGTGGGCGGTCCCATGTGGGCGGTCCCATGTGGGCGGTCCCATGTGGGCGGTCCTATGTGGGCGGTCCTATGTGGGCGGTCCCATGTGGGCAGTCCTATGCGGCGTTGGTGTCCTGGGCCCTGTGAGCTCTGCAGGGGTCCAGGGAAGGAAACTGGGGGTGCACACTCGCTGGCACTCCAGGACAAAATGCAGAGGGGGCATGAGACAGTCATCCTGGCACAGCCCTCAGGAGGGAACTGGAGGGACAACCCTGTGCCCTGCCACGGGCTTCCCAGAAGCGGGGTGGGGAAGGCGGCCCCAGTGCTAGGCCTGGTCCTCCAGCTGCGCCACGGCCTGCTTCAGGTCCTGCACGACGAGGTCCACCTCGGCCCTGGTGGTGCTGCGGCCCACGCTGAGCCGGAGCGCGTTCCTGGCCACGTCGAAGGGGACACCGTAGCTCAGCAGCACTGGGGACGGCCTGGGGAGGGCGAGACCGAGCTGCAGCTGCTGCTGAGGGCACATGGAAGAGACACAGCCCCCCCTGCTCTGGACCACTCCCCTAGTGGGGCTCTGCCCACCCGGATGTGCGCCTGCCTCGCCTGGCATCCACCTCCTGCTAAACTCCCAGACCAAGCACACCCCTAAGATCACCCACATCAAGGTGTGGCTCAAAGTCGCCCCCGTTCTCCCTGCAGAGTTCTCTTGCACTTGGCACTCCCAGGTGACACTGCCTCCCTCTCGCACTGAGCTCTGGGGCCAGGGGCTCTCCTGTCCTTGAGGGGTCTGAGGTCCTGGAGAACACGGATGCCGACACAGACAGTGCCTTACCCATGCGGCCCACCTGAGCCACTTGGTAACTTCATGGCACCTAGCATGGGGCTTTGCAGACACTAGGGACCCAGTCAGTATCTAGCCATGAACAGATGACTGCGTGGGGACATCCTGAAGCAAGGCTGTTGGAGGCTCGAGATGTGGGCTCTGTCAAGGGGCCTGACCTCATCACACCCGGGTCCCTTTCCTCCCCTGCCCCTCCTGCAGCAGGGCACTGTCCCCCCAACAAAGGGCCCCATCCTGCCCCTCCTTTTCCCTGGAGCCAGGCCCACCACTGTCTCGCTCCAGGTGCTCCTGCACAATCCCTCTGCCCTGACCTTGATGGCCACGTGCTGCTGGCTACAGTTCCGCTCTCTCCCCAGAACCCTGAGTGTTCCTCCTGCGTCCACTCCGACCTCCCACAGGGGCCTCACGTTTTCAGCAGACCAGACCCAGAACCACTTCTCCCCTGCTGCCAGCAGGCCGCTGCTCGGGCACCCCACGCCCTCTACCCCACAGTCTCCGCCAGGCAGCCCACCCGCTCACCCGGGCCCTGCTATCTGAGAATCTCTGCTGCATCTTGCAGATGGCTGATCTGACACCTGAGTCTGCTCACACCATGGCCCTCAGGGCTCCCACTTCCATGAGGTTTAAGTAAGCACTGACACTCAGGCCATCCCCACCCCAGCCCACCCCAGCCCGCCCCAGCCCTCCCCAGCCCCGGCCACGCTGGCCCTCCAGGCCCTGCCCTCCCTCCGCCTTCAGAACTGAGCACGAGAAGCCCTCTTCTCCCGCACAAGTCCTAGTCCTTCAGATGGCAGCTTGGAAGTCACTTCTTCCAGGAAGCCCTCCCTCTGCCCCTCCTAGGGCCCAGACAGGGCTGTCCTTCACCAGCCAGAGTGCGGCCCAGTGGCCGGATCCTGCCGCCTGCCCACCACACCCAGTGCCCGGAGGACCCCTATGCCCTGGACTGGGTTTGTGAAGAGCACTTACTGGTCCCCGTGGTCCGAGTGGCACGCGGCCCCCACACTGGCCATCAGCACTCGGCACTGCGCAAGCACCACGTGGCCTGCGGAGACAGAGCACATGCCCCTGAGATGGGGCTCCAGCCAGGTTGCCCTTCTGTCCCTTCCCGGGGTCCTGCTGGGCGCAGGCTGCTTCCCTCCCTCTGTGCCACCTGGTGGAATTCCAGCACTGGCCATTCTGGCAGCTGGGGAGAGATCTCACAGCAGGAGCCGAAGAAAACGCTTCCTTTCTCCCTTGGCTGCACAAACGCAGACACTATTCTGCCTCACAAAGCTGGCCTTGAAAATCGCATTTGTAATCAACTGCCTGCTAAGACACCTGGAGTCCTGACCCGCTCCTTCCTTACAAGCTGGCAGCCCCGGCAATATCACGTCTCCACCTGTGTTCTGGATGGTAGAGACACGTGGGAGTTCTATTAAGCCAGAAGGCATTTCCCTCTTCTTTCACAAGCACAGCCATTAATGACTGCTGATGTAATTAACCTGAGAATTTCAGCCAGGTGCAGTGGCTTACACCTGTAATCCCAGCACTTTGGGAGGCCAAGGTAGAAGGACTGCTTGAGCCAGGAGTTTGAGACCAGCCTGGGCAACACAGGGAAACCCTATCTCTACAAAATATTTTTTAAAAATTAGCCAAGGCCGGGCATAGTGGCTCATGCCTGTAATCCCAGCACTTTGGGGGGCCAAGGTGGGTGGATCGCCTGAGGTCAGGAGTTCGAGACCAGCCTTGCCAACATGGCAACACCCCGTGTCTACTTAAAATACAAAAATTAGCCCAGCGTGGTGGCAGGCACCTGTAATCCCAGCTACTCTGGACGCTGAGGCAGGAGAATCGCTTGAACCCAGGAGGTGGAGGTTGTGGTGAGCCGAGATCATACCACTGTACTCAAGCCTGGGCAATAAGAGTGAAACTCCATCTCAAAAAAAAAAAAAAAAGTTATCCAGGTGTGGTGGTGCATGCCTGTAGTCCCAGCTACTAGGGAGGCTGAGGCAGGAGGATCACTTGAACCCAGAAGGTCAAGGCTACAGTGGGCTGTGATTGCGCCACAGCACTCCAGCCTGGGTGACGACAGAGTGAGACCCTGAATCAAAAAATAAATAAATAAAATGAGAACCTCTGTCTCATTTAAAGTAACACAGGTTGTCACTGAACACAAAGTCTGACCCCAGAACAAGGGGAACGTTGACAGAGAACTCTCCTTTCCATGGTGAGGAATTTGAGATGGTCAAGGAGACCCAGGCTTCACTGCCCACAAGAACGCATTTCAGCCCAGGTTCTCATGAACGCAGCCATCATGACGGTTACCCACGGGTTCTTCTTCATGGGCCAAACACGACTGCTGGGTTTCTCTGCGTGATCCAGGAAGAAGAAAGAAGCAACACTTTCATCTTCTAAGAAGTCAAAAACTTGTTTACAGATGCAGCTCATCGTGATCTCAGGGCCACTATAACCTCCTCCCAAATGACATGCGGCTGGTCAATCACCTGGACTTCCACTCTCAGGGAGTCAGGGCAGACCAGGTTTTAGGTGCATCTGGGACGGGGGTGATCCTAACTGCTCCTAGCCGAGGCAGATGTTGCAGGAAATCCAGATTTGCACTTGATCCTTACTCTGCCAGTTATTTTTGTTGTTTTTTGTTTGTTTGAGACAGAGTCTCACTCACTCTGTCACCCAAGCTGGAGTGCAGTGGCTCAATTATGGCTCACTGCAACCTCCAGGTTCAAGCAATTCTCCTGCCTCAGCCTCCCAAGTAGCTGGGACTACAGGTGCACACCACTATGCCTGGCTAATTTTTTGTAGTTTTTGGTAGAGATGGGGTTTCTCCATGTTGGCCAGGCTGGACTCAATCTCTTGACCTTGTGATCAGCCTGCCTCAGCCTCCAAAAGTGCTAGGATTACAGGCACGAGCCACTGTGCCCAGCCTCTGCCAGTTTTTAAAACTGATCACCTCCCCTTTCCCTCACTCAAATATTTAATTAAAACTGCCAACAAAATAGACAAATGTCTAGAATTTAATGTTGCTTCCTTCCCTGACGGCTTTTGGGGTGGCGCTAATGCCAGACACGAGAGTTTGCCACAGTCCACATCCCAGCAGCAGCAAAATGAGCCACGTCAGGGAGAGGAGGGGCCAGCGGCGAGAGCCCTGTGGACCACAGCACAGCCACCCGAGCCTGCTCTTGGCAACCCCAGCAAGGCCCTCTGACAGCCCGAGCTGTGTCATGCTCAGGGCAGGGCGAGTGGGAGTCACTGGCTCGGACCAGAATCCACGCACCGAGGGAGCTGTGCTCACACTCGGAAAGACCAGGGTGAGGGGCCATCACCTTGAAGCCGGGGTCCCCGGATGGAAAAGTTACAGGTATTGGGAAGCCGCTGGGTGCCTGGAAACTGGCTATTCAGATGGATTCTCTTCTGACCGAATTCAGCCTGAAAAAAATAAGTGAAATATTTGGTGACAGCTTCAAAGACACCACCACCAGCAACTGTTTGAAATTTAGACTTTTCCAGAAACACAACTTCAGCAGGTGCATACTTTTCAATCAGCATCTACCCAGAATAGTTACGGGGACGGACTATGGAAAGCAAAGTTAATTAGGAGAAAAACCAAATATTCAGAAACATATGAACCTTCCACATAAACCATGAGGTATACCACCTCTGCATATTTGATCCTGTGTCTCTGAAAAAGATCATGCCCCTGGCCTAGGGTCCTGCTTTCGGGGTTTCAGATCCCAATGTACTTTCTGCCACTGTTCTTTCTTCCCTCACTGCATCCTGCTGAGTTCCAGGCTACGCTGCAATCCCCACAGGTCCTGGGGTCTGGGAGCACCACACCCCTCCTCTCTGGGCACCTGCCCCACGCACCCTCCCCCTCCTGGTGCCCACCCCACGCTGCGCTCACTTCCAGCCTCTCTTCCAGGTAGTCGCGGACGTCCCTCATGTGGGCCTCATAAGCCTCGCAGTTCTGGGTCACCAGCTCCGCGGCCTGGGGGCAGACACACAACAAGTGGATGCACAATTCTTGCAAAATAAAGGAGGGCCAAAAAGCTTTCAACGGTACAGGTGGCATTTCCTGAAACTGCTCATTCTCCTGACAGTCACAGACAGACCATATTTTTTGAGTGCTGCCATTTGGAGGGTGTGGAAGTGCCCCAGAAACTGACTTCACCAGGTACCTCCTGACAGCACCAGGCACTGGAGATGCCTCAGCAAAGCAGCCCTGAAAGGGCTCCCTCGAGGAGCCAGCATCCCAGAGAGGCAGACGGACAAAAGCAGGGGAAGAGGGGAACAGACTCCTACCCACCAGTTGGCGCTGTGAAGGCACCTCGCAGGCCCAAGGTGGGGTGGTGACAGAGATGGCTGTACAAGGGCAGGGAATGGCGTCCCAGCAAGGGCTTTGCAGGGGACAGACAGACATTCTGTCTCTAGAACAGAGGGGCCTGGCGTGGCGGGTGGAGAGTGTGGAGGGGGTGAAGGCGCAGGGACAGATCGACAGGCCCTGCAGGCCCGGCCACGGGGCAGACGCAGTGAGGCTGAGGGAGGGATGCGATGGTCTGACTGGCCTGTCTGTTGGTCATTCTGTGGCCGTGTGGAAAATGGCAGCAGCAGGCCCCCAGGAGGCCATGGCAGGCATCCAGACCCTTGGTCTAGGGTTGGTGGCCATGAAAATGGACATGAGGCCGGTAGTGGGTGTATTCTGGAATCCAGACAGACAGGAAGGTGCTGCATTGGAGGCAGGGGACGATGACAAGGAGGGACTGAGGGCATCCCCCGGACTTCAGAGGTGAGAACCTGGATAGCAAGAGGTGCCCAGGGTGGGAAGAGGGTTGGAGGAGAGCAGTCGGGACAGGTTTTGAACTCAGAGGAATGGATCTCTCAGGACATGGGCCAGGGCCTAGCTGAGATGTCAAGTTTAAAGGCAGGAGCACAAGCTAGCATCACAGTGACAGGACAGACGGACCCACAAGGGCTCAGGTGCAGGGCTGCCAGCACGCAACCAAGGCAGAAAGGAATGGGTGAGGGAAAGCACGCTGGGGAGGGCGTGTGCAGGATGGAGTCTAGGCTGGGTGGCGGAGGGGGGCTGTCTAGAGCGCTGGTGGCATTGGGGTCTGGGCTGGGCGAAGCTGAAGAACCAGTGGGGGTGTGGTGCTGTGGCTGGGACCCAGCTGTGGCACTTGTGCCATTACAGGTGCAGATGCAGCTGCAGGAGCACGGAGAAGGTCAGGGGCTGGGGGGCTTCCAGCACTGTGAGCTGAAGCTCTACCTAGGAAGCTGTTACCGTGATTCCCATCTGGCAGCCAGGACTCAGGGAGTTCCAGCGACCTGACCCAAGGCACACGGTGAGTGAAGCTTCAAGCCAGGATTTGAACCCTGGGTATTTCAAAGCCTGTGGACGGCACCACTACTTCATCACTCAGGTCAATACGAGCAGGTACCGGACTCCACTTAAAACACACTCTTCCGGCTGGGCGTGGTGGCTCATGCCTGTAATCCCAGCACTTTGGGAGGCCAAGGCGGGTGGATCACCTGAGGTTAGGAGTTCGAGACCAGCTGGACAACATGGTGAAACCCTGTCTCTACTAAAAATACAAAAATTAGCCAGGCATGGTGGCGCATGCCTGTGGTTCCAACTACTTGGAGACTGAAGTGGGAGAATCTCTTGAACCCGGGAGATGGAGGCTGCAGTGAGCCAAGGTCGTGCCACTGCACTCCAGCCTGGGTGACAGAGTGAGACTCCATCTCAAACAAACACACACTCTTCCTTCTAGTAAATGTAGCCACAGTTATCACTGTTAATAATATAATTTTGAATATTCTAAGTAACAGGGAATCCATTCATACTCTTCCCAAGGCCCGGCCTCCTGGGCGCTAAGCCCTTTCTCTGTACTGGGGATACTGAGGCCGACATGGCCAAGCCCCTGCTCTCGGGGAAGCAGAAGGTGGGGCATACATCTGAACACACTACAGAGAAACATCAGATAGGGGAAATAAAGCAGTGTCAGGGATAGAGGGTGACAGCAGGGGACATGGGGGAACCAATGTAGCTGTGGTTCATGGAGGGTTGCTTGAAGGTGGTGGCCTTTGACCAGAGGCCGCACAGTGAGGGAGCAGCCTGCAGACGCCGAGGTGTAACCAGTACCTCTGCCTTCGCACGGCAAAACCTGAGCCTGGTTACTGTCGCAGAAGCAGGACAGGCCCCAGTGGAGGGCTGGTGGCAGGTGCTGGATTGGCCACCCCACAGACCAATCGGGGACAGAACGTCGATGGTGCGGGGGCTGCCGACGCCTTTGGGAATGGTGAACCTGCAGCTTGACACTTCACCTCTGCTGTAACAGTATCACTGTTTCTCATGTCAGAAGAGACACAGACAAGGAGTTTTTCCCTTTTAAATGCTAAACAAGTGCCACTAATCCACAGATCTGAAAAAGTACAGCTCTCCAGGTTGATAAATCAGATTCCAGGCTTTTTCTTGTCAGTCCGCTTATGAGATCACGAATATGATCTCCCTAAAGCCCCAGATTCCTACTAGAGCCGCTGGGGACACTGATGACAAAGCAATCAACTCATCTCCTCAAGCTCACCAGGGCTCACCTTCCCAAGGCCAGCAATCATTGGGGTGTTCTCTGTCCTGTAAGAAACAAGGGATTAAGCAAGAATAAACAAATGTCTCAGGAAGGAATCCTGTCTCCATGAAAGTCATTGTGTTAAAATAAAATCAAACTCACGCTACATCTTTCCTAAGCACGCGCCATGTGGCTATCTCAATGGCAGCTGCAGGCCCCAGAAACCTCCCCTGCCAAGTTTTCACTTGCCCTGGCCCAGTGAAGGTCAACGAGGCCCACTGTGGGTGATGTGTTGGGTGTTCACTGTGACAGTTCTATCTGGACCCTTTTCCTACCCAAAGCAAGCACTCTGCCTCCTGTAGGCCCCAAGGCACAGCTCTCTTTAGTCCTCACTGCCAAATCAGTATAGTATGGAACAGGGGAGAACCCTTTGTTCTCAACATTTCAGGCATCAGCAAACAAGAGGGGTGTGTGTGTGTGTGTATGTGTGCAAGCGCGTGTGGGTGTGCACACACACAGGAGATGGGCAAGAGACCCCTAAAGACAATGGCTTGCATACTCTGACCTAACAAACCGAAAAACAGAACTCATTACCCTATTTTCAGGAAAAAAAAATTAACTTAATAATTAATTTCTTAATTTTTTTTTAGATGGGGTCTCGTTCTGTTGCCCAGGCTGGAGTGCAGTGGATCTCGACTCACTGCATCCTCCACCTGCCGGGTTCAAGTGATTCTCCTGCCTCAGCTTCCTGAGTATCTGGGATTACAGGCATGTGCCGCCATGCCCAGCTAATTTTTGTAAAGACAGGGTTTCACCATGTTGGTCAGGCTGGTCTCGAACTCCTGACCTCGTGATCCAGCCACCTCGGCCTCCCAAAGTGCTGGGATCACAGGTGTAAGCCACTGCGCCCGGCCCATTAATTTCTTAAGTTTGCCTGAACAAAGTTTTCTTAAACCTCTGGACTCGGCTATTGCTTGTTTACCAATAGATATTTTCTCTGCACCCTCACCAGCATTTGGTGGTGTCTCTATTCTTATTTTAGCCATTCTGATAGGTGTTAGTGATATCTGGTGGTTTTAATTTGCATTCCCCCAATAACTAATGCTGTTGAACATCTTTTCCTGTGCTTATTACCTGGGTCTCCTCTTTGGTGAAATGTCTGTTTATATTTTTTCCCTATTTTCAGATTGAATTTTTTATATTATTTTTGCTGTTGAGTTTTGTGAGTTCTTTATATATTCTAGATACCATTTCTTTGTCAGATATGTCATTTGAAAATATTTTTTCCTAGATTTAGCTTATCTTCCCATCCTCTTAATATGGTCCTTCCCAGAGCAAAAGCTTTAAATTCTGATGAAGTCTAATTTATCAATTTTTCCTTTTATGGATGCTTTTGGTGTCAAGTCTAAGAACTCTTTGCCTAGTCCTAGAACTTGAAGATTTTCTATTTTTAAACGGTTTTATTGCTTTATGTTTTACATTTAATTTCAAGATCTATTTTGAGACACTATTTTATGAGGTGTAAGACAGGGGTGTCTAATGCTTTGGCTTCCCTAGGCCACACTGGAAGAATTGTCTTGGGCCACATATAAAATACACTAATGATAGCTGATGAGCTTTAAAAAAAAAAAAAATCGCAAAAAAAAAAAAAATCAATGTTTTAAGAAAGTTTATGCATTTGTGTTGGGCTACATTCAAACCTGTCCTGGGCCGCATGCAGCCTGCAGGCCGCAGGTTGGACAAGCTTGGTGTAAGACTTGGGTCAAGGTTCATCTTTTGCCTATGGATGTCTAACTGCCTTGGCACGATCTGTTGAAAGGCTAACTTTCATCTGCTGAACTGATTTGCGTCTCCTGCGGTTGTATCTGCACCCGTAACTCATATGGGCCTATTTCTGTTTGGGTCTATTCTCCTCCATTGATCTACTTGCTGGGATTTTGATAGAAATTGTTAGGCTTGTATATCCACCTTTGACATCTTTGGTATGTAGAATCTTCCAATCTATGAACACGGCATGTGTCTCTGCTTAGATCTTCTTCTCATCCACATTATATTATTTTCAGCATATAAGTCCTTTATATTTTGCTAGTTTATATCTGAGTAATTTTGTTTCATTGTAAATGGTATTATATTTTTAATGTTACTGTCCACCTGTTCATTACCACTATATAAAAATAAGATAGATTTTTGCATGTTTATCTTGTGTCCTGCAACCTTGCTATCCTCACTTATTAGTTCTAGGAGTTTTCTTGTACATTCCTTGGGATTTTCTTTATAGACAATCGTGTGATCTGATTAGAAACAATTTTACCTCTTCCATTCTGATCTATATGCCTTTTGCTTCCTTTTCTTGCCTTACTACGCTGACCAGAACTTCCAGCACTATGCTGGATAAGTGTGGTGACAGTGGACATCCCTGCTTTGTTCCCCCAGCCACAGGAGTAAAACATTCAGGCTTTCACCACTAAGTATGATATCAGCTGTAGGTTTTATGTAGATGTTCTTTTTCAAGTTGAGAAAGTTCCCCACTAATCCTATTATTCTGAGTTTTTAACATGAATGGTTGAATTTTGTCAAATGCTTCTGCTGCATCAAATATGATCATGTTATCTTCTTTATTCATTAGCTTGTTAATATGGTAGATTACATTGATTGAATTTTTTTATTTTTGTAGAGCTGGGTCTTGCAGTTCACCTAGGCTGGCCTTGAACTCCTGGCCTCAAGTGATCCTCTCGCCTTGGCATCCCAAAGTACTGGGAGATTACAGGCATAAGCCACTGTGACCTGCCTTGATTGCATTTTTTCTTTTCTTTTCTTTTTTTGAGATAGAGTCTTGCTCTGTTGCCTAGGCTGAAGTGTGGTGCTGCCATCTCAGCTCATGCAAACTCTGTTACCCAGGTTCAATCGATTCTTGTGCCTCAGCCTTCCAAGTAGCTGGGATTACAAGCGTCTGCCACCACACCTGGCTAATTTTTGTATTTGTAATAGAGGCGAGATTTCACCATGTTGGCCAGGCTGGGCCCGAACTCCTGACTTCAAGTGATTTACCCGCCTTGGCCTCCCAAAGTTCTGGGATTGCAGGCATGAGCTACCACTCCCGGCTCTAGATCGCATTTTGAATATTGAACCAGCCTTGCATCTGTGGAATAAATGCCACTTGGTCACAGTGTATCATTCTTTATTTTTTTGAGACAGAGTCTCACTTTGTCACCCAAACTGGAGTGCAGTGGTGTAATCATAGCTCATGCAGCCTTGACCTCCCACGCTCACTCAAGCAATCCTCCTATCTCAGCCTCCTGAGTAGCTGGGATTATAGGCATGTACCACCATGCCCAGTTAATTTTTTTATTTTTTGTAGAGGGGTCTCACTATGGTGCCCAGCCTGGTCTTGAACTCCTGGGCTCAAGTGATCCTGATCCCCTGCCTCAGCCTCCCAAAGTGCTGGGATTACACGCGTGAACCACCACACCCAGCAGTGTATAATTCTTTCTATGTATTGCTGAATTCTATTTGTAAACATTTTGTTAAATATTTTTTGCATCAAAATTCATGAGGATGTTGGTCTGTAAAGGATTTTTTTTGTACTGTCTTTATCTGGTTTTAGTGTCAGGATAATACTAGCTTCATAAAATGAACTGGGAAGTTGTCCTTCCTCTTTATTTTCTGGAAGAGACTGTATAGAAATGTTAATTCTTCTTTAAACAAAGAATTCTTCGATAGAATTCTCTAATGAAACCACCGGGCCTGAAGACTTCTCTTTGGGGAGTTTTAAAGCTGTAAGTTCAATTTCCTAATGGTTATAGAGCTATTCAAATGATCTATTTTATATCAAGTGAGTTGTGGTAGTTTGTGTTTTTTGAGGAAGTGGTCAGTTTCATCTAAGTTGTCAACTTCCTATGTGTAGAGCTGTTTGTGGCATTCCCTCATTATCCTTTTGATGGCTGCAGGGCCTGGAGTGGTACTCCTTGTTTCATTCCTGATGTTATAACTTCTCTGTTTTTTTGGTCAGTCTTGCTAGAGGTCTGTCCTGGGCTCAAGCAATCCTACCATCTATCTCAGCCTCCCACATAGCTGAGACTACAGGCCCGTGCCACCACATCCAGCCATTTTTTTTTTTTTTTGTAGAAACAGGATTTCACCATGTTGCTCAGGCTGGTCTTGAACTCCTGGCCTCAAGCAATCTACCTGCCTTGACCTCCCACAGTGCTAGGATTAGAAATGTGAGCCACCACGCCCAGCTAATGTTGTCTTTTTTTTTTTTTTCAGACGGAGTTTTGCTCTTGTTGCCCAGGCTGGCGTGCAGTGGTGCGATCTCGGGTCACCACAACCTCTGCCTCCCGGGTTCAAGCGATTCTCCTGCCTCAGCCTCCCAAGTAGCTGGGATTATAGGCATGCGCCACCACACCCGGCTCATTTTATATTTTTAGTAGAGATGGGGTTTCTCAATGTTGGTCAGGCTGGTCTCAAACTCCTGACCTCAGGTGATCCACCGGCCTTGGCCTCCCAAAGTGCTGGGATAACAGGCGTGAGCCACCGTGCCTGGCCAATATTGTCTTTTTTTTTTTTTTTTTTTTAAAGAGACAGGGTCTTGCTCTGTTGCCCAGGCTGGAGTGCAATGGTGTGATCATAGCTCACTGCAGCCTCGAACTTCTGGGCTCGAGTGATCCTTCCCCCTCAGCCTCCTGAGTAGCTGGGACTACAGGCACGCACTGCCATGTCGGCTAATTAAAAAAAATTTTTTAGAGATGAGATCTTGCTATGTTGCCCAGGCTGGGAACTCCTGTCCTCAAGCAATCCTCCTGCCTTGGCCTCCCAAAGCAGGGGGATTATAGGTGTGAGCCATCGTGTCAGCCTGTGTTGTTGTCACTTTGCCAGTTCCAGTGAAGCACAGACCTCATCTCCTATTATGTTCCTTTACCTTTGCCTTTCTATAATTATCTTAAATATGTCCTTTATGTACATTTTGAACCACATCAGATATTGCTAAGATTTTTGCTTCTGCTATCAAACGTAATTCAGAAAACTCTAAAGAAGAAGGAAAGCCTATTGTATTTGGTGATAAATTCTTAGTTTTTCTTCATCTGAGAATGTTTTGATTACTTCTTCATTCCTGAAAGATATATTCACTGGGTACAGGATTCTAGCTTGACGGTTTTCTCTGAGCACTTGAAGAAAAATAATTGTGTCCCTTTCTTCTGGTCTTTCTGGTTTCTGATGAGAAATTCAGTCATCCAAATTCTTTTTCCCATACTGGTGAAGTGTCATCTTTCTCTGACTGCTTTAGAGAATTCTGTCTTTCATTTTTAGAAGTCTAATCATATGTCTCTGGCATAGATTTCTTTGCGTTTATGCTATTTGGGGTTTACTCAGTTTCTTGATTCTGTATGTTTATGTCTCTTGCCAAATTCAGGAAATTTTTTAGCCATTATTTCTTCAAGCACTTTTTCAGGCTGTCATCTTTCTCTGTTTCAGGGATTTCAATGAAACGAATGTTATATCATTTGTTATCGTCTCATAGGTCCCTGAAGCTCTATTTTAAACCCCATTCTTTTTATTTTTTTGAGACAGAGTCCCGCTCTGTTGCCCAGGCTGGAGTGGCACGATCTCGGCTCACTGCAACCTCTGCCTCCTAGGTTCAAGGGATTCTCCTGCCTCAGCCTCCCGGGTAGCTGGGACTATAGGCGTGTGCCACCAAGCCCGGCTAATTTTTTGTGTATTTTTTTTTTTCAGTAGAGATGGGGTTTCACCGTGTTAGCCAGGATGGTCTCGATCTCCTGACCTTGTGATCCGCTCACCTCGGCCTCCCAAAGTGCTGGGATTACAGGTGTGAGCCACAGCACCCAGCCGAAGACCCACTCTATTTCTTCTCTGTGGTCTGGATTTCTATTGTTCTGTCTTTCAGCTCATAGATTTCTTTCTCTGTCCTCTTATTTTTCTATTAAGCCCATCCACTGAGCTTTATATTTTGGCTGCTGCTGTTCTTAGTTCTACAATTTCCAATTTCCATTTGGTTCTTCTTTTATGTTGTCCTTCTCTTTGCTGACACTTTGTTTCACTTGTTTCAAGGGTGTTCACAATTTCTCATTGAAGCATTTTTACTGTGTCTGCTGTAAAATATTTGTTAGATAATTTTAACATCATCATCTTAGTGCAGGCGTATATTGATTATTATTGTTCATTCAATTTGAAATCTTTCTAGTTCTTGGTATGATGAATGATTTTCACTTGAAACCTGGACATTTTTGCCTTACTTTATGAGAACCTGGATCTTATTCAATCTTTCTGTTTGGGCTGCCATTTTCTGACGTTGTGCTGGCAGGAGAAGGGGTATGCCACCATCACTGCCAAGTGGAAGTAGAAGTCTAGGTTTCTTTTTTTTTTTTTTTTTTGAGATGGAGTCTCTCTCTGTCACCCAGGCTGGAATGCAGTGGTGCGATCTCGACTCAGTGCAACCTCCGCCTCCCGGGTTCAAATGATTCTCCTGCCTTAGCCTCCCGAGTAGCTGGGATTACAGGAACACACCACCACGCCTGGCTAATTTTTCGTACTTTTAGTAGAGATGGGGTTTCACCATATTAGCCAGGATGGTCTCGATCTCCTGACCTTGTGATCCACCCGCCTCGGCCTCCCAAAGTGCTGGGATTACAGGAGTGAGCCACCGTGCTGGGCTTTTTTTTTTTTTTTTTTTTTTTGAGACAGAGTCTTGTTCTGTCACCCAGACTGAAGTGCAGTGGTGCCATCTCGGATCACTGCAACCTCAGCCTCCCGGGTTCAAGCAATTCTCCTGCCTCAGCTTCCCAAGTAGCTGGGATTACAGGCATGCGCCACCACACCTGGCTAATTTTTATATTTTTAGTAGAGATAAGGTTTTACCATCTCGGCCAGGCTGCTCTCAAACTCCTGACCCCAAGTGATCTGCCCACTTCAGCCTCCCAAAGTGCTGGGATTACAGGCATGAGCCTGTGCCTGGCCAACATCTAGATTTTTTACTTGGCTGATGTTGACACCCAATGGGAGGACGCTCCCTGTGACTGACAGGTGTGGGTCCAAGATCCCGATATGGTCTCTACTGACACCATGGTGGGAGTGCCTAAGTCCCGGTTCTCTACCTGGCCTTCTTGACACACCCGGTGGTGGTGTGGGATACCTTGTTACAGCCTGTATTGGTGGAAGTCTGGGTTTCCCACTCCATCTTTGCAGGTGTGGATAGGCGTGGCAGCACAATTTCCCCTGTAGCATCTGGCTGGAGTAAAGCAAGTGTTGTCTCAAAGTTTTCTGTCTTGCTAGGCCATTCCTTTCCTGGTCCACTGGCTAGAGAGGACAGGCTTTGGTTGGGGCATTTTTGTGTCTGCCCTTACTAGCATATCAGGTTTGCCGGCTTCTTCAGCACTAAGTGTGGGATACACAAGGTGAAAAGAAAACCCAGGAACTCACCACCATGCTGTTCCTGTTTCTCTCTCTTGTTAAGTAGTTTCTAACAAAAGGTGTGGTGGGGGCAACAACTAATTTCCCAGTTAACACGTCACTATACATAGAGGGGACACAGGAGCTATCAGAAAGGAGACCAGTGCTTCTGTGTGGTCCTGCTGATCCCCGAAGTTAAAACAGCAGCAGGCCTCAGCCATGAAGGGTCCAACAGTTCTCTTCAGTGGGCTGGGCCAAAATTACAAGGGGAATTGGATGCATTGGAGCAGTTAAAAGAAACAGAGATTTCCTTCATTGCTTTCAATCATTCCCAAAGAGACTGCAGGTCCTGTGAGCCCTCAGTGTAAAATCAATCAGTGGAGCCAGTTCTGACACAGCAGCAGTGTGGACATGCTACAGAGCCTCCACGAGACCAAGAAACAGCGCCATGTTTCTTTACAATGTCACTGCTCTACAAATGACACGGTCAGTAGGTCAGAGACTTTGTTAACTTTCTGCCTTACCCTGGCCTGAAATTCCGTTCTTGTCCACCTCCAAATAGCATAGGGTAGAGAGGGGTAAATTCACCAAGTCCTCGTATATAAAGTGCGCCAATCCTGGGACCATAAAACTGGAAGGAAAAGTTGGTCATTTATTCAACAAGAACTTTCCAAGGACCTACTCTGTATACATGCTAAGTGCTTAGGGGCACACAGGAGAAATGCTCTGCAATGCATAGTCCTGCTGCTTCCTTGTGGCGCCTCTGAGTGCCACCCCTTTTGACACGCAGAGTCACAAAAGCCTTCGGGGCAGGGTGGAACCCCAACCTAGGAGGCAGCGCAGGTGCTAGACTCTCGTGCTCAGCTCTGTGGCAGGCAGCTCTCCCCTGCGCATCATGTGATAGAATTTGTAAAAGGATCTCAAATCATATGAATCACAGGTTTAAAAAAAAAAAAAAGAAAGAGAATGCATAAATAGAGAGGGGTTGGAACCAGCGGTTGGCCAGGGCTTTTCCTGCAAATGATTCCATGTTTCCAACTGACACAATGCAGAACTCTGGAGTGCCAGTGTCAGGCCAGCATAGACACTCCTTTGGAAACCAGCTGAGGACTGTGCTTCAAAATTGAGTACTAAAAATATCTCGGGCCCTGGTAAGCTGCCAGAAAGATGTGCAAAATTTTCAGAAGGGTCTTCACTGTTAACTATTTTCCCCATACTCCCACCTTAAAGATAGCTGCAAAGGTTTTGCTGAGGAGCCGCATCTGAAATCACATTAGAGAAAGCAACGATTTCCTGTCCCTACATCTTCCACCCCACACCCTCTGCAGATGCCCTGTCCGCTGCAGAGACACTCGCTGCCTGGCCGAACCCCCTGCCTTACTCTCCCTGAGATCTCGACGTCTCCTCCCCTAGCTTGGTCTACCGCCCCCACCCTGCCCCATGTGGGCTGGGCACCCCCCCCATCATCCCTGCCATGGCATTCGTCCTGGCATGCTGGCCATGTGGGGCTCCCCTCTTAAAGCTCCTGAGGACAAGGATCCCACGTTGCTCCTCGCAGTGCCCCCAAGGCCTGGCTCACGGTGGGCAGTGAGGCTTACGGACCGAGGAGTAAACAGCCACCTGCGCAGTAGGCTCTGCCCACAGAGGCAGGAAGCCTCTGCAGACTTACCTTGTGCCCCACGATTGTAAGGAAGTCCACGCCCAGGTCCTCCACATCCACGCGCTGCTTCCCCAAGGCCTGTGCAGCATCCGTGTGCACGAGGATGGGAGGTAGCCCAGCTGCCACCCGTTCCTGGTTCAGGGCTTTAATGCGCTGACTGATTTCAGGGACAGGCTGACGGGGAAAGGAAACAGTTGAGTATGTTGCTCCGATCTGATGAAAACTGAATGACAGAAATCAGGAGTAGTGAGCGCAGGCCAAATGTTATCAAAGTGAACAGAGAAACGGGAGAGGCCAGAGCTGGGAAACCTGAAACGCCATGAGTCTAAGCTGCTGTTCTTCCCCATGAGCTCTCCTTAAAGAGAAACAAAGGCCGACTCACCATGACAATGCCAGTCTCATTGTTGGCCAGCATGATGGTCACGAGGCGTGTGGTCGGGCGGACTGCCGCGAGGATGTCGTCCACCTCTGCCTGCCCGCTCACCTTGGACACCGGGACAAAGGTGACCGCTGGGAAACAAACATGAGTACCGAACTGAGCTGCACAAATTGATTCCTCTCAAAACTGCGTTCCAACAGAGCTTAACAGTTTTCTACAACTATAAAAGTAAATTGTTGTCCAAGTTCAGAAGACTATAAAGAAGAATATAAGCCGCCCATCATCACTGGCCCAGAGTCACTGTCAGGTGCTTCAGTGTGAACGTGTCTTTAACGCGGCTGCAGTCAGTGAATCTGTGTCGTGGAAGCTGTGTGCCTTTCTGCTTCTACGGAGACGGAAGAGGAAGAGGCAACAGGGATGCAGGCTCTTGCTTTTGGGGAGGGTCCTAGTGCACAGCACTTCACTGCCATGCATTTGGCACCGAGCCAGTGCTGATGAAGCCGCTCCTACGCGCCAGGCGCTGACTGCCCCGGGCACTGAGAGTCTCACTACTGCAGATGGAAAATGAGCAGAGGGGACTACATTGTTTAGCTTTAGTGCTTTGAGTTTAAAATGGTGAAAAACAAATGTATCCACTGCCCACTCAGGATCCTACTGAAATGAAAGAGAAAACAGCTACTTCTCCGACTAAGAATCAAATCAAAACAACACCAACAAAGGGTATCTGGCCAGGCGCAGTGGCTCACTTTGGAAGGCCGAGGTGGGTGGACTGCTTGAGCCCAGGGGTTCAAGACCAGCCTGGGCAACATAGGGAGATCACACCACTGCACTCCAGCCTGGGTGACACAGTAACACACTGTCTCAAATAAAAGGGGGTGGGAGGGGGTATGTGGACTAGGAATTTTGAGGAGTCCCTAAAATGTAGCAAGATGATGGCATTAGATTAACAGGGAAAAGAACACTTAAAGGCCAATCTGAAAGTATCCAGTGGCCACCCAAGTTCAGGGTGGACAGCGGGAAGCGCAGGGCACGGGCCAGCTACCGAGGCCGGCAGAGGTCAGCTTCCCAATGTCCGAACACGCCCTGCTCCCGTACACCAAGTCAGCGGCAGAGGTGCTGACCTCAGACTGAGACAGCACCACACGCCCAGAGAGGGCGGGCACAAGGTGGGCTCCCAGGATGGGGGAAGGATCTAGAAAAGGGGGAGGAGCTTGAGGCATCTGCTAGGGAACTCAGAGGAGCAAAGCAAAGGCAGCTCCGTCCAGGGAAGTCACGAGAAAAGTTGGGGGGGTCCACCCGGCTTGCCGGGCTCTGCTGCCACCACCTTATGCAGAGCCCACCGTGGGCCTTCCTTTCCTGGGAGACACCTCCTGGGGAAACGCATTGAGAACTGGAGATGAGCCATCCCTAGCCCCTACATCAAACAACGAAATGCTTCATCCATCCACAGGAACAATCCAGGATCCCCAAGCCTGAGGAAAAACCAGGATGAACAGGTAAATGACTGATTCTAGATCACATAGAAGCAATCCCAGGAACAGGAAAACTAAAAAAATTCTAACTGGTATCTTCAGTGTGTGGAAAAGCAGGAAAAAAGGCAAGTGATAAAAACTGCCTATGACTGTACTTAAAGAGATAAAGAAAAGTATGATGACAATGGCTCATCAAATAGAGAGTCCTCAAGATAAACAAGAGAGAAATTATGAAAAAGAACCAAAAGGAAATCCTGGAGTTGGAAAGTACAACCGATATGAAGAATTCACTGGAGGGGCTCCAGAGTATATTGGAACTGGCAGAAAATACATTTAGTCAACATGAAGGTAGATTTACAGAGATTACGAAATCCAAATATAAGACAGGAAAAACATGAGAAAGATAAACAGAGCCTCAGAGAAATGTGGGACACCATAAGGCACCAAATAGGGAAAACAGGAGTAGCAGAAGGGCAGGAGCAAGAGAAAGGGGCAGAAAAATGTCTCTGAAAAATAATGGCTGAAAACATCTCAAATGTAATGGAAAACACTAATCTACATACCTAAGAGGCTCAGTGAATTCTGGGTGGGATAAAACACAAAGACATTCACTCCCAGACACATGATAATGAAAATGTTGAAAGCCAAAGACAGAGAAACTATCTCGCAATCAGCAAAAGAGATTCCGTCTCAAAAAAGTAAAGGAAAAAAAGGGCAGTGTAACTGTATATTGCTTCTCTTAACTGATTTAAAAGCAACTGTATAAAATAACATGTATATAATTATTTTGTTAGGGCTATAACACACAATATTTCATAATAGCACAAAGGAGGTGGGAGGGAGCAGAATTGTCTATTAAGGAAAGGACACCAGATGATAATTCAGATCCATGGAACAAATGAAGATAATGTGAAAAGGCAACTAAGAAGATTACTCAAGCAAAATCTATAAACATATACTTGCTCTTTCTTCCCTTAGCTTCCTTAAAAGATATGAAATTGGCCAGGTGCACTGGCTCATGCCTGTAAGCACTTTGGGAGGCCAAGGCAGGAGGATCACTTGAGCCCAGGAGTTCAAGACCAGCCTGGGCAACATAAGGACACCTTATCTGCACAAAAAATAAAAAATTAGCCAGTGCGATGGGATATGCCTGTAGTCCCAGCTACTAGGGCAGCTGAGGTGGAAGGATCACTTGAGCCTGGGAGGTTGAGGCTGTAGTGAGTTGTGATTGTGACACCAAACTCCAGCCTGGGTGACAGGGTGGAATCTTGTCAAAAAAAAAAAAAAAAAAAAAAAAAAGAAAAAGAAAGAAAGAAAGAAAGAAGGAAGGAAGGAAAGAAAGAAAAGACAGGAAATTAACTACAATGATATTTGTGGCTGGCTGCAGTGGCTCACGCCTGTAATCCCAGCATTTTGGGAGGCCAAGGTGGGCAGATCACTTGAGGCCAGGAGTTCAAGATCAGCCTGGCCAACATGGAGAAACCCTGTTTCTACTAAAAATACAACAATTAGATGGGCCTGATTGCACACGCCTGTAATTCCAGCTGCTTGGGAGGCTGAGGCATGAGAATCACTTGAACCTGGAAGGTGGAGGTTGCAGTGAGCCAAGATTGCACCACTGCACTCCAGCTTGGGTGACAGAGCAAGACTCTGTCTCCAAAAAAAAAAAAAAAAGATATTTGTAACAATGCACTGTTGAGTTTGTAACATATATAGATGTAATACCCATAACAATAAAAGCACAAAAAAGAAGAAGGAACAGAACTGTATAGGAGTAACATTTCTACATCTTACTGGAATTAAATTAGTATAAATTTGAAGTATATACTGGTAAGTTTATACATAAATAGTAAGCCCTTGACAACCACTAAGGAAATAACTAATTTAAAAAGTGAAAAAAGCACTAAAGAATTTTGATGTTAAATTAGAAAATATTCGTTAATGCAAAAGAAAACGGTAAAGGGGGAAAAGAGAACAAAAAATATATGAGACATCTAGGAAACAAAAAGTGAAAATAGGTGGTACTCCAACTATGTCAATAGTAACATTAAGTGTGAATGATTAAACAATCTAATAAAAAGGCAGAGGCTGTCAGACTAGATTTAAAAAGAACTGGCCGGGTGCAGTGGCTCAAGCCTGTAATCCTAGCACTTTGGGAGGCCAAGGTAGATGGATCACCTGAGATCAGGAGTTCAAGGTCAGCCTGGCCAACATGGTGAAACCCCGTCTCTACTAAAAATACAAAAATTAGCCAGCCATGGTGGCAGGTGCCTGTAGTACCAGCTACTCGGGAGGCTGAGGCAGGAGAATAGCTTGAACCTGGGAGGCGTAGGTGGCAGTGAGCCAAGATCGTGCCACTGCACTCCATAGCCTGGGCAACAGAGCGAGATTCCGTCTAAAAAAAAAAAAAAAAAGAGAATCTACAGGAGACCCATGTGTCTTGTTCAGGGATCTTGGGCTGGGCCTAGTTAACCTTCCCCAAAGGTGACTTTTCCCTTTTCCTATTATTCACATCAAAGATAAGTCTTAGATGCTGTGTGATGTTCAAGCAGTTTATTCTGGCAGTGCTCTTACAAGATAGCTAGCAGGAGCAGGCAGGTGGCAAGGGTCAGATACATTCAGGTATCAGATGACTGCCTGGCCGGGAAAGTCTCTGTCCAGAGAACATTCTCAGAGTTTTGGGGATTCTTCCCCTTTCTTATCTTGTATTTAGTCCAGGTCAGTTACCAGGTTTTTCTTCCATAAGGGAGTTAAGCTATTTTGGTAAGGGAAAGCTTTGTATTTATGGTTTATGAGAGTTCCATCTATGCTGAGGTGGTCTTACCTCCTGGAAATTCCCAAGCCAGGGTTGGAAATCCCTAGACCATGTTGCATCATACTGCTAATTGACACATAGTGTCAGCCCTGCAAGATGTTTGCATGGGCCTTACGGCTATCATTAATCTTATAGCCACAATATGTCTCTAACAGTGTATTACAACATGTCAGATTTAAAGACATAAATGGATTAAAAGTAAAAGGATGGAAAAAGATATTTATGCTAGCAGCAACCATAAGACAGTTGGAATGACTATACTTACATAAAATAAAAGGGATTTAAAAAGTTACCAGCAATATAGTTGGACATTTTATAATGATAAAAGAACCAGTTCATCCATAATATATAACAAATATAAATGTATGTGCACCTAACAATAGAGCACCAAAATACACGAAGCAAAAACTGACAGGTTTGAAGGGAGAAACTGATTAATAGTGTGATCAACTATTAATCAGACCACTGATTAATAATACTGGGATCATTCAAAATCACATTTTCAATAATGGATACAACAACTAGGCAGAATTTTAACAAGGGAACAGAAGACTTGAATAACACTACAAATTAAGTAGACCTAACAGACATCTACAAGACACTCCACCCAACAACAGCAGAATATACATTATCCTCCAGTGCACTTGACATATACTCTAGGATATATGTCTACATACATCCTAGGCCACAAAATAAAAAAAATTAAAGAATTTAAATCAAAGTATTTTCTAGCTCTTATGGAAGAAAATTAGAAATCATTAGCAGAAAGAAATCTTAGAAATTAAAAAACATATGGAAATTAAACAATACACTCTTTTTTTTTTTTTTTTAATTTATTTTTTTATTGATAATTCTTGGGTGTTTCTCACCGAGGGGGATTTGGCAGGGTCATGGGACAATAGTGGAGGGAAGGTCAGCAGATAAACAAGTGAACAAAGGTCTCTGGTTTTCCTAGGCAGAGGACCCTGCGGCCTTCCGCAGAACAATACACTCTTAAATATCTAATGGGTCATAGAAAAAAAAAACCACAAGGGAGACTAGAAAATACTTTGAGATGAATGAAAATGAAGACACAACATACTAAAACATGTGGAATGTAGTTAAAGCAGTGCTTAGAGGGAAATTTATGTCTTTAAATGCCTACATTAAAAAAGAAAAAACGTCTGGGTGTGGTGGCTCACACCTGTAATCCCAGCACTTTTGGAGGCCAAGGTGGGTGGGTCACTTGAGTTCAGGAGTTCGAGACAAGCCCAGCCAACATGGCAAAACCCCGTCTCTATTAAAAGTACAAAAATTAGCCAGATGTGGTGGTGCATGTCTGTAATCCCAGTTACTTGGGAGGTTGAGGCACAAGAACTGCTAAAATCTGGGAGGTGGAGGTTGCAGTAAGCTGAGATTGTGTCACCGTACTTCAGCCTGGGCAATAAGACTCTGTCTCAAAAAAAAAAAAAATACAAATCATAACTAATCTTCCACCTTAAGACACTGTAAAAAAAAAAAAAAAAAGGAACAAATCAAACCTAAAACAAGTAGAAAGAAAGAACCCATTTATGCCTGGTGTTCCATTATTGGAACGCTAAGCTTGTGGGAGTTATTTATATCCTACTGCTCAAGGTTATTGCCAAGGTCTGATTTTTCACACAAAAAAACTTGCAACCTCCGGCATAAATGGGTTAATAAAGGTTAGTGTAGAAGTCAATAAAATAGAGACTACAAAAATAACACAGGAAAATCAAAAGTTAGTTCTTTAAAAAGAGTTTTTAAAAAGATAAATCTTTAGCTAAATTGAACAAGACAGAGAAAAAGAATAAAATTACTAAAATCATGAATGAAAGGGATCTATAAATCTTACAGAAATAAAAAAAGATTACCAGAGACTACTATAAACAATGGTATGCCAATAAAATTAGATAACAAATGAAATGCACAAATTCCTAGAAGGACACAAACAACTGAAAATGACTCAAAAGAGATAGAGCCTGAACAAACCTATAAAAAGTAAAGAGACTGAATCAGTAACTTAAAAATTCTCCACAAAGAGAAGCCCAGGCCCAGATGTTGTCATTGGCAAACTCTATCAAATATTTAAAGATGAATTAAAACCAAGTCTTCACAAACCCTTCCAAAAAACAGAACAGGAGGGAACACTTCCCATGATTTATATGGGGCAAATTTTACCCTGACACTAAACTAGACAAAGACACCACAAGAAAACTACAGACTAATACCTCTTATGAATATTGACAGAAAAATCTTCAGCAAAATACTAGTGAACCAAATCTAAAAACATATGAAAAGGATTAAATGGTTTAACATCCAAAAATTAGTTAAGGTAATACAACATTACAAACAGAATAAAGAACAAAAACCCACATGATCATCTCAATAAATGATCATCTCAATAAATGGATTTAACAAAATCCAACACCCCTTTCATGATAAAAACACCCAACAAACCAAGCACAGAAGGGAACTTCCTCATCCTGATAAAGGCCATCTATAAAAAACCCACAGCTAACATTATATGAAATTATGAAAGAATGAATGCCTTCCCTTACAATCACTAGCAAGATAAGGATATCCACCTTGGCCACTTCTATTCAACATTGTACAGGAGGTCCTAGTCAAGGCAATTAGACAAGAAAATAAAATTAAAGAAATACAAGTTGGACAACAAGAAGTAAAACTATCTCTAGCTGTAGATGATATGACCCTCTATATAGAAAATCCTCAGGAATCCATTAAAAAACCAACTGAAACTAACAATTAGGCCACGCATGGTGGCTCACGCCTATAATCCCAGCACTTTGAGAGGCCAAAGTCGGGGGGATCACCTGAGGTCAGGAGTTCAAGACCAGCCTGACCAACATGGTGAAACCCCATCTCTACTAAAAATACAAAATTAGCCGGGCATGGTGGCACATGCTTATAATCCCAGCTACTTGGGAGGCTGAGGCAGGAGAATCGCTTGAACCCAGGAGGCAGAGGTTGCAGTCAGCCAAGATCACTCCATTGCACTCCAGCCTGGACAACAAGAGCGAAAGTGCCTCAAAAAAACAAAACTAAACTAAACTAAACTAACAATTAAAACTAATAAATTCAGCAAAGTTGCAGAACACAAGAGTAACATACAAACTCAACTGTACAGTTGACCCTTGAACAATGTGAGGGTTAGGGATGTGGACCCCTCAGGTAGTCGAAAATTTGTGTCTAACTTTTGACTCCCCAAAAACTTTTTTTTTTTTTTGAGATGGAGTCTTGCTCTGTTGCTCAGGCTGGAGTGTGGTGACACCATCTCAGTTCACTACAGCCTCCGCCTTCCGGGTTCAAGTGATTCTCCTGCCTCAGCCTCCCAAGTAGCTGGGATTACAGGTATGTGCCACCACTCATGGCTAATTTTGTATATTTAGTAGAGATGGGGTTTTGCCATGTTGGTCAAGCTGGTCTCGAACTCCTGACCTCAAGTGATCCGTTCCCCGCTTCACCTCCCAAACTGCTGGGATTACAGATGTGAGACACCACACCCAGCCAGCTCCCTGCAAACTTAACAACAAATAACCTACTGTTGACTAGAAGCCTTACTGATAACGTAAGCAGTTGATTAACACATATTTTGTATATTATATATTATATGCTATATTCTCACAATAAAGTAAGCTAGAGAAAAAATACTAAGAAAATCATAAGGAATAAAAATATATTTACTATTAATTAAGTGGAAGCAGATCATCATAAAGGTCTTCATCTTCATCATCTTCACATTGAGTAGGCTGAGGAGGAGGAAGAAGAAGAGGGGTTGATCTTGATGTCACAGAGACAGTAGAGATAGGAGAAAATCCACATATAAGTAGACCCACAGAGTTCAAACCCATGTTGTTCAAGGGTCAACTACATTTACATACATTAGCAATGAACAATCCAAAAATGAAATAAGAAAACAATTCCATCTACAATAGTATCAAGAGAATAAAACACTTAAGGATAAATTTAACAGAAGTGCAAAAACTTAATCCTGAAAACTGCAAAAATTGCTGGAAGAAATTAAAGTAAATATAAAGACATCACATGTTCATGGATTGGAAAACAATATTGTTATGGTAGCAATACTGACCAAATTCATCTACAGATTCAATTCAATCCCTATCAAACTCCTAGCTAGATTTTTGCAGAATTTAACAAGCTGATCCTAAAATTCTTTTGAGATGTCAACAGATGCAGAATAGCCAAAACAATATTAAAAAATAACAAATTTGGAGAACTCCTACTTTCCTGTTTCAAAACTTACTACAAACTACAGTAATCATAACAGTTTGGTACCAATCTAAGAACAGAAATACAGGTAAATGGAATAGAGTTGACAGTCAAGAAATAAACCCTCACATATTACGGTCAACTGATTTTCAATAAGGGTGCCAAGACCATCCATGGAAGAAGAGTCTTTTCAACAAATGTGCTGGAACAACTGGATGTCCACATGCAAAAAAAGTAAATTTGGACTCCTCCCTCACACCACACACAAAATTAACTCAAAATGTACCACAGATTTAAATGTAAGAGCTAAAACTATAAAACTCTTAGAAGAAAATATGAGTACATTTTCATGACCTTGGGTAGGACAAAATCTTCTTAGACATGACACAAGGAACAACAACAACAACAAAAATAGACTTCATCAAAATGAAAAGCTTCTGTTCTTCAAAGGATACCATGAGAGCAAGAGCAAACCCACAGAATGAGAGAAAATATTTACAAATCATCTATCTGACAAGGGACTTGTATCAAGCATATATAAAGAACTCTTACAACTCAATAAAAAGACAAGTCATCCAATTAAAATAGGAGCAAGGACTTTAATAGACATTTTTCCAAAGAAGATATATACAAATGGCCAAGGAGTACATGAAAGATGCTCAACACTACTGGCCATCAGGGAATTGTAAATCAAAACCAAAATGAGATACCACTTTACACCTACTAGGCTGGCAATAATCAAAAAGACAGATAACAAATGTCAGCAAAGACATGGAGGAATTGGAACCCTGTGACACTGCAAATAGGAGTACTAAGTGGTGTGGCTACTTTGGAAAACAAAGCTTAAGGTTAAACAGTTACCTAACATTTGTCAGATAGTTACCGCATGACCCAGCAATCTCACTCAAGTATAAACCCAAAAGAAATAAGAACATACCAATACACTAAAACATACGCACAAATGTCACATTAGTCGTAACAGCCAACAAATGGAAACAACCTAAATGTCTATCAACTGACAGACAAATCAAATGTGGTACAGATAGACAATGAAATGTTGTTCATCTGTAGAAAATGAATTAAATACATGTTACAACATGAGTGAACCTTGAAAACATTATGTTAAATGGAAGAAGCCCGTCAAAAAGAGCACGTTATAAGATTCCATTCATAGGGGAGTCTAGAATAGGGAAATCTGTAGAGACAGAAAGTAGATGAGTGGTTGCCTAGAGTTGAGGGAAATGAAGATTTACAGTTAACTGGTACAAGGTTTCTTTTGGGGCTGGCGAGAATTTTCTATAACTGAAAATTATAGAAAAATTTTCTATAACTGAAAAATATAGTGGTGATGGCTGCACAACCTGGTGAGCACACTAAAAACTGCTGAACTGTACACTTTAAGTGGATGAATGATAGCTCATTAAAGCCGATATACAAGAAATCCACTGGGATGTGTGGAGACAGAGGGAGTGCGAGGAAGGCTTATGAAGGTCCAAGTCCTTATTTTTACATTGAGGATGCTTGTGTTGATAAACCAAGAACTGGGGGTTAGGTTTTTAAGTTATTTAGCTTAAACTGGAAGTGGTTAAAATGATAATATCCACAAGAAGAACTCAAGGCAAACTGTAACAGTGGTTGCTGCTGCAGAGGTTTAGGGGCAGCAGGAGAATGACTTTTGTTTTTTTGTTTTGGAGACAGTGTCTCACCCTGTCGCCCAGGCTGCAGTGCAGTGGCACGATTTTGGCTCACTGCAACCTCTCCCTCTCAGGTTCAAGTGATTCTTCTCCTCCTTAGCCTCCCGAGTAGCCGGGATTATAGGTGCCCACCACCACGCCCGGCTAAATTTTTTTTGTATTTTTAGTAGAGACGGGGTTGCTATGTTGGCCAGGCTGGTCTCAAATTCCTGACCTCAAGTGATCTGTCCGCCTCAGCCTCCCAAAGTGCCGGGATGACAGGCGTGAGCCACCGTGCCCTGGCAGACTTTTTACTTTATACTTTTCTATAATATTTTAACTATTTCCATCACATGCATGTCTATACATTTTTTAAATTGTACAATTTTAAACAAAAGGTTAATTAATTACAACAGTAACTAATAATGATGTATACCAAGTTGCCCTTCTCTGTATTGGTAAGATAGGGAAAAAAAGGTACCAGAGGCTGGGCTCTGGCCGGGCTCAGGTGGCTCACACCTGTAATCCCAGCACTTTGGGAGGCCAAGGCAGGCAGATTACCTGAGGTCAGGAGTTCAAGAGCAGCCTGGTCAACATGGTGAAACCCCATCTCTCTTAAAAATATAAAAATCAGCCGGGCATGGTGGCGTGTGCCTGTAATCCCAGCTACTCAGGAGGCTGAAGCAGGAGAATTGCTTGAACCTGGGAGGCAGGGGCTGCAGTGAACTGAGATCACACCACTATGCATCAGCCTGGGCAACAGAGTGAGACTCCATCTCAAAGAAAAAAAAAAAAAGGTACCAAAAACTAACAGTACTTAAATAAGAAAATTAGATTTTTTTAAGTGGCAAAAAATTAAATCTTGGGATCTAAATCCTTCATGTGAATATGTTTACCTACGGGCAAGCATTCAAGTAAGACCACAAACAGAATGTTATAAATTTTTTTTTCCCCTGAGATGGAGTCTTGCTGTCTCCCAGGCTGGAGTACAATGGATCTTGGCTCACAGCAATCTCCATCTCCAGGATCCAAGTGATTCTCCTGCCTCAACCTCCCCAGAAGCTGGAACTACAGGCACGTACCACCATGACTGGCTAATTTTTGTATTTTTAGTAGAGATGGGGTTTCACCATGTTGGCCAGGCTGGTCTCGAACTCCTGACCTCAAGTGATCCACCCGCCTCCACCTCCCAAAGTGCTAGGATTACAAGGCTTGAGCCACTGCGCCCAGCCAAAAAAATTTTTTTTTCAAAAAAGGCTTCATAGTCAAACCAAGCAGTTTGGCCACAGTCCCTTAATCTTTAAAATAAAAATATTTTCTTTTTATTCACCTGCAGGTTTCCAGACAGATTACACAAGAAAACTCAGGTTGAGAAGAAAATCTGTCTCAAGGATAGTGTTGATTAATTGGCTGCCCCATTTTTACAAGTTAATGATCTACACCTGGTGAACATGTCACTCCCTTTTGGGACTTCCTATGACTCTGTGGCTCTGTCCGTGCTGTGTGACAGCCACAAGGCCACTGCTGCTGCAGCGAGCCTCCTCCTCCCTGAGGGCCCCTGCGCCTCCTGCCGCACTTGGGCACCACCTCACTCCGCTTCTCCACACATAGCAGGAGGCCTCGCGTCATGGGTGCTGAGATCAGGTGCGGCAGCTCGCTTATTCCAGGCTTCACACCTGAAGTTTAGGTCTATTTGATCCTTTTCCTTCATGTGAGAGGAGAGTGGGAGCTGAGATTTTATGATGAAAACCAAATAATGACAAGCATCATTTGCCTATTTGCAGGCGTACTATTTAAAGGTTAAATATTTATTACATGCAAGTTTCAAATATCACTCAGTTATACAAATGGCTAGTTCTACATATTCATTCTCAATGAACTTCCTAAGGGAAAGTTTGGCCACACTTGCCAACCCCCTTGTGGCAGCTGGCCTCTGCACCGAGAGGGGCAGCCAGGGAGCCCAGTGCAGTGAGGGGCAACTATTCACCAAGGTGCCAGGGCCTGCCTCCTCATCAGAACCAGTGAGTTACAGTGAGTGGCACACTGAATCTACATCTCTGCAGCGGATCCCGGGCTCTGCTCGCAGGCCACTTCCCGCCTCGCAGCTGGAGCTCAGCAGGCTGGTCCCAGGGCCACCCTGCACTCACTCACCTGCCACTTGTTCTTCCACCAGGTGCTCCAGGGGCAGCCGGATGGAGTCGTGTTCCACCGAGGAAGTAATGAAATGGGGCTTGGCCCCCTTCACTGGGCTGTGGTGCCCACCTGTGTGTCCCTTTGAGGTCTGGTTTGCGTGGAAATGTTTCACCACAGAATGGATTACTAAATTATTTGACTGCAGAGATACAGCAAAAAAAGCATTTACAAAAACTGTGCTGAGGTAAGGGTCAGAGCAACAATTTCTGTTACTTAATTTCTTTTGTGGCTAACATCAAAAAAGCTTCAAAGAAATTCAACTTCCTGAGTGGGACCTTTTGAAAGATTTGGGGTTTTCCAACATTCAAAAACATGAGATTCCAGTCAATTATGTCTGTTTTATAGTTAAGCAATATTATTAATTTTTAAGAATTTATATAAATGTATTGGTATAAGTGCAGTGTGGTTATATGCATAGAATATTATGAATTTTTAAATTTTATAAATCTGCCATAAAGAGTATTTTGTCCAGCCACCCACTATTGGTGGGAGTATAAATTGGTACAACCTCTACTGTGGGCCATTTATCACATCTACCAAATGAGCCCCGTGACCCAGCAATTCTAGTTCTTGGACTTTTTCCTACAGCTACATTCACAGTGAAACAAAATAGTGTGTATAAAGGTTATTTATTAAGTGCAGCACTGTTTGTTACAGCAAAACCTTGGAAAGTCCTTAAATATCTATCAATTAGGGATGAAAAGGACTGATTCCAGGGCAACAATGACGGGGAAACCTTTATGGAAATAACAATGCAAAGCAGGTTACTTTACATATTACATTACAAAAATCCTATCGGCTACCTGGAATTTACTTAAAGGATATATACTAATTATCTCGAGCTAGTATGCAATATAGCAAGACCACACATTACTCTCTTTCTTTCTGAGACAGGGTCTCACTCTCTTGCCCAGGATGGAGTGCAACAGCGTGATCATAGCTCACTGCAGCCTTGAATTCCTGGGTTCAAATGATTCTGCCACCTCAGCTTCCCTAGTAGCTGGGACTACAGGTGTACACCACCACGCCCAGCTAATTTTTTTTTTTTTTGTAGAGATGGACTTTCCCTATGTTGCTCAGGGAGGTCGCAAACTCCTGGGCTCAACCAACCCTCCTGCCTTGGCCTCCCAAAGTACTGGGATTACAGGCATGAGCCACCACACTTGGCCTACTCTTTCTTTAAATGAAAATGTAGCAAAAGGAAATCACTTTCTGTGTATTTTATTATAACTTACAGTTAACAGAATGTGAGTGTGTTCAGAAGCTTTACCTCAGTGCCCCCGGAAGTGAAGATTATATCTTGAGGTTTCCCCCCTATCATCTTCGCGAGGCTTTCCCGAGCTGCATTTATAATATCCTTGGCCTTTCTTCCTTGAGGGACCAAAAAGGAAATTCATTAACATTGCTTCACCAAGCTCAATCAACGCATCTAAAAGGACAACCAAATACAAAGGAATAAGAGGTCTGCGTGGGCCGTTCTAAGACAAAACCTGGCCCCTTAATGTGAGCACAGCAAAATGCTACAACCTAGACACAACCCGGCAAAGGGGCGGCCGAGACAGCAGCGAACCAGGGACCAAACTGAGAGTTATTAACTCCATGAGACCCAGAAACAAGTAAGGGAGTCTGGCTATGAACCTGGACGTCCCCCAAGATGTGGCTTTCTTCTTACTGGATGCTAGAGGGAGGGCAGCTGTGGCCATCTGCCTTGCTTCCCATTCATCAAGAGAGGAGAATGAAAGGATGGAATGAGTTGCAAACAACAAAAATAAGCAAAAACAGAACTCATGACTCGACGCGAAGTCCAGTGCCATATCTCATTTTGCATGTCGCCCACAGGGTACCTGGGCTACAAAGGTTACTGTCTCAGGGACACACCTGCTTTCAAACAGGGCTATGCATCCGGCCATCACCCAGTTTCACTGGCTAGAAGGAAAACACAGCAACCATGCTTGATGGGGCAAAGAAGGAAAGGCTCTGGCATGGGAATGCCGAAAGTTTCAGTGACCATTCTTAGTGTACACACCAGGAGTCCCCAAACTTTTTTGACCATTCAGTCTTATTTAAAAATAAGAAAAAATTGAGCAGGCACCGCTAAAACATATACTATTACGAAACATCATAAAAAAGAGAAATATAAAAAGCTGAGGTAAAATAAATATGCAAAGTAATTCTGCTGCTCCTTAACGCTACTGTATAGATGTCAGTTTTAGTAGTAGTTTCCTAAACACCTAAGTGGTGTTTAGGAAAACTCCATCATTTTTCTTGGTGACACTAAAAGTCACCGTAATAAACTGTCACCCTCACTCTCAGCCTTCCCTCTCTCAGTGATAATGGTTTGGCTGTGTCCCCACCCAAATCTCATCTTGAATTGTAGCTCCCATAATTCCCACGTCATCAGAGGGACCCGGTGGGAGGTAACTGAATCATGGCGGCAGGTCTTTCCCATGCTAGTCTCGTGATAGTGAATCAGTCTCATGAAATCTGATGGTTTTATAAAGGGGAGCTCCCCTGCACGCACACTCTTCTCTGCTGCCATGTAAGATGTGACTTTGCTCCTCTTTCGCCTTCCTCCGTGATTGTGGGGCCTCCCCAGCCATGGGAAACTGTGAGTCAATTAAACCTCTTTCCTTTATAAATTACCCAGTCTCAGGTACATCTTCATTAGCAGCATGAGAACAGACTAATACACTCAGGAAATGGCAACTCCATCCCTCAGCAGCCCAGGGCAAAAGCGTGGGCTCTTTCCCTTTTCATTCCCCGCCAATTAATCCACCAGCAAATGCTGTAGGCTCTGTGTTCAAACGATGTTCCAAACCTGACTCTGCCTCTCCACCGCCCAGCCACCAACCAAGCCAAGGCCACTGCTGTGATGTTCTCCTAGCAGGCCCCCACCAGGGTCCATTCTCCACATAGTGGACAAAGTAATGCCTCGAAAACCCAAATACATTTTGGGCACCGTGCTTCATCCCTCCCCCAACAGGGTGCTGAGTACACAGCTGGTGCTCAGTCAGTGCTGCTTACGTCAGCGGTTTCCAAAACCCCAAGGCCCTCTCAGGAGGTCCACAAAGTCAAAACTGTTTTCATGATGATACTAAGAGAAGAACTGCCTTTTTCACGCTCCTTTTCTCACAGGTATATGGTGAACCTTCCAGAGGCTTCCGTCACTATGATGTGACTGCAGTGGGCTGGACGGGGAGGTATGAGCGCCAGCTATCTTCCAGCAACAGGCAGTAAAGAGACTTCCACATGCACAACAGTGCAATGCTCACTAGGTTTCTTGTTTTGCCGAAGATAGTTTATTTTTCATAAAAATTCATGAATGCTGAGCTTATTTTCAGGGTTTTTGTTTGTTTTGCTATTATAAGCAAGACTGTGATAAATATCTTAGGTATGTAAAATCCCCACATCCTCAACATATTCCTTAAAATAAATTTCCCTCAAAGGCTTTAGATAATATTTAGGCTGGGCATGGTGGCTCACACCTGTAATCCCAGCACTGTGGGAGGCCGAGGTGGGTGGATCACAAGGTCAGGAGTTCAAGACCAGCCTGGCCAAGATGGTGAAACCCCGTCTCTACTAAAAATACAAAAATTAGCCAGGCATGGTGGCGCGTGCCTCTAGTCCCAGCTACTTGGGAGGCTGAGGCAGAAGAATCGCTTGAATCCGGGAGGCGGAGGTTGCATTGACCCGAGATTGCACCACTGCACTCCAGCCTGGGCGAGAGCGAGACTCAATCTCAAAATAATAATAATAATAATAATAATAATAATAAAATAAAATATTATTAGTTTAAATAACAATATTGTGAAAATAATTAAACCACTCTATAAATTGATTTTTTTTCTTTTGCATTTCGATCTGAGTAGCAACACAAAGTGAACTGCAACACTTTTGAGTTTATGGTTCTTAATTTGTGGAAACAAAGGCTATCAAGGAAACCTAAAAGCCACTGCCAGGCTTCATTCAGGTCCAGAACATGATTTCTCCCTGAGAGCGATTCCCAGACTTTTTCATGAGACAATGCCTGTCATCGGCATTTAATTATTCTCCATATTTTCAAGTCTAATACGTCAGAAATTTCAATTTTACTAGAGGAGAGACTGGATACGAGGCAATGTGCAGAAGATTAGCCAGAATAGACCAACAAATAAGCCAACAAATAAGTTAATGAATGACTAGTATCTGAGCTGAAGGGCTTTGTTATTAAGTTGCCGTGAAACGTTTAATAAGCAAATGGATAGGAGAACGTATTAAACCTGTAAATTGTACGCAAGTGTTACTAAATCGTATGGCCTGGCAATATTCTGTTTGAAGTTAATTTAGTTCATCATCATCCACAGTTAACACAGTTTATCTTAATTATCTCTCATAAACATGAAATAAGAAAGGTAAGACTTTAGCTTGCTCATCTGTCTGAAAAACAGAATGTAACTCTGTCATATAACTGACTTGAAGCAAATTCTTCTCCAAAACCTCCAATTTAATGGTCTACATTACAATAAGAATAAATTGGAAACAAATAAGAATATTCATAACTAAAGTAATTAATGAAAAAGTAATTTTCATCTTTAAAAAGGGCCAGGATTATATGTTATCCTGATGACCTAAAAGACATATTTTGCAAATTCTGTAAGGATTGACTGAGCTAGATCTGTGAAGTGCTCCACAGGTACTGACTGCTACTTCAAGGAACTCTCAGTAGACACCTTTCTCATCTGGGAAAGGGTGACAGGACAGCATGTTAAAGATTAAACATTAAAGGTTAAAGATTACAGTATCGACAAGGCTCAGCTTACAAATGGGGCCTTCCCAGAAAAGAAACTATCAAAAATTACAGCTCAAGAATTGCAGCTAACAGAAACCTATTCAAAACAAAGCCGTCACGTGTGGGTGTGCAATTTCTCTAAGAGCGCCCCATCCCCATTATCTCCCATCAGTGAACACGTGCATCTTCTAGAATTACCTGCTGAATACGGGCTGCTGGGATTTCCCCAGGCTTCCCACATGGCCTTGGTCATGGCCTGGATAACTTCTGGCTCCAGGGGAGTCGTTGCATTATAGTCCATATAAACTTTCCTGAAGGAAAGAAAGCAAAGACACCCATTAAGGAAAAGGAGATGGCATATGGGAAATATGGCTGCTCTGTGTCTATCCCATCGGCAGGAGCAAATAATGTCAAGGGCATGGTGATCCTCTGCATAAGCACTGCAGGCATCCACAAGCTGCACTTGGGAATCTACAGATCTACACTACTTATGGAAAATGCATGCATAATTTCTAAGACTCTAGTTTTTGTCAATTTCTTTTATAATTGATAGGACTTGGATTTTCATTTCGGTTTTCAAAATTTCTTTCTAGCAAGGCACAGTGGATTGTGCCTGTAGTCCAGCCATGTGGGAGGCTGAGGCGGAATGACCTCTTGAGGCCAGAAGTTTGAGGCTGCAGTGAGCTATGATGGTGCCTATGAATAGCCACTGCACTCCAGCCCGGGCAACACAGCCAGACCCAGTCTCTAATAACAAACACTCTTTCTACCCCTTGGTAGGATTAATGGTCTGTTGGGCCCAGATTACCCATCTGACTGCTGTAAAGGGCAGATCACTGGCCTCTTCCTTATGGAAGGAGGGGAACAGCTGCACATTCCCCAAGGGAACTTTCCTGTCTGCTGTTTTAACTTCATCAGAGGTTCGCCTTATTTCCCCACACTCATTTTTGCGATGGCCTGTGGGGCTCCTAGTGACCTGGGCTTCTCCCTGGGGCAGGTGAACTTTGGCCCCAGACCTTGCACTTTCAGTTTCTTTGCCCAGAAAGACTACATGCCCTGCCCCCACCTTACTTTTTTAGGTCTTTGTTCCAACTTAGTCCTCTTGTGAGACCCCCTGCCCTGCAGCTCTGCTTAAAACTACAGCTGGCTGGGCGCGGTGGCTCACGCCTATAATCCCAGCACTTTGGGAGGTCAAGGCAGGTGGATCACTTGAGGTTAGGAGTTTGAGACCAGCCTGGCCAACATGGTGAAACTCCATCTCTACTAAAAATGCAAACATTAGCCCTACTAGGGAGGCTGGGGCAGAAGAATTGCTTGAACCCAGGAGGCAGAGGTTGCTGTGAGCCGAGATCATATCACTGCACTCTAGCCTGGGCAACAGAGTGAGAGTCCGTCTCAAAAAAAAAAAAAACAACAACAAAAAAAACAAACCCACAAAACTGCAGCCACCTATGTCCCTACCTCCCCAGCCTCCAGGTCCCCTTCCCGCCTTCCTTTCTGGGCAGCATCATCATCTGACATACCAGACTTGTTCCCTTACTGTCTACCTTAATAGAGTAACAGAAGTATGGCTCCATGGGCATGGGGGCTCTGTTTTTCTCACTGCCCTGTCACCAATGTTGAAGCCCATGGTTGCCACACAACAGGGGCCTGATTTTTATAAGATGACAAAATAAATGCCACAGAAAGTACAAATTCCCTGAAAGATCCCTCACTAAGTAAAATTTATCTGTATATCTTTTTACTAATATCCAAAACCTTCGAAAGCCTTTAGAAAAATGTGTAGTAGTAGTCCTGCCTGATATTAATTTATCTAGTTTTTAAATAAACAGTGCTTACACCAATCCACATGAAAACCCAGATACAATGACTAACTGTGGCTGTTAAGCCACTGAGTGTGGACAGAATGTGCATTAGTTGAAATGAAGCATCTTTTCTGTTCAAAATCACTCAACAGGCTGTGCCCTGTGGCTCACGCCTGTAATCCCGGCACTTTGGGAGGCCAAGGCGGGCAGATCACCTGAGGTCAGGAGTTCAAGGTCAGCCTGGCCAACACGGCGAAACCCCATCTCTACTAAAAATACAATAAAATTAGCTGGACGTGGTGGCACGTGCCTGTAATCCCAGCTACTTGGGAGGCTGAGACAGGAGAATCGTTTGAACCCGGGCAGTGGATGTTGCAGTGAGCCAAGACTGCACCACTGCACTCCAGCCTGGGTGACAGAGTGAGACTCCATCTCAATTAAAAAAAAAAAAAAAAATCACTCAATAGGTACAAGGCTTTGACAAGTTTGACTCGCCATCCTTTACCACTCTGGTACTAGTATTAATAGTCCTAGGAATCCCCCAGCCCGGCTTGACTTTGCATGTGCCCTTATATCTGTTTTTCTTTCCTATAAATAAGCATCCAAAGTACCTTAGGCTAGCTAGTGTTTGTTGAGCGACTGTAGCTCTTCAATCTGCTGCTGGGCTGAACAAATCTATTTTGTTCAGATTAATACTTTACACATTCCTTTGCTTCATTATTTGCTGCTTCCTTAAAATGCTATCAGTATTGGATGAGCAGGCTCAACTTTGTTAGCTTCATAACCAAAAAATAAAAAATCTTGGGAATCTCGCTCCACTGATTCCCTAGGGGATATTTTCCCAGATCCCTTCACTTTGTTCCAACCAAGGTAGAATGCCAAATGTGTGTGCTTTAGGCCTGGACCCCCTCATATTCTAAGCATGGGTAGCGAATGAGCTCACAAAAAGGAAAAAGAGGGGTCTGGAAAGAAGACACACAAACCAGAAAATGCATACCCCTGCCTCCTGCTCTTCTCGGACTTAACTAGTATGGATACCACGTGCTTCGGGTCTCCGCGCTTCTCAGCGGTGGCCATCCCGTTTCCTGCAGCTGGGCCAGCAGTCTGGGAGAACCCTTGATTCCCTTTCACCTGCCCCAGTGCACCAGCTTCCTACCAACGCATCCGTTTCTGGGCGCACACCACATCTCTCTCCTAGGTTGTTACAAGATCCCCAACTGGCTTCCCGGCTTCCTCTCGTCCCATGCCTACCCGCGCCCCTACTTTCTAGGAAGCAGCCAGAAGGACTCCTTCAAAACACTTAAATTGCATCGCCCCGTGATCAACTTCCGAGGCCCCATAAGGCTCCGAATGAACCCCAAAGTTCTTCCCGGGCTCAGGGGCTCTGCCGGTTCACCTCCGGCAAGTCCCCTGCCCTTCGCATCTGCTGTGCCCTCTTCCTGGCAGGCTCTGCTTCCCCAGAACCTGCAAACCTCACCCCTGGAAGTCACTCGGGTTTCGGCCCCAAAGTCACCTCTCCGTGGGCCCTTGCGGGGCCACAGCTCGCACCCGCTCCTCCTTGAAGCTCGCATCCCTGACTTAGGCCGACCTCGCGGACATCCCCGCGCGGGACGCCCCACGCGAGAGCGGCCACAGGCCGGGAGCCCCCTTCGTCCTCCCGCGCGGGACAATCGGCGACAGGCGCCGGCCGCTCCCCAGCCCTGCCCTAAAGGCGCGCACCTCTCCGGCGAGTTGTGTTTCCCGCAGCCGCTGGGCTGACTCGCCGCGGGTGCCGGCGCATCCCTCCCCGGCGCCACGGCCGCCTCCATCCCCGCCCCACTGCTGCCGGGCATCCAGCCTCCTTCCCGCGGAGCGCTACGGGCCCAGAGCGCCGGGGAGGAGGCGGGGCCGCGACGCCCGGGCGCGTCCGGATTGGCTGAGCGAAGCACCCCAGCCAATCCACCCGCTTCAGAGGGCCGCCGAGCCCCCAGCGGGGAGGCGAGGCTGCGCTGGGTCAGGTGACGGGTGGGGGCGGGGCTTAGCGCGTCACAGAGCTTCCCGGGAACCGGGCGCTAGAAGCCGCGTCTCCTGGGCCGGCGGATCCCCGCACTTTCACTTCCGGGGGAGCCCCGTGACCTTTGCTGTCTGCGGCAGGGCCGCCATCGGGCCGCGGCCGGTTAGTCGGCGTAAGAGCAGGCGGGGCCCGAGCTGGACCTGAGGAGCAGAGGCGGCTGGGCAGTCCTGCGGGTGCCTCCCTCTAGCCGCATGAGCGCGGGACCGTGCACTCCGGGAGAGCCGGGGCCGCGCGGCCTTGTTCCCCGCGAACCCTCGAGGGGAAGTGCCGGGGCCGCGGCAGCAGGGCCAGGGCCCCGGGGGTCTCCCGCAGGCCACCCTGGACAGTGATGAGCAGGTCCGCTGGACCTGCGCGTCCGTTAGTCGGAGCGGCTCCATAGGGGACCTGGATGGCGTGAAGTTAAGAGTCACGCATCGAGGATGGACTTGAGGGGATCTGGAGTAGAGGATGGGAGGGCATTGAGAAAATAGGGCCAGAGATGAGGGACTCTAAGTGGGCGTGGAAACGCAGGAAAGATTAATTCAAGATCTGTTTAGGCCGTTAAATAGGAATTGGGGCATGAGGGACAGGAAGGAAGCAAGGATTAGACAAGTGACTGGGAAGATGTTAGTGCCTTTATCTGGGTAAGAGGGAAGACGGGAGGGGGAAAGATGATGGGTTTAGCTTTGGACATGTTGAGTTGTCTGTGAGACAGTCACAAGTGTAAACATCCACCAATGGTTGGTGTCCCGCCAACCATTAAGAAAAGTCAGTTGAGAAAGTGGTAGAAATGAGCAAAAATCCTCACGAAGCCATCCTACCGTCACTTTTTTTGTTGTTTTTTGTTTTTTTGGCATAATAGTGTCTACCTTTAATTGAGCCTTGAACTATGCCAGGCAGTGTTCTAGGTATTTTTCGTGTGTTCACTAATTTAATCTTGATGATTAACCCAGTCTGGTAGGTATTTATGTATGAGGAATCCAAGATACAGAAAGGCATCTTGCCCAAGTTCACACGAGTAGTGGCTGGAGCCAAAATTCGGTTTCAAGCATGCTTTGCCAAGAGGTTGAATTTTAATTGGCTTTTCATGGGCTTTCTCTATTTTGTGTCCTGTTGGGGTCCAGAATAACTTGGCTTTTCCAGCACAGCAAATCTGCAAATTTCTGGACTCATTCTCTCTCATTCTTCCCTATAAACGCAGCTCATTTCTTGCCAAATGCAGCCAATAGCAAAGGGCCCACCAACATTTAAGAAGCAAATGGATGCACAGGAGCATGAGAACAGTCAAAAGAGGAGGAAAGGAAAGGGAATTGAGAAGGAATGTCAAAAAAGTCAAGAAGACACATAATAGTGTAAAGTGTGGCTGAGAGGCAATCCGAAGTCTACTGTGCGTAACAATTAGGAGGCACTGATAAACTAGCGAGAGAAGTCTCAGTGATGGGAGAGGCATGGAAGTTAGAATGCAAAGATGGGATATGAAAAAATGAAGAATGCAGTCAACTCTTAAAACGGTTGAGAAAGGAGGAATTAAAAAGGCGTATAAGATTACAGGCAAGCTGGGCGCGGTGCTTCACCCCTGTAATCCTAGCACTTTGAAAGGCTGAGGTGGGTGGATCACCTAAGGTCAAGGGTTCGAGACCAGCCTGGCCAACATGGCAAAACTCCGTCTCTACTAAAAATACAAAAAGTAGCCGACTGTGGTGGTGCATGCTTGTAATCCCAGCTACTGGGGAGGCTGAGGCAAGAGAATCACTTGAACCTGGGAGGTGGAGGTTACACAGTGAAGCTGAAACCATGCCACTGCACTCCAGCCTGGGAGTCAGAGTGAGACTCCGTCTCAAAAAAAAAAAAAAAAAAAAAGATTAAGAGCAAATAGAGACTGAACATGTTCATAGGCTAAAGGGAGTTAGCCAACAGGACGTGCAAGGAAGAGGAGCCAAAGTCCTGGAGGAGACGATAGGGGATGAAGTTAAGAGTAAAGGTGGCTAGGGAAGTTGATAGGCATGGGGAGAATTCATTCTCTAAATCTGTTTGGAAGGCTGTAAGGATAGGAGCCCAAGGACAATGGACAAAGTGACGATTCATCCCAAGCACTCCTTGGGCCAGTTAGGCAGCAATAAGGTTTGTGTTTCCAGGTGAACATAGTGAGTGTAGTGGTGGAGTCAGACAAGATAGTGTCCAACATGGCTGGTGATACCCCGAAAGAATTGAGTACAAACATACAGAAGCCCAGGTGCTGAGGTAGCCCAGCTGAAAACAGTTTAGGGTACAACACGCAGCAGCAGCTACCACCATTCCAAGTATACTGGTCACACATGCAACAGATGACCTACCAAGATGTCTCTAATACAAACACAAGTGCCCCATAGTGGCCAGACATTTGAGGAATGGCATCTCCATGAAGATAGTGAGAGGTGACAGCGTGCTGGCAGCCCTGGCAGCCCTCGCTCGCTCTCGGCGCCTCCTCTGCCTGGGCTCCCACTTTGGTGGCACTTGAGGAGCCCTTCAGCCCACCGCTGCACTGTGGGAGCCCCTTTCTGGGCTGGCCAAGGCTGGAGCCGGCTCCCTCAGCTTGCAGCGAGGTGTGGAGGGAGAGGCGCGAGCGGGAACCAGGGCTGCGCGGGGCGCTTCTGGGCCAGCTGGAGTTCCGGGTGGGCGTGGGCTTGGCGGGCCCCGCACTCGGAGCGGCCTGCCAGCCGGCCCCGCCGGCCCCGGGCAATGAGGGGCTTAGCACCCGGGCCAGCGGCTGCGGAGGGTGTACTGGGTCCCCCAGCAGTGCCAGCCCACCTGCGCTGCGCTGGATTTCTCGCCGGGCCTTAGCTGCCTCCCCGTGGGGCAGGGCTCGGGACCTGCAGCCTGCCATGCCTGAACCTCCTCACTTCCATGGGCTCCTGCGCAGCCTGAGCCTCCCAGACGAGCGCTGCTCCCTACTCCAGGGCACCCAGTACCATCCACCGCCCAAGGGCTGCGGAGTGCAGGCGCAGGGCAAGCGGGACTGGCAGGCAGCTCCACCTGCAGCCGCAGTGGGGGATCCACTGGGTGAAGCCAGCTGGACTCCTGAGTCTGGTGGGGACTTGGAGAACCTTTGTGTCTAGCTCAGGGATTGTAAACGCACCAATCAGCGCCCTGTCAAAACAGACCACTCGGCTCTCTGTAAAAAGGACCAATCAGCAGGATGTGGGTAGGGCCAGATAAGAGAATAAAAGCAGGCTGCCCGAGCCAGCAGTGGCAACCCGCTCGGGTCCCTTCCACGCTGTCAAAGCTTTGTTCTTTCACTCTTTGCAATAAATCTTGCTGCTGCTCGCTCTTTGGGTCCACACTGCCTTTATGAGCTGTAACACTCACCACGAAGGTCTGCAGCTTCACTCCTGAAGCCAGCGAGACCACGAACCCACCGGGAGGAACGAACAACTCCAGACGCACCGCCTTAAGAGCTGTAGCACTCACCGCGAAGGTCCGCAGCTTCACTCCTGAGCCAGCCAGACCACAAACCCCACCAGAAGGAAGAAACTCCAAACACATCCATACATCAGAAGGAACAAACTCTGGACACGCCGCCTTTAAGAACTGTAACACTCACCGCGAGGGTCCGCGGCTTCATTCTTGAAGTCAGTGAGACCAAGAACCCACCAATTCCGGACACAATAGCACGTGCACCAAATAGAATTCTCACCTAAGGGAAAAAGTTTATAGAGCTATCAGAGTAGGTCTCCAATAGAGCAAGGTCTTGAGACAAATGGGTATTTTATTTAAAAAAAAAAATAGGCTGTCATGAAACAAGAACAAACAGTGAAAAGAGATACTAGACATTAATAATTGAAGTTTAAAAACTCAACATGAGTTGTCAGGTGTTGGGGAAGGAAAAGATGCATAGGCAGAGAACAGAATTTTTAGGGCAATGAACTATTTTGTATACTATAATGGTGGATACATGTAATATATTTGTCAAAATTCACAGAAGATACAACACCAAGAATGAATCCTAATGTAAACTATGGACTATGGGTGATGATGTGTCAATGAAGTTTAATCAGTTGTTAACAAAAGTACCACAGTGGATGTTGATAGTGGAGGAGGTTGCGTACATGTGCACAGGCAGGGGATATATGGTAACTGCTCAATTTTCAAGTGAACCTAAAACTCCTCTAATAAATAAGGTTTATTGTTTTTTTTAGAACCCCCCAATAGATGGGTTGAAGAGCAGAATAGGCATAGCTGAGGAGTGAATTCGTGAACTGGCCCTAGGAATTCTCTGATTATTGCTCAAAAGGATAGAGATGGAAAATATGAAATAAAATTGTCCATTGAATATGGTGATTCTCAAGCAGAGGTGATTTTTCCTTCCAGGGGTCCTTTGGTCATATCTGGAGACAATTTTGGTTACCATAACAGGAGCTGTGGTGCTTCTGGGCTGTAGTGAGTGAGGCTATTTATACTACTGAGCATCCCCCACAATAAATTATTAGCCCCAAGTGTCGCCAGTGCCAAAGGGGAGAAACCCTGATGTGGTTCCACGTTTCCATTTGGTATCATTTCTTCTGCCAAAGGACTTTGTAGTGCTAGTCTGCTGGTATGCTTCCTTCAGCTTTTGTACACATGAAAACTTGTTATTTTGCCTTCATATTTGATATGTTCCTTAGATCTAGAATTCTGGCTTGAGATTTTTTCTTTCAGCACTTTAGAGTTACTTCTCCAATATTTTCTTGCTTGTATTGTCTGCACGAGACATCTGTTGTCACTCTTATCTTTGTTCCTCTATATGTTGTCTCTTTATTTCCTTCCTGCTTGCTTTGAATATTTTGCTCTGGCCAGGCACAGTGGCTCACGCCTGTACTCCCAGCAGTTAGGGAGGCAGAGGTGGGAGGACAGATTAAGCCCATGAGTTCCAGACCTGCCTGGGCAATATAGCGAGATCCCATTCTTCACAATAAATTTAAAAAACTATTTAAAATATTTTGCTCTGTCACTGATTTTGAGCAGTTTCATTATGAGACTTCACTATGGGGTAGCGTTCTTCATGCTCTTGTGCTTTGGGTTTGTTGACCTTTTCAGACCCATTGGATTAGAGTGTTTATCAATTTGGAAATTTTTTCTTTTCAAATATTTCTTTCTCCCCTGCTTCTTTGGGGATTCACAATTATGAGTTATCTCACAGCTCATGAAGTTCTCATGGGGGGAGAGGTTCCCAGTTTTTCCCTTTATTTTGGATTGTCTTTGTGGCTCTATCTTGAAGTCCATGTTTCTTTTGTAACATATAAGCTGCTGTTAAACCCATCCAGTGTCTTTCTCTAATTTTTTTTTTTTTTAGATGGAGTCTCTCTCTGTCGCTCAGGCTGGAGTGCAGGGGCGTGATGTTGGCTCACTGCAACCTCCGCCTCCCAGGTTCAAGTGATTCTCCTGCCTCAGCCTCCCAAGTAATTGAGATTACAGGCATGCGCCACCATGCCCGGCTAAATTTTGTATTTTTAGTAGAGACAGGGTTTCTCCATGTTGGCCAGGCTAGTCTCAAACTCCTGACCTCAGGTGATCCCCCTGCCTCGGCCTCCCAAAGTGCTGGGATTACAGGTGTGAGCCACCGAGCCCGGCCTGTAATTTTTAATTGAATGCTAGGCATATTATATTTTCTCTGGTGTGTGCTGGATTTATTTTATTTTATTTTATTTTATTTTTGTAGACAAGAGTCTTGCTCTGTCACCCAGGCTGGAGTGCAGTGGCATGATCTCAGCTCACTGCAACCTCCTCCCAGGCTCAAGCAATCCTCCCACCTCAGCCTCCCAACTAGCTGGGACTACAGGTGCATGCCACCACACCTGGCTAACTTTTGTATTTTTTGTAGAGATGGGGTCTCACCATGTTGCCCAGGCTGGTCTCCTGTGCTTAAGCCATCCTGACCTCTGCCTTAGCCTCCCAAAGGGCTGGGATTACAGGCATGAGCCACCACTCCTGGCCTGGATATATATTTTTAATTAAAAATTGTATTGAGATCATTGTAGATTTACATGCAGATGTAAATAAATGAAAGAGATCCTGGCTGGGTGTGGTGGCTGACGCCTGTAATCCCAGCACTTTGGGAGGCTGAGGCGGATGAACCACCTGAGGTCGGGAGTTCGAGACCAGCCTGACCAACAAAAATACAAAAATACTCTCTACTATACAAAAAACTATACAAAAATACTGTCTCTACTAAAAATACAAAAAATTAGCCAGGTATGGTGGCGCATGCCTGTAATCTCAGCTACTTGGGAGGCTGAGGCAGGAGAATCACTTGAACCCGGGAGGCGGAGGTTGCAGTGAGCTGAGATCGCACCATTGCACTCCAGCCTGGGCAACAAGAGTGAAACTCTGTCTCAAAAAAAAAAAAAAAAAAAAAAAAAAGATCCTTTACCCAGCTGTCCACAATGATTAACGTCTTGAAAACTATAGTGTAACATTACAGCCAGGGCCAGGCGAGGTAGCTCACGCCTGTAATTCCAGCACTTTGGGAGGCCGAGGTGGGTAGGTCACGAGGTCTGGAGTTCGAGACCAGCCTGGTGAATATGGTGAAACCCCGTCTCTACTAAAAATACGAAAATTAGCCAAGTGTGGTGGCATGTGCCTGTACTCCCAGCTACTCGGGGGGCTGAGGCAGAAGAATCACTTGAACCCGGGAGGCAGAGGTTGCAGTGAGCCGAGATCACCACTGCACTCCAGCCTGGGCAACAGAGCAATACTTCCTCTCCACCTCTCTCTCTCTCCATATATATATATACATATATATACATATATATATATACATATATATACATATATATATATATATATATACATATATATACATATATATATATATATATATGTATATATATCTCACAACCAGGATACTGACATTGATACAATTCATTGTTTTTCCCCAGCTTTACTCATTTGTGGGGTGTTTAGCCCTATGCAATTTTGTGATGTGTACATTTGTGTATCCACTACCACAATCAAGATACATTTCCATCATTACAGGGATCCTTGTATTAGTCTTAAAAACAAATCCACCCCCTCCTCCTGCCCATTCCTGTCTCTAACTTCTGCCAGCCACTAAACTCTTGTGTTTCTAAAATTTTGTTTTTCCAAATGTGTTACATAAACAAAAACATACAGCATGTTACTTCTTGAGATTTTTTTTTTTTTTCCTCAGTGTAATTCCTGGAGACTGGTCCAAGTTGCTGTGAATAGCTTATTGCTGTTCACTGCCGAGTAGTATTCCAGGGTATGTGTGTACCACAGTTTGATTAACCATTCACAGGTTGAAGGACACCTGGGCTGATTCCAGATTACAGCTGTTATAAATAAGGCTACTATAAACATTGGTGTAAAGGTTTTTGTGTTAACGTAAGTTTTCATTTCTCTGGGATAAATGGTCAAGAATGTAGTAGCTGGGGCATACAGTAATTGCATGTTCACTGTAATGACTCAGCAACTGAAATTTCCAACTGTGACTGCAGATTTGTCTGTCTCCTTTCAGCTCTATCAGTTTTTACTTCATGTGTTTTGAGAGTCTGATGTTGGTAAAGGCACATGTAGGACTGTCTGGTGGTGAATCTTCTGTTATGTAATATCTGTCTTTGTCTCTGCCAATTTTCTTTGCTCTGAAGTCTAAGTGATCAGATATCAATATAGTCACTGCTGCTTTTTTTTTAAATTAAATTCCGCATATCTGTTTTCATCCTTTCAATCTACAAATGTTTTTTAATTTGATGGGAGTTTCTACTAAACAATATAATTGAGTTGTGTCTTTTAATCCACTCTGCCAATCTTTGACTTAAGAGAATTACTGATATGTTAGCTCTTAAATCTACCGTTTTGTTTGTTTCATCTGGGTTTCAAGCTGTATCTCTTTACTTGCCTTCCTTTGGGTTACCTGAACAGTTTTCAGTATTCTGTCTTGATTTCTTTATACTGTTTTCAAAAACTGAGATATAATCCACATACCATAACCTTCACCCTTTTAGAGTACACAATTCAGTGGATTTTCGTCTATTCCCAAGGTTGTGCAACCATCACCAATTCCAGAATATTTTCAACACCCCAAAAAGAAATAACTGTGCTCATTAGTATTCATTTCCCATACCCTAGCAACCAGTAAACTTTTTTTTTTTTTTTTCCGTAAGATGGAGTCTTGCTCTGTTGCCCAGCCTGGAGTGCAGTGGCTCGATCTCGGCTCACTGCAACCTCTGTCTTCCAGGTTCAAGCAATTCTTGTGCCTCAGCCTCCCAAGTAGCTGGGATTACAGGCGTGTGCCACCATGCCCAGCTAATTTTTGTATTTCTAGTAGAGACAGGGTTTCACCATTAGCCAGGCTCTTGTATTTAGGTCTTTAATTCATTTGACTTAATCTTTGTATTATAATATATGACATGAGGTAAGAAAAGACTATTCTTTCTACCATTTAATTGTCTTGATACTCATCAAATATCTATTGACTGTAGGCCAGGTGCAGTGGCTCATGCCTGTAATCCCAGCACTTTGGGAGGCCAAGGTGGGTGGATTGCTTTGAGCTCACGAGTTTGAGACCAGCCTAGACAATATGGTGAAACCCTGTCTTTACAAAAAATACAAAAATATTAGCCAGGCGTGGTGGCGCATGCCTGTAGTCCCAGCTACTCGGGAAGCTGAGGTGGGAGGATGGCTTGAACCTGGGAGGCCAGAGGTTGCAGTGAACTGAGATCGCACCACTGCACTGCATCCTGGGCAACAGAGCCAGACCTTGCCTGAAAGAAAAAAAAAAATCAATTGATCAAGTCAGGCATAGTCCCACATACTCAGGAGGCTGAGGTGGGAAAATCCTTTGAGCCCAAGAGTGCAAGTCTAGCCTGGAAAACATAGTGAGACCCCTATCACTTGAAAAAAAAAACTCAATTGACCATAGATGCATAGGTTTATTTCTGGACTCTATTATCTATTAATCTATACATCTCTCCTTATGACACTGTCTTGATTACTATGACTTTATAGTTAAGTTTGGAAATCACAAAGTGTGAGTCCTCTAGATTTGTCCCTTTTCAAGACTGTGTTGGCTATTTGGGGCCCCTTAAATTTTCTCAAGACTGTTAGGATTAGCTTGAGAGGGTTTGCACTAAATCTGTACGTTTATTTAGTGTATTAGTCCTTTTTCATGCTGCTGATAGACATACCGGAGACTGGGCAATACACAAAAGGAAGAGGTTTAATGGACTTACAGTTCCACATGGCTGGGGAGGCTTCACAATCATGGTGGAAGGCAAGGAGGAGCAAGTCACATCTTATGTGGATGGCAGCAGGCAAAGAGAGAGCTTGTGCAGGCAAACTCCCCCTTATAAAACCATCAGATCTCGTGAGACTCACCCATCACCACGAGGACAGCACGGAAAAGACCTGCCACCATGATTCAATTACCTCCCACCGGGTCCCTCCCATAACACGTGGGAATTTAAGATGAGATTTGGGTGGGGACACAGCCAAACCATGTCATTTAGGGAGTATTGTCATCTTAACAATATTAAGTCTTGCAAAACATAAACACAGAATGGCTTTCCATTTATTTGTCTTCAATTTCTTCCAGTGGTATTTTGTAGTTTTTGTCTCTAAGTCTTGTTTCTTTTATTAAATGTATCACTAAGTATTTTTTATGCCATCACAAATGGAATTGCTTTTCTTATTTTCATTTTTAGATTGTTCATTGCTAGTGATTACAGTATACTGCACTTATATATTGCAACCTGGGAAAAGCAGTTTTGTCCTCAGTGAGCTCTAACTCAAGTCAAATACAGCCTTGCAAGTGGGGCTTTTCATGGAACTACAAGATTTGTTAAATGACACATTTCTCAGCTGGGCGTCATGGCTCATGCCTGTAATCCCAGCCCTTTGGGAGGCTGAGGCGGGCGGATCACCTGAGGTCAGGAGTTTGAGGCCAGCCTGGCCAACATGGTCAAACCCCGTCTCTACCAAAACTACAAAAATTAGCAGAGTGTGGTGGCGTGCACCTGTAGTCCAGCTACTCGGGAGGCTGAGGCAGGAGAATCACTTGAACCTGGGAGGCGGAGGTTGCAGTGAGCTGAGATCATACCACTGCACTCCAGCCTGGGCAACATAGGAAGAAAAGGACACATTTCTCCAGGAATGAGGCTTTGAAGGATCTCCAGCCATGTTCTGCTCCCTCCAGTGGTGTCTAGGCTGTGCATTTGCACTGTAAATGTGTTTAAGGCTACTGTGGAGTTTGAGGGTGTGAAAAAGGGATAGTGTGCCAGGCATGGTGGCTCACAGCTGTAATTCCAACACTTTGGGAGGCCAAGGTGGGTGGATCACCTGAGGTCAGGAGTTTAAGACCAGCCTGACCAACATGGAGAAACCCCATCTCTACTAAAAATACATAATTAGCCAGGCATGGTGGTGCATGCCTGTAATCCCAGCTACTCAAGAGGCTGAGGCAGGACAATTGCTTGAACCCGGGAGGCAGGAGGTCGAGGTGAGCCGAGATCATGCCATTGTTCTCCAGTCTGGGCAACAAGAGCAAAACTCTGTCCAAAAAAAAAAGAAAAGAAAAAAGAAAGAGGAATAGTGTAAGTTAAAAATGCCATAAACCTCTGTTGTTAATGAGATTTACATATTTTTCTTGAGTAAATGCTCTGGATTGCTTCAAGCCTATGGTTAATTTCCAGAGCTATAAAAAGGTGACTGATAATTTTTTGCCAGTTTTGTTACTTTTATGGAAGAGAACATTTTAAGAAGTTCTTGGCTGGATATGGTGGCTCACGCCTGTAATCCAAGCACTTTGGGAGGCTGAGGCAGGTGGATCACTTTAGGTTAGGAGTTCGAAACCAGCCTGGCCAACATGGTGAGACCCTGTCCCTACTAAAAATAGAAAAATTAGCCGGGCGTGGTGGCGCATGCCTGTAATCCCACTTACTAGGGAGGCCGAGGCAAGAGAATCGCTTGAACCCGGAAAGCAGAGGTTGCAGTGAGCCAAGATTGCGCCACTGCACTCCAGCCTGGGTGACAGAGCAAGACCCTGTCTTAAAAAAACAAAATAAGTTCTTTGCCAATTTCACTGATATCATTTCTATTCATACTGTCTCTTAGTGTGTCTCTGTAGTTTCCTTAGTGGCTCTGGTATTACAATATACATATATGACTTATTAAGTCTACTAGTGTCAACATTTTACCACCTCTAATGAAATAAGGAAATCTTACTTGCATTTAATTTTATTCTTTTTTTTTTTTTTCCAAGAGAGAGGGTCTTGCTGTTGGCCAGGCCGGAGTGCAGTGGTGCAGTCATAGCTCACTGTAACATCTAACTCCTAAGTTCAAGTCATCTTCCTGCCTCACCCTCCTGAGTAGGTATGACTACATGCATACACCACCATGACGGGCTAATTTTTTTTTTTTTTTTTTGAGATGGAGTCTTGCTCTGTCACCGAGGCTGGAGTGCAGTGGCGCAATCTCGGCTCACTGCAAGCTCCGCCTCCCGGGTTCACGCCATTCTCCTGCCTCAGTCTCTCGAGTAGCTGGGACTACAGGCGCCTGCCACCACACCCGGTTAATTTTTTTGTATTTTTAGTAGAGACAGGGTTTCACCGTGTTGGCCAGGGTGGTCTCAATCTCCTGACCTCGTGATCCACCTGCCTTGGCCTCCCAAAGTGCTGGCATTACAGGCGTGAGCCACCGCACCTGGCCCCATGACGGGCTAATTTTTTAGAGATGGGGTCTTGCTATGTTGCCCATGCTGGTCTCAAACTCCTGGCCTCAAGCAATCCTCTTGCCTCGGCCTCCCAAAGTGTTGGGATTACAGGCATGAGCCACTGCACCCTGCCCTATTTCCTCTACTTTTAAATATCATTGTATTGAGCATCAGACAGCATGATTTTTAATTTAACCAACACATATGATTTATGAAGATTATTTTATCACTTCTTTTGTTTGAAGAACTTCCTTTAGCTAAACTTTATGGGTAGATCTGCTATTAACTAATTCTTCGTTTTATTTCATCCAAGAATGTTTGATTTCACTCATTCCTCAAAGTAAGTTTTGCTGTATATAGAATTCATGGTAGACAGTTATTTTCCTTTCAACACTTATAATACCATGCCACTTCCTTCTGGCCTCCATGATTTCTGAGGAGAAATTCACTGCTTTCAAACTGGTGTCCCCCTATAGGTAATGCACTATTTTCCTCTGGCTGCTTTCAGGACTTTTTGTTTTCAGTTTTTAGATGGTTAACTTATTATTTGCCTTGGCATGGATTTTTTTTTTCTTTTGTTTGAGACGGACTTTCACTCTTGTTGCCCAGTCTGGAGTGCGATGGCGCGATCTCGGCTCACCACAACCTCTGCCTCCCGAGTAGTTGGGATTACAGGCATGCAGCACCACACCCAGCTAATTTTTATTTTTAGTAGAGATGGGGTTTCTCTATGTTGGTCAGGCTGGTCTCAAACTCTTGACCTCAGGTGATCCGCCCGCCTCAGCCTCCCAAAGTGCTGGGATTACGGGCGTGAGCCGCCACGCCCGGCCTCTTGGCATGAATTTCTTTGAGTTTATCCTGTGTGGGGGTCACTTAGCTTCATCAATCTCTGAGTCTTTCCATAACATTTGCAAAGTTTTCACATTTATTGTTTCAAATACTCTTTTAGTCTTACTCCCTTTCTCCTTTCCTTTTGGAACTCAATAGGAAATGGAATCTTTTGTCATTGTTCCATTGAGGCTTTGTCCTCCTGCACTCCCCCTTTTTGGTTTCTCTCTCTTCGGATTTAGTAAATTCTATTGATCTGTCCTCAGATTTGCTGATTGTATCTTCTGTTATTTCTACTCTACTATTGGGCTCACCCAGTAAATTTTTAAAGTTTCTGTCACTGCACATTTTAGTTCAATAACTTCCACTTGGTTTTCTATAAGTTCTATATCCTTGTAGAGATATTCTATTTTTTTATTTGTCTCAGAACAATTCATTAACAGCTTTTGAAACATTTTTATGATGGGTACTTTAAAAATACTTATAAGAAAATTCCATCTGATTCAGCTCATGATTAGTGTCAGTTTATTGTATTTTCTCATTTAAGTTGCAATTTTCCTGGTTCTTGGTATGATGAGTGATTTTCATTTGTATCTTGGACATTTCTATTATGTTAGGAGATTGTTAATTTAAATCGCTGTCATGAACTGCCTGACGTCATGTCTGAAAGCCTGAAAAGCCATAGATATTGTTGGGTTTTTGCTTATTTCATATAGGAGGGTAGATCCAATCCTTGTTACTCAAGCTGCAAGCACAAGTCCCCTCTGTCCTGTTATCTTCCTTCCGATGGCTTTTGTCTGTTTTCTTCTGCATTCTGGGAGAATTCCTCAAATTTGTCTCCACATCATTGATCTACTTTCTCAGCATCAATTCTGCCCTTTGCTGTGCACTTTATTACGATGATTTTAGTTTCTTCATCTAGTTCTTTTATAGTTTCATTCTGTTTCCTTTTCACTTTGGCCTATTGCCTACTTAGGGCTTTTTTAGTCAAAGGTGCAATTTACTGCATTTTCCTAAACATGTGGATTTTTCTTCCCTAAAAGATTTTTTTTCATTCTACACTTCATTTCCAAAATCATGTTTACCCTTAGAATCTCCAGGATATTACTTCTTCTTTTCTGCAGCATTTTCCCACAGGCTTTACTCAAGCAAAGTAAACTCTGCTCAGCCTTGACATCTGTCAGCTGATGGAAAGGCAGTTACCTTGCCTGGGTGGTGCCAGACGCCATCCTCAGCTATTGCCTGGGCTAGTAAGTCCACCCAGCTCCTGGTTGACTGCCACAAGCAGGCTTGCAGCTGGTGTACTGTGCTCTTAAGCTACTACATATTTACTCAACAGCCAAAAATCACATTGTAGTAACCTACTCAGTTACTGCAGCTGGCTAAGGCCTGTACTCCAGATGCTGACTCCTGGGAGAGGCAGGAATACATATGTGAATAAGTGCAGTCCACACCCTTGGTGCTTCTGGAAGCTTGGGAAAGACAAGGATACTCAGAAAGTGTTCGTCTACCTGTAGGAGCAGGAACAGTTTCATAGCAGTGGCACTATATGACCTAACCCTTGAAGGAGTCCCAAGAGGGAGGCTGAGTGTCTTGGAAGAGTGGGCCTCATCTCAGAGCATGTTAAGCACTACTTTGAGGCCAGGGTCTTCAGGGCAGTGGCTGGCAGGGTGGACAGGGGCCCAGTGACAATGGGCTCTGTATGCCAGGCACAGGAATGCTTATTCTGAAGGCAAGAGGAAGAGGTGGAATGGTCAGAGGTGTTTCAGAAACCTCTGCAGCAGTAAAGTGGAGAGGATGTGGGTGAGGAGGCCATCCCCACGGGTTTTAGTCTCACCTGCCTGTCTGGCCAGCTCTTCCACATCCCACTGCCCTTCCTACAATGACCATGGTTTCTGTCACATGCCACTGTGATGGGTATGGCAGAGCACACAGCCATGTGAGTGGGCTCCACAGTCACTGGGCTCCACCTGTGTCTCCTGCTCTATCTGGAGCTCCTTGCCACAGCATTCCCCAGGGAGACAGGTTCTCTCTTTCCAGACTAACTTGAGGCGGAAACCTCTTAGGAATAGGAAACAAGGCTACTGACCCACAGGGCTGCTCCCAGCTACAGCTCCTCCACCTCACCATGGGTAGGAGAGGAAAGGACACAGGTGAACAGGGTCACTGAGGCTGGAATACATATTTTTAGAAAGGGATATCTGGTAATATCAATGACTGGTTTGAGACAAAGTAATCTTCGAACATTAGGCATCAGGAATGACATACGAGTGATGAGCTGCTAGGAACGTCATGAGGCTGGACAATGAGGTGATGAAAACCCAACACTGAAAAATACAACAAATACAGACAGAGGAGGCCTTATAGGCCACAAGAGCATCACCTGGGTACCACCTAGATTATCAGTGAAGGGGAAACACCCACACATGAACTGTGGACCAGAGGCCCAAGGAAGAGACAAAATGGAAGTTCTAAGCCACTATGGCTACTATGTAAGTCTCTCCTGGTTACTGTGCCTCCCTGACAAGTATTTACCCCAGTTGGCTGTGCATGGAGGCCCTGTTCACAGGTGTTCTCTTTCCCAGCATGGGGAACTCTTGGAGTAGGCACTGTCATTTCCATCTGGCCCTGACATAAGCTAAAAAAAAAAAAAAAAGAAAAAGAAAAAAAGCAGTGAATATACTGGAAGAACTCTGGCTCAGTGAATTTGCCAATGAGAATCAGCAAGGCCTAAGATGAATTTTTTGAAGTGATCATTCGGTTATTTATATAACTGTGTGAACAAACAGATATTCTTAACAATGCGGGGTCCCCAAATGCTCCCATCAGTGGGTTTCTTGAAGAACTTTATTTTTTCAAACCACAATTCTTTCAATAAATAAATTTCTGTAATCTATGGAAACCCGGGGTAAGAGAGGTGGCGTAGATAGGTGATACAGACGCCTCTGAACCAGCCCCTCTCAGCTGTTCAATATGTTTAATTTTAGGTGGGGCTATAGGAGGGAGGAAAGAAGGGAGTGACAGGTTTTCTCATTTTTCAAATTATTCTTTGGCAAAGAACAAGTTAAACATTTTACTAAGACTATATATCAACATTTTACTAGACTTATTTTATGAAGAATAGTGAACGTGTAGCAAACTTGAATTTCCAAAGCGAAACATATGGATAAAAGTGAAGGCCGGGTGCGGTGGCTCACACCTGTAATCCCAGCACTTTGGGATGTCAAGGCGGGCAGACTGTTTGAGCTCTGGAGTTTGGGACCAGCCTGGCTAACATGGTAAAACCCCATCTCTACCAAAAATACAAAAAATTAGCTGGGAATGGTGGTGCATGCCTGTAGTCCCAGCTACTGGGGAGGCTGAGGTGGGAGGATTGCTTGAGCCCAGGAGGTGGTTGCAGTAAGCTGAGATCACACCACTGTACTCTAGCTCCAGCCTGGGTGACAGAGTGAGGCCCCATCTCAAAAAAAGAAAGTGAAAACAATCCTGAATTGGTGGTTTACATCTTCTTGTTGGAATTCTTACATAAAAAAACACAACCTGCTTGATTTGATTATTGACAAAAAGGGCGATGTTAACAGGAATAAGTGACTTATTTTGAAAATCTCTTAGGGAATAAGAAGGTTCTACTTAACAAGTGTAACTCAGAATGCACCAGTAGTGCCGTGGGTTTTACAGAAGAAACTGGAACTGATTTTTCACAGCAGTTCTTTAAATAAGCGGGGATGGGGAGTGGCAGCAGAGCAACCCCAGGAACAGCAAGTGGGGTTTGTTCACTGAAGACTGTGACAGATTTTAGTGATCACCACCGCCTGGGAGTTTGCCCACTGGGATTTTATTTTTCTTTTTTGGGGGTCTAGAATCCAGCAGAAAGGCTATTCAATCTTTCTGCTGCCATAAGAAAAAAACATGCTGGGTCTATCACCAGATGGCCTCTGAATGGGCTAGGACACTGCTGAGACTGGCCTAGCTATGAACACTGTTGTGTTCTACACCCCACAAGGTCTTTCCAGACAAGTGTGCAAGTAACTAGAGAAAGAGGAAAACATGCACAGGTGCTTTGAATCATGTAAACTGCCGAATACTAAGGTACCTGATCCTTTACAAGAATGGACATTCACAATGTTTTAGCTCCTGAGCAGCCTCTCAGGCCTCTCGTGCCTGGAGACGAGGGCAGGTGAAGACAACCCTAACCCAAGACACTGGCTCCCTGTGGTCTGTGCTCTGCAAATAAAGCTGGTGGAAACATCACAGATGACGAGTCGTGGGAGAAAAGGCGAGGGGCACAGCTGAGATCCATTTTCAATATCTGAGTAATACTCTTGCCTTGGCTCCTTAGTAGAAAGGCTGCAAAGAGATGGTCACCTGCTGGTGATTATTTAGGGGAAGATCAGAGGTAAGATGTGAGCCTTCCTCTGAGAGGCTTACCCTGGAAGTGTTTCCTTCTAGGAGTGCTTGAAAAACATACAGCTTATGCATCAAATTCTAAGCAATAGTCATAAGGACCCTCTGGAGTCCAGCCAAGAACCAGGATTCAGGAAGCAAAGGTTCTGGATGTCCAACTGGATGTCAGAGCTTCCCAAGAGCTTCACTTCCCCAAGGGCCTGCCCACTCTCACCTATTTCCAGGACTGGCCTTTTGGCCGAGTATAGGGATTCCCATTCCCTGACAGATCAGAAATCACCAACTAGTACCCGGTTGGTTGGGGGCACATGCGCTGGAGCCAGAAATGTGACTTTGGCCTGTGAAAGAGGGAGGGGAATGCTAAGAATTCAAAAAGTCTGGAAGGAAACTGGGTCCCACAGTCACCCAACAGATCCCAAGGGCCCCACTGGCCAAGCACCCAGGACAACAGCTGCTGCTTACTGCGATGGGCTGCATCTGAGTGTGCTCCTAAGATGGGGTGTGTGTGCGCAACATATCTCTGGGGGATTTCCACTAGACAGAATGGGATGATTCAGTTATCTGGACATTTTGAAAGAATTGCTTAATCCCTGATAATGAGCAAAGTGTTTTTCTACTGTGCAGATACTTTGATGTCAGAATAACTGATATTACCACTTTCAGTGTGGTCCAGAGGGCACACTGTCTTTCATGTACACTGCATAAACGTTTCCACTGGACAGCAGGCGTTTCTCCCACAGAAGCGCTCTTCTGAAAAGTCCTGCATCAACACCTGCACCACCAGCTGGGGAACTCCAGGGAGCCCGAACAACTACTATGGGATGTGCCCTGACTTGGGCCTGGGACTGGCACCAAGCAGAGAACCTCATTTCCTGGGTCAGAGGGGGCAGGAATTAGCTGCTGGCCTCCTGCCCTGCCTAGAGAGGAAGCCTAGTGCTCAGCTGGCAAGTTCCTCTGACACTAGGCAGAGGAAAAGTGTGAAGCTGCAGTACCTCCCTCTCCCAGGCCCTGAGAGGTGGGGATTAATGTGTCTCCTGGACAAGCCCTGAGCTCCTGAGATGCCATCATTCTCTTTAACCAATCTCACCCTTCCTGCTCTGTGTGGCCTGTTAGCCAGGGGCCACCCTCAAGTCTAATGGGTGCAAAGAGGAAGCAAGGCCTACATTCCTCACCTGCTGGGTCTCCGTGACAGACTGATCTCACAATCAGAGATTCTATAAATTAAGAAAAACAAACTAAACCCAGTAGATGGCAGATGGGGGAATCCAGAGGTCTAAGGAAGCTGGCAGTTAAGTTTGAGAGTGTTAGGCAGGCAGCAAATGAAACTAGACAGACATTTATTTTGTGTTTGATTTCACTGGTTCAAATGTCTACATGCTGGAGTAAATCCACTTGCCTCTCTTCAGGGCTTTTCCTCTGCAGTATATTAACCTGGCCGAGGATGGCATATGCCACTGTTGACTCCTGGTCCTCCAAGGCCTAGGAGGCTCACCCCACCGGCAGGGCCTGGAGCCATAGCAAACTCAGAAGAAGGCCACAGGTACAGTCTCAGTGACATCAGACATTGGGCTGATTCCTGAGGCATCGCTCCTGTCTCCCAGGACAGCAGGGTCTGGCTCTCTGATAAGTAGCTACCAGGTCACAATCACATGACCACTGCAAAAGCATCAACCCCAGCTGGTCCAGGCTCCAGCCAGTTTCCTCTGGGCAGCATGTTAGAATGGGCTCCCTGCCTTTTTGTTTTGATCATCCAAATCTAGCTTCAAAGGGCTCCAAAATGTGCTCACCACATCCGGACCCGAAAGCAAGAGCTGATTTTTAAGAGTGAGATTCTCATTGCATTTGGACAAAATGAATAATGTGCCTTTCATATTTTCTTTGTATTTCTCTTCAATAGTTGCTTGACCCAACATCTTTCTGTCTGCTCTATACAATGAAAATACAAACTAAATGAGAATAGAAAAAATAATTAAAGCATTGAATTGTACAAATTACAAATCTGTTCCAAAATATACTTACATTAAATAAAATACGCATTTCAATAAGAGATCTACAGTGAATGACTCTATGCATTCTGGGAGGCTTCACAACATCTAGGCAGGGCCAACATTCGTGAAAGAAGCTAAGAGATTTTGCATCCAATCACAGTTTGTAGCGGGTATCTTATTGCCAATCTGCGAGTTACACTGAACACATCATTAGCATCGCTTGTGCAGAAAACCAATTTTGTTTGGGAAAAGGGAAAGCAAGCTCTGGCCTCAATTTTGAGTTCATTACAACTTCTTAAGAATTTCACCAACAGCCTATACAGTACAAGTTCAAAAAAGTAAACATGTTAAGGTAAGCAGACAACTCTTCAGAAGCCCAAACACATTTTCTTGCTGTATTTATGTTGAATTCTCCATCTACAATGAGCAGTCATGAAGATGGTCTTCTTCAGGGCAACATGGTCACAGGACTGGGGCAATCCAGGGGACTGAGAGGGAGCATGAGGACGGGAGAGGGGGCTACCTCTTGCTGTTTCATGTTAGAGACAAACTGTAACACAGTCCATGGGCCTGCAATCGTCCCCTTTTATCATCTGGCATAACGTTTGATGTAGTCATCCACTTTATTCCGGAAGTCCTCCTGTGGAGTAACAGCATTGGGGACAGAAAGAAGAACAGGAGGAGTGAGTGAGTGAGTGAAGCAGCGCTTCAGGGACAAGTCAGATCCACCAGCACCAAGGTCCCCTGTGGTCGCCAAGGTGGTAGAAGGACTGGGACCTTGCGGAGTCTGAGTGCCATTTCGCCACGACCTGGGTGCCTACTGCACGCAAGACACAGTGCTGGGTATGTTGAGGGGGGAGCACGTGGAAGGCCTGAGTGGAAGGGACCCTAAGGGGGTACCTATCCCTTCTCATTTTCCAGATGGGGAAAGTGGAGCCCAGAAAAGTGTGGTCGAGGTCACAAAGCCAAGACTCCTTTGGCCACAATGGATGTGAGCCACAGCTGCTGCTCTCAGGAAGACCCTTGTTTCTGGATTTGTCTTCCTAGAATGATTTCCCTGGATGCTGCTACCTACTTAAAATGTGCCTGCTCTTCACAGCCCATGTACAGGCCCCCATCTCTTCTGGGCAGGATGACCACCCTGCCCAGAAGAGAGCTGGGTGTGCCACAGAGCTCCATCCTCATGCATTGAAATGAAGGTGGACAGTGACCAAAGGCGGTGTGGACCTAGGAATCACCCCAGGCCAGTATGGGTGGAACAATCTTCTCGGATCTGGGCCACTGTCAGGTTTGTCCCTGGATCTGGTCTCCCCAAGGTTAGGAGTAAAATCCCATGGGACTGTATGAGCCGTAAGAATGACTTGGAGCTCTTAACCCTCTCACTCCTACAACACAGCTGCTGGGTCTCAGATGTCCCTGCAGGATCACACTGCTTCGGTCCCATCAATGCCATGCAGCCCCCACTGCCCAGGGAACACAGCACAGTTACCATAGTTCTTAGTGGGCATGAGCTCCATTTCCTTAGCTAAGCCTCAGTCCTCCTGTCTAAGCCTCAGTCTAACCTGTTTGCTGATTCCACTGCATAATCCCGACACCTGGCAATGTGCAGGGTATAACCTGGCACTCGATGTATACCTCGCTGCTGCCGCGATGCCCTCTTGCAGGGAGATCCTGCCTGGAGCATGGTCCTGGCCAGCTGGGCACCAGGTGCCTGCCCTCCTGCCACACTTTTAGTTAGCACAGCGACCCTTTCCAGGGCGGGCAAGTTCCCAATTTGAAGCTATGGATACGGTCCCATGACTTGCTCTGGTCTCAGGGTGAGAAAGTGGAGTGCTCTGAGTCTACCCAGGTGCCTCTGCCCTGCCAACCGCCCTATTTGTCTACAGGATGGCGTTTGGAGCCTCCCACATGGGCCTTTACCCCGCAACAAAGGGGGACTGTGCAGAAACCCTGCCTGCCCTTTTACAAAACCTTCTCAAGGCCATTTCCACAATCCCCAGAGCCAGACAATACTGGCAGCTCACAAGGACCCTGCAAAAGCTTACAGGATGTAAAATGAAGACCCCATAAATGCCCCCTGCCTCTCCATGTTCTGGAGGACAAAAGATGCCATGTACTCTTAGTCTCCCTGTTCACCTCAGCCAGCATAGAGCCCGGCGTCCATGCCTGCAGCAGGCTCCATGCTCCAGCAGGCCCCATGCTCCAGCCTCTGCTGCCTCCCTCCTCCTCTCCTACTGCAAGGGACACAAAGCACAGGGCCCAAGTGAAAACCACAGACTCTGGAGCCAGAAGGAGGTGGGTCCAAGTCCTGGGCTCTGCCTCCAATGGGCTACTCAATCATGGTGATTCTCAGCTTCTTGGCAGCTGTGTCCTCAGCAGCAAAACAGGGATCATGATGGTATCTGCCCCAAGGGGCTGTTGTGAGAAACAAGTGCACTCTGTGTCAAGTGCATGGAAGCGTGCCTGGCTCCTACTATTCCATTCCTCTGATGTGCACCAGTCATAATGGCCTCTTTTCTCTGCCCTGAGCTCCACAGCACATTCCTGCCTCAGGGCCTTTGCACTGCCAGCCAAGGTTTTCTGGAGCGCTCCTCTCTCACCACCCGGCCCTCTGTGGCCCCCTCTCCACCTCACATGCTGTGTTTGTTCACCTATTTTTTTAAATTTTAATTTTCATTATTATTATTTTTTTGAGATGGAGTTTCGCTCTTGCTGCCCAGGCAGGAGTGCAATGGCGTGATCTCAGTTCACTGCAACCTCCGCCTCCTGGGTTCAAGTGATTCTCCTGACTCAGCCTCCCAAGTAGGTGGAATTACAAGTGCCTGCCACCATGCCCGGCTAATTTTTTTATTTTTACTAGAGATGGGGTTTCACCATGTTGGCCAGGCTGGTCTCGAACTCCTGACCTCAGGTGATCTGCCTGCCTCAGCTTCCCAAAGTGCTGGGATTACAGGCGTGAGCCACGGTGTCTGGCCGTGTTTGTTCACCTATGCTCCGCCTCCTCCTGCCGGAATGTGTGCGCCACAGGGACAAGGACTGTCATTCCCACAGTCATCCTGAGCACTTTGCACCTCCCCTGGCACATAAGTGGTCACCAGCCAAATAAGTGATGAACGAGTGGACATAAGGATGCGGTGCTCACCAGCTGTGACTATGACTCCGCACGGAGACGGGGATGGGGCGGCACTGCTTAGGCTTCATGTGGAGGCACCACTGTTTGGAGATTTTAGGTCCATTTTACTGGGGCTAAAAGTGTACCAGTTGCAAAGTCCTATTTTATACAAATCAGGAATATGAAATCTTGTTTCATACAAAGAAAGGTAAAATGGAAGACATCTCTCCACCTGGAGCTGTGGGAGTACCCCTATTGCCATCACTTTCTATCTGATAAGGCTTGGTCCACAAGGGCTAGTCCTCGCCAACGACAGCAGACAGGAGTGCCGCCATGAATGCCTGCAAGGGGTGGGCCAAGGGGCACATTTGCCCAGGGCTTGTCAGCGCAGTACCAAGCCCAAGGCTTTACCAGACAACACAAGCCCATCAGGACCACCGACGGATGGCAGGGGTCGGGGACTGATTGCCCCCATGGGGAGCTGTGAGCACAGGGCTGCCTCACACCCCTGCTACTTCTCTTGAGGACCCCTGCTGCTCCAGCCCTCAGGACAGAGCTTGCCTCCTTGGCAGCACACCAGCCTCAGAAGATGGCCTGCTCTGCCCGCCTGGTTGCACTGCACCACTCCCCATGCCCACCATGCCTGCCACTTGTTTTGTGAGTCTGAGCAGGATGCATGCTGGGTGGCACTTCTCTTGCCTCCCTGTCGGAGGTGCTCCTGCCCACTCTTTGGGGCCATGGTCAGGCAGCACCTCCTGAGCTCAAGACTGTAGCGAGGACTTGGCAGGGCACATTTCAAATGCCCTACTTGGTCGCGGCACACAGTAGGTCTAACTAACATTAACAGAAGCCAAGGCGCTAAACATTCAGCACGATGTCTAGAACTAGCTAGAGGGGTTTTAGAACTGTGTTCAAAGCTACATCAGGTCGGGTGCAGTAATCACTTTGGGAGGCTAAGGCGGGTGGGTTGCTTGAGGCCAGGAGTTTGAGACCAGCATGGGCAACATGGTAAAACCCCCTCTCTACTACTAAGAATACAAAAATTAGCCCAGTGTGGTGGCGCATGCCCACAGTCCCAGCTACTCAGGAGGCTGAGGCACAAGAATTGCCTGAACCCGGGAGATAGAGGTTGCAGTGAGCCAAGACTGCACCACTGCACTCCAGCCTGGGTAACAGACTCTGTCTCAAAAAAAAAAGCAACTTCAGCCAAGTGAACAGTAGTGGCTGACTGACTGCCACAGTGGCAAGGCTGCCATAGGGAATCTGGTTCAGAAAACGGAGTGCGAGGTTCTACCACCAAATCCAGCCAGAGCCCCTGGCCTAAGCTGAGCTACCTCGACGCCAGCCACACATGGCCTGCCTCTGCAGGCTCCTGCTCCATGTGCTTTGCACTGGGCCAATGGTAAAGTCATTTCAGACCCCCTTTCCTGACAGCACTTCCCCTCCTCAAGGCTTGTATGCTTTCTTTTATCAGACAGTTAAAACCACTGCTGCCTTGCTACTCAAGCACAGTGGAAAGGTGACATTCAGCAACTATAATTCTTTCAGCTTGGGTTTTGTTATACCTTTTTCTTCCCAGTGAGTTTTAATATATTGTTTCTAGGTAAACGGTCTTCCTTAAATAGGTGTCTTACTGGAAGACCTCAGTGTGGCTCCTGAAATGAATGACTGATCATTTATGCACTGCATTAGAGGAAAAAAATTTTTAGAAGTGGAATTGAAGATTAAAAATAATGAATAGGGGGAGCTCTCTGAACCTTGACAAGCTCAGGGTGCTGTCCTAAAAATTAAATAAATAAATAAAAATTAAAAACAGTAATGAATAGGATCTCATTATTTTTGGGTAAAAATCAAAGTCAAGTGTGTATGAATGTGTATGAGCTCAACAAAAGGTGTGGAAGGATAAGGTGGGCCGCTGGGGGTCAGGAGGGTGCTAGTGGGTGTGACACCGTCCATTCTCCTTCTCTGTTCCTACTATTTACTTATTTATGTATTTAAAGATGGGGTCTCATTCTGTCACCCAGGCTGGAATGCAGTGGCACAGTCTTGGCTCACTCAACTTCCCGGGCACAAGCAATCCTCCCACCTTAGCCTCCTGAGTAGCTGGGACCACAGGCGTGTGCCACCATGCCTGGCTAATTTTTGTAAAGACAGAGTTTTGCCATGTTGCCCAGGCTGGTCTCAAACTCCTGAGCTCAAGCAATCTGCCCACAGTGGCCTCCCAAAGGCTGGGATTACAGGTGTAATCACAACGCCACCATGCTAGTGCTATACCTGTTTTAAATTACTCATACTAAATTCTACTAGGAAATCACATAAAAAAAAAATCACTTCTCGGCTGGGCGCCGTAGCTCATGCCTGTAATCCCAGCATTTTGGGAGGACAAGGCAGGAGGATTGCTTGAGGCCAACCGTTCAAGACCAGCCTGGGCAACAAAGCGAGACTCCATCTCTACAAAAAATAAAAGTAAAAAAATTAGCTGAATGTGGTGTCATGCACCTGTAGTCCTAGCTACTTCAGGAGGCTGAAGAGGGAGGATCACTTGAGCCCAGAAGGTGGAGGCTGCAGTGAGCCACTACTGCAACACTGCACTCCAGCCTGGGTGACAGAGTGAAATCTTGTCTCAAAAAACCAACAAAACAAAACAAAAAACAAAAAAACAAACACACACCAATTCTCTCCAACCTTGGGTAAAGCATTTTCCTGAGGTTACACACATTTACTATACCATATTGTTTACAAATTGCTTTGAATTCCAGCCTTGCATCCCACCACTCTCTTGGTGGATAAATTTCTCATTTATCCAATCAAGAGACAGTAGTAATCGTGTTCGTGACAAGTACATCAACCTAGAATAAGCCTGTTACTGGCTCACCTTGTCCCGCAAATGATGTTCTGCAGCTTCAATATTCAGTGGATCATCAAAATTCAAAAGATCCTTAAAAAGAGAGAAACTTAAAGTAAACATTGGGAGAACTGCTTTTCTGCTGTTAAAGTCTTCATTTTATGGCACAGTAAGAGAAGTCTAATTAGCAAATGGCAGACCAAACTGGAGAGCTGAGAATCCCACTAAGAACTCAAGTGCTTGTGATACCAAAATATCGAACATGTGGGTATTTTTTTCAAAATGGTGACTGACAACTGACTGAAAGAAGTCAGAGATATGTTGACATGTAGTTCTACAAAGTTTGGTGAAGATGGAGTAAATTGCAATCGCATTCATTTCTAATGCTATTTGTGATAACTGGAGAATGAAAACCACTATTATTAAGCATTTCCAAATAAAAATCCCCTTCTTTTCCATAAAAATTCACTTTTTCTTTTGTTTTGTGATTAACAGTTTTGACTTTTTGGGCCCCTTCCCTGGACTTTCCTTTCTCTGCTTCACCAAGCCTCCCATGCACAGCCAATAGGGACGATGTCTAGAACCCGAGCAAACTGCACAGCAGTGTCGCTAGGCTCATGTCCCCCGACTCAGGAGAGGGAGCCCAACCCATTCTCCCCTGGAAAAGCACTGCAATGGCTACGCCCCTCAGCCCCAAGAAGCACTCTGGACTTTGGACCAAAGCCGCATCTTATCTTCACACTGCTCAGCCCTCTTGTTGAGAATCAGGGGGCTTGCCTGGCTGGGCACGGTGGCTCACGCCTGTAATCCCAGCACTTTGAGAGGCTGAGATGGGAGGATCACCAGAGGTCACAAGTTCGAGACCAGCTTGGCCAACATGGTGAAACCCCGTCTCTACCAAAAATACGAAAATTAGCCAGGCATGGTGGCGCATGCCTATAATCCCAGCTACTCGGGAGGCTGAGGCAGGAGAATTGCTTGAACCCAGAGGCAGAGGTTGCAGTGAGCCAAGATGGCGCCACTGCACTCCAGCCTGGGTGACAGAGCAAGACTCGGTCTCAAAAACAAAAAAAAAAAGAAAAAATCAGGGGGCCTCAATTTGTCCTTATGATGAGTCATGGCTTTCCAACGCAGGCTGTAGGATGGATCATTGTCAAGACAACCATATTTCTCTTCAGGAATGATGTTAAATTTGGGGACTATGTTCCTGGAGATTAATATGGCTGTGACCATTAAAATGTTACAAAATAGCAAAGAAAAACTGTAAATCTCTATAGTCATTCACAGTTGGAAAATCAGATTCCAAGTCCTAGAAAAAGGCAAAAATATAAAGTACATATTAGATAAAGACTGTTATCAGACACACAGAATTTCTTATCTTCTTTACTATATGTTAGACCTAAGATAAATGAGTTGATCAGAATAACCATTACAGACTTAATTAGCAATTTTGATTGGCTCTTTTAGAATTTACTTAGAGCACTGAGAGATGGGGAGCTAGTGTGGCTGTAGCAGATTTCTTAAAAAAAAATTTTTTTTTTTGAGACGGATTTTCGCTCTTGTTGCCCAGCCTGGAATGCAATGGCGTGATCTCGGCTCACTGCAACCTCCACCTCTTGGATTCAAGCGATTCTCCTGCCTCAGCCTGCCAAGTAGCTGGGATTACAGGCGCCCGCCACCACGCCTGGCTAATTTTTTTTTTTTTTAGTAGAGGTGAGATTTCACCATATTGTCTAGGCTGGTCTCCAATTTCTGACCTCAGGTGATCTGCTGGCCTCAGCGCCTCCTAAAGTGCTGGGAGTACAGGCGTGAGTCACTGCGCCTAGCCAACAATTTTTTTTTTAAGTCCAAGGAGCCAGTGTTTCTTTCCTCCCATTAATTCCCCTGCAGCAAGTTGCCAGTTAAAACCTATTCAGAGCCAAGGAGCCTGGGACAGACATGGTGGGCTCCAGAAAAAAATTATGGTGGCTGATGACAATGACGGCATATGGGCCCCTAGAAGGGCCTGAGTTCACAGCTTTGGCTCTCTCAATCAAATCTGGAGATGCCAAGGCTCAATATTACAATGCAGCACAACTGCCAGACAGATTTCAAATTAGGCTCCAGAAATAAAACTTCATTCACTTCAATGAAAAAGCCAAAGACAGAAGCAGAACAAAGTGGCTAAGACCAGCAGAAACTGTCAAGTCCAGGTGTCCATCAGGTATGACCTCCCATGGAGATTCAGGGAGATCCTGAAATCACTGGAAGTGCTTGATTTCTCTGCTTGTGTGATAGACATTCACCAGCTAACATCTGACAGAAAGACAAAAGGTGGGCAGGGACTCAGTTTAGTTTGAGGCTCTGCTTTTGCTGAAGATAAGAACACTGTGCCCTCAGATGACAGGACAAGTAAGAGCAGACCCGCCCCTAGTTTAACTGAGTCCTGCAGGTGCCTCTGCTGTAGGCAACAGCTAGTGACCCACATGACACCTGGCCAGGAGGATGCTCATAAAACAGCCCACTGGCCTGGGTGGACCATCCAAGATCATAGAGGCACCTTAGGTTTTATCAAAAGTAGCAAAAACTATTTTTTCACAAACAGATCTCTGAAGCTTATTTCTTTAAAAGCGCCTTTATGAATCGAAAAGTAAAAATTCAAAGGAACGTATAATATCGTATAAAAAAAATCCAACCAACAGCTTTTGGCTGAGTCCATTTAGCCTCTTCCTGCCCTAGGGCCATTGTCTGAGAAATGCTATTTCCTGAGAACAGCAAACTTCAGCAGCTCATCACTGACAAAAAGACAACAACTCTGAGGTTCTGGACTCATGAAAAGCCCTCAAGGCTGGGTAACCACAAAATCATCCACCCCAACCAGAACACCTGGGAGGTGACAGGGCCACTCCCTGGGCTGGCTAGTGTAGCCACAGGCACAGAAGTGGACTGGGCCAAGTGACCCCAGAGTAACAGCCACCCTGCTGGAAGGGGCTAAGGGAAGTGGAACCAGCCTCATCCCCTAGAAACCGGGGTCAGCCACCTCAGCAGGGCAGAAGTGAGACTGCTGTGGCCCCTGCCCCAGACAACCTCCCCACATGTCACTCCAAAGTCCCCTCATTCCCCACCTCACTGTTCTACTTCTGACTCATAAAAGAGCAATAGAAAAAAGGGGTAACTATGTAACTGTTTGCACGGTGGGCTATTTTTTAATTTATTATTTTTTTTTAGAGACAGGTCTTGCTATGTTGCCCAGGCTGGTCTTGAATTCATGGGCTCAAGTGATCCACCTGCCTCAGTCTCCCAACGTGCTAGGATTACAGGTGTGAGCCACCATGCCCAGCCAGCATGTTTTTGGGGGGTTTTTGTGTGTATCTGTTTTTTGAGGCAGAGTCTCTGTCGCCCAGGCTGGAGTACAGTGGTGCAATCTCAGCTCACTGCAACCTCTGCCTCCTGGGCTCAAGCAATTCTCCCACCTCAGCCTTCCAAGCAGCTGGGACTACAGACATGTGCCACTATGCCCAACTAATTTTTCTATTTTTTGTAGAGATGGGGTTTGGGCCTCCTGGACTCAAGTGGGGATCCACCCAAAGTGCTAGGATTACAGGCGTGAGCCACTGTGCCCAGTCCATGTTTCATTTTTTAACATGGTTTTGTGTTAAAACCATGTCTTAACGCAATGTCTAAAACCAGCAACAAGGAAATTGAGAATAACTTGGGATTTTGATCACTGTACTTACAGTAAACAAAGAGTTTAATCCCCAAACGACATCCTGAAATAAAAAAGAAAACAGAAAACAAGTTTTAAGCCAAAGTGCACCTAGTCTTTTAAACCCATGATCAAGAAATATGCTTTGCACTGTATCAAAACCTGTCTTTAGCATGGTTTGTTTTTCTCAAGATAGAAAATTAAAATAACTTCTCTTCAAGTGTAACAACAAACTCTGGAAAATTCAAAGATATGAGCAGTCTCAGGTAGTGAATATAAAATCAAAGATAGCATCAGACACCCTCCCAGTCAGACCTGACAAGCCCAATCCTGCACGACAGGGCCCGCAGGCCAGTGTCTGCATAGGGGCTCCACCTTAAATCACCTCTTACTTGTTACCACCAAATATGGTTCTGACTTCTAAAAAGTCACCTTCAAAATAAAGTCTGTTGTTTTTACATCTACTGCCTCTTGCGGTCGTAGATAAGTTAATTACCCCTCATCCTATTAAGTTTTCTTAATGATTTTGCATTAGTTATTTAAAGAATCATAGAAGATTCACAATTCAAGGATCAGAGATTTTCATTAAATAAAACTGAAAGCCAGAGTTGTTCTATCTGTACTGACCTGCCATCTGTGAATCACAAATTCATTCTCCATTTTCCTCTTCATCAACTCAAGAGTTTCGTCCTTTTTAGGCCTGTTCTCATGCTCCTCCCCTACTTTTTGCTAGTTGGTAATTTTATTTGCCTTTCTCTGTTTTCTCTAGTCCATCAATCCATCCACCCACCCATCCCTGACCTTCCGATGTGAGCCAGGCCTAGGGTTGGAGTGTGGGTGAAGGTGAGCCCTCAGCCTGAGGAAGGGGGATGTACAGATGGGCAGGTCAGCAGGCCAGCACTGTTCATGAGACGTGTTCCCCAGAGCACCCACCCTGGGAGGAGAGGCTCCAGAGGCAATGACAGCCATCTGAGCCCCAGGGGAGCAGGAGTCTGCCAGGGAGAGGGCTGGAGGAGAGGGCCGCCTTCCAGGTAGAGGCACGACCTGCAGAGGGAAAGTTCTGAGAGGGCAGGACATTTCTAGAGCGTGGGGAGAGGCTAAGAAAAGGCTGGGTGGGCTGCCCATGGTGGCAGAGACTACAGCTCGGAGGAGCTGGGTCAGGACTGCATGCAGTCTGCAGTGTTCCCTTATGCAGGGCCAGGGCCAAAAGCCCCTTCCTGTGCTGTTCCCCTAGGGTCCCTGCCTGATGTTAGGTACCCAACACCTGACAGTCTTCTCTGGCCATAGGGAGTGGTTTGCACATCAATTTGCTGCTCCTCCTCCAACACCTAGTGGCCAGAAAAGCTCAAGACATCCCTGTTGAATGAATGATGGCCATGAGGTTTCCTATGTGGCGGGTGGTTTGGCTGTGAAGCCTGCAGTTTGGGCTCCTATCTCTGGTTCTAGAATGGTGCCTGGCAAAGTCAACAAGGATGCTCATCCGGCCCAAACTGACCGAGGTCAGTGACTGGCTAAGTAGCCTAGGCAGCAGGGAGAAGAGGAGGCAGGGTGTGTCCGGCCACTGGTGTGGATGTGACAGGCAAGGACATGTGCTGCTTTCTCGGGAGGCTGGCTACTGCAGGGAGAGGACCACAGGGACAACTTATGATCAAGATCAAGGCACAGACTCTACCTTTAATGTTCTTGTGGGAGCCCAGCCAGTGCCATCAATTGAATGTTCTCTCAATAAACTGAAAAAGACAAACACACAGTGGTTAGTGAGGAGCAGCCACAGGTGCCCTGCACGCTGCCAACTAGTCCTCTCGGTGTGTGCCATGCAGGAGCTCTACTTTTTATTAAACCCATCTTTTCCTCTGTGGCTTCTCAGTTTTCTCTTGCTGAGGAAGGCATTTCCACCTCCAAGGTTATATACATATTCAATTATAACGTCTTGTGTTATGTTTATCTATTTGTTGTAATACTTGACATGGAAGTTTTAGGCTGAGGAAGAGCATGTTTAAAACAACACACAAAGAACATTTGTCAATTTAATATTCAGAAAATGACAATGGTGGCTGGGTATGGTGGCTCATGCCTGTAATCTCAGCATTCTGGGAGGCCGAGGCAAGGTGGGAAGATAGCTTGGGTCCAGGAGTTTGAGACCAGCCTGGGCAACACAGTGATACCCTGTCTCTACTAAAAATTAAAAATTAGCCAGGCATAGTGGTGCACGCCTGTACTCCCAAAGGTGGAGGACTGCTTGAGTCCAGAAGTTCAAGGCTGCAGTGAGCTGTGATGGCGCCCCTGTACTCCAGCCTGGGAATAGTGTGAGGCCCTGTCTCAAAAAAAAAAAAAGAAAGAAAGAAAGAAAATGACAATGGCAACAAAATGACAACATGACAACAGGAGTAACTGAAGCTTAGAGCTTATTATGTGTATGTCAGGCACAATCCTAGGTGCTGTGCCATTAAATTCACTTAATGCCTATAACCACCCGTGAAGAGAGCATCCCTGTTTCCCTGTCTTATACAGGAGGAAACCAAGGCACAGAGAAGACACGCCCAAGGGCACACGCCTCATGAACAATGTTGTTCTTCCAACCCAGGCAGCTCACGGGCACCGACATTCTGAAACACTGCTGATGCAGGTTAACAACAATGGGAGCTCCCAGCATATGACATTTTAATAACTGGGTTTTTTTTTTTTTTTTTGAGACGGAGTCTCTCTCTGTCTCCCAGGCTGGAGTGCAGTGGCACGATCTCGGCTCACTGTAAGCTCCACCTCTCCGGTTTTACGCCATTCTCCTGCCTCAGCCTCCTGAGTAGCTGGGACTACAAGGCATGCACCACCTACGCCCGGCTAATTTTGTTTTTTGAATTTTTAGTAGAGACGGGGTTTCACCGTGTTAACCAGGATGGTCTCGATCTCCTGACCTCGTGATCCGCCCGCCTCGGCCTCCCAAAGTGCTGGGATTACAGGCGTGAGCCACCACGCCCAGCCGTAACTGGGTTTTTTTTTTTATTTTTTTAAAGTTCAAAAGAAAAAGCTTGAGGATAAAAGATTAATGCAAAATTCTGAGTATCAATCACTCCTTAGGTGGGGGGCCCATGCTCAGGGAAGGCACACCAGGATTCAGAGGTCTGATGAAGCCCTGTTTCTGAAGCTGGTACCTGAGAGTCCTGGTCATTACTGTCTATCAGCTGTAAAGGCACACCATATACTCTCATGGAAATGATCATTCCAGTGCTCACTTCCGCAGCACATATGCTCAAATTGGGATGATACAGAGAAGATTAGCATTTTCCCAATAATCTTAAAAAGTAAAAAAAAAATTTTAAATAATTTTAAAAGGATTAAATGATCATTCCATACTTTGAAAAAAGTATAATTTATTGCCAAGCTTCCTTCTGGAGATAAAATTACTTTTGTATTTGTTGAATTATTGTGCTGTGGCTTTGATCTGTAAATAAAATATCAGGCTTTATCCATAATTGTTACCTCTGATAAACTTTTTTGAATTAGAGCATGTTTAAATTCACAAAAGTCAATTCAGATCAGGAGAAAAATATGTAGAGTTTGAATCAAAGCTATAATCTTAATTGTCTGTGAAGAGCAGTTAAAAAAAACAGATAACTAACCTTAAATTGACCATTAAAATTTACTTTTAGCCTTAAAAAGAAAAAAGGAAAACTCAAATCATGTATCCTACCAACTGGGTGGACGTCTTTCTACCCTACAGAGGTATTGGTGACTTGTGGATCTGAATTGTCAACTTCTGAATAACTTTTTTGGGAATGAAGTCAAATCCTAGTGGCTATATTTTGTTGAATGGAGGAATTATTTCTGATCTAGCTAATCATTTTCTTATATAGATCTTAATGCAACCTTCAGTTATATATTTGTCATTTATTTGTTGAATGCCTGTTTCATCCATAAAAGCAGGGAATGCTAATTCCTCTGCCAGTGCCTAAGCTCAATCAACATTAGCTGAATGAAGGAGAAGGAAGCTCACCCTGAGCTTTGCTGTTAACAGCACAGCCAGAGCAGGAGGGCTTTGCATCTGGCTGGGGCAGGTAATGGGGAGGCAAGGCCGGCCCCAGCATGTGGTGGCCACTGGTCTGGGCAGCAGTGAGGCCCATCAGGGGTGCAGTGCCTCCAGTCACTGAGGAAGTTCTAGCCTGGCCTCACAGAGGATAGTCCCAGCAACAGCTCAGGAGACAGAGACACTTGGCTATCAGAGATGTCATTAAGCAAGGAGACAAAGGACACCCCACGAACTGTAATAGAAGCTTGGACTCTAGGAGAAGCTTTGACTGAGCTCTTGACCTAGGCCCTCCAATCCCACAGACATGGAGCCTCTGACCTTGTGCCAGAGCAGGCGAAGGGTCCCTGCCGGGACAACAAGGTGGAGCCAGGGCAAATCTCTCTAAAAGAGGAAGGTGCTCCTGTGTGCCAGCACTGAAAGGCCTGTGGAGCCCCAGGCACCCATCAGTCCTGCTGTGGGAAGGGCTGATGAGCTGCTGTCAGCGTCACCACAAACCAGAGGTGCGGTTGGGCTTTTCCTTCCCTTTATTCGGGACACACCATAAAGCTGCCACTGGACACTGTCTGCTTTTCACTAACAAGGTGGTCCCCGTACATCAATCTGGCACATTATTTCCTTAGATTAAATCCCTAGAAGTGCAGCTGACAAGTCCAAGGGTACATACGAGTTACAGGTAGTCTACGTGGCTGAAGGACCAATGAAAGGTGTGCAAATACACACACCCTCCAACAAGAGAGCCTGCTCGCTCTCTGTCACACACTCCTCCCCCAGCCACCAAGTATCTACCTTTGTGCCTGCCAATCTGGTGAGTGGTAAGCCACACTTCATGGTCTTCTGCGCCTTTCTCTGGTTACTGATGAGAGTGAACATCTCCTCAGATATTTACTGCCCACCTCTATTTCTCCTTTTATGAATCACCTATTTGTAGCCAATGCCACATTTTTCCAGAGAAGTATCCGTCTTTTTTATAATGAATAGTAAGGACTATTTACATACCAAGGATGTTAATCCAGTTGATCATTTCTTCTTCCATTTTGTGTTTTTAATTTTTACATGGTCAAATCTGACAATCTTTTTCCTTAAGACGTCTGGCTTTTATATCAGGATACCATCTGTTCATCCTTATAAGGCTTTGCTAATCATCTGACTTCCCAGAAGACGGCAAAAGGGACAAGAGAGCTTCCTATTCTGGACCCATTTCTGACTAAGGCAGGGACAAGACAGGGAAGTAGAGTATGGCCCCCCAGAAAGTGAGCCAGGTGTCCTCACAAGCACAGGAGGAAGCGGGGCAGTGGGGGCCTGGGCCAAACACATTTATAACCTGCAACCAAAGATAGTGGAATTTTAATGTTTCAATACGTAAAGGACAGATACTTCAAAGGGAAGATGCTTTTTTAAAAAGGTATGTCTGGTAAAATGTATTTTTAACCATCTGTGAAAAACGAGGCTGATATTGAAGAAGGAGCAGTATATACAAAAATGAAATGGGCAAATGGGCACTAACTGTACTTGTGAAGAGAAAGGCATCCGGCCCGGCGCGGTGGCTCACACCTGTAACCCCAGCACTCTAGGAGGCCGAGGCGGGCAGATCACAAGGTCAGGAGATTGAGACCATCCTGGCTAACACAGTGAAACCCAGTCTCTACTAAAAAATACAAAAATTAGCCGGGCGTAGTGGTAGGCGCCTGTAGTCCCAGCTACTCGGGACGCTGAGGCAGGAGAATGGCGTGAACCTGGGAGGCGGAGCTTGCAGTGAGCTCAGATCGCGCCACTGCACTCCAGCCTGGGCAACAAAGCGAGACTCCATCTCAAAAAAAAAGAGAAAGGGATCCTGAGGTAAGATTTCCAGCAGCCACAGTTTACACATTTCCTTTCAAAGGTGATTAGTGTTTACTAAGGAGAGAGGAATGAAAGAAAAGAGATACGGAAGTTGAGCATGAGAAATGACTTAGGCCACTAATTGCATTTCATGTCAAAAGTAGGAGAAATGTGCTAAGAAAACACTTTGTGCCTACTTTCCAAACTGGCTGAGTGTGAGGCACATACAGTTCAAATACCTAGCCTAAAGTCCCACAGCTGCCCCGGGCAGCCGGGCAGGGGTGGGGGCGGGGGCGGCGAGCTGGACTCAGGTCCAGGTGGTCTGATATCAAAGCCCCTGCAATCAACCTTGCTGCCTTAAAGTGATGAAAGGGACAAAGTGCAGAAAAAATAAAGCCCAAATGTGAAACTTACTTTAAAAACCAACCAATCCACCTACACAACTTTTCCAGCAGCCTTAGGAGGAGAAATCACTGATGCCTGACGTTCTGCCCATGCCAGGGATCAGGGACACAAGTCACAGCAGGCATGAAGCTCCGAGAGGCTGCCTGCCCTAAGTGCCCTGACATCTATCAGGACCATTTTGGTAGAGAGAGGGCAGCTTAAATACAAGTGCCCAAGGTCGTCTCAAGCCTGCCATCTACATTTTTTCTCCTGGGTATCTATCATTAATCATATTTTCTCATCTTAGCTAAAATCAGCCACATGGAGGGAATGTGGTCTCTCATGTAAATAGGAGGGGAACAAGGCAAGGGACTCCAAGGGTCCATCCTGGGCAGGCAAGGAGGCTGCACTAAGAACTTAGTAGGGCTGTGGCCCCCAGAGGGCCAAGAGAAGACACTCGTCTGGAGGCAGAAGGTAGGGTAGGGTTTGGGAGCAGGCAGGCAACCGCAGCTACTTCAGCTGAGTTCAAGCCCTTCCTAATCTTGGCCATGCCTCAAAATCTTTTCAGAGGAGACAACATGTTTAAAAGCCCAACGCTTGCACATGACACTCACGAATGTAGAAGAAAGAAAAGACAATAAACTCACCTCAGACATATTTCCCCTGTCTCTGTGATGTTGGGGTGCCAGATCTTGGTCAGGCATTTCACTTTGGGAGGCTGCAACACAGAGACAATGAGAGAGATCACGCCGACAGTCTCTGCAAATCACATCTCCAGGCCAGAGCCTTACCACATCCCCTATCTAGACGCTTGTTTCATGGCTGACTCAGTGTGCAGTTTGACTCGCTGAACACGTGTTCAACCCTGAATACTGGCTCACCTCACCCATGAGGCATGTGTTGATGCGCTGCATCCACAAGGGCTAGTCTCAGCAGCAAAGTCTACCCGTGGGCTTCTGAGCACCTCTCTACAAGCCCCATGTGTCCTGCCGGCTGACAGTGCTGGTGACTGGACCTCTGTCACCTCCCACACCCCCTGGGTTTGGGACTGCAGAAGGTATCCACAGTGCACTCTAAGGAATAGTTCTACATCCTCTGGGTCCAAATCCAATCAGAAGCCCCAGATTCCTTTGCAATACAAGTTACTATGGCTGAAAGTTACTGCTCCTTGCAAGAACAGCCTGTTCCATTTGCTGGATTTTTCTGAAGATGCTATTGTCACATACGTTTTCCTAGATGAAAGCCCTAGTCCACTTTACATTTAAAGGAGAGAAAGAGAATGAAAATGAATTTGTGGGGATAAAGTATATCAACATCATTTATGACTTGGCATGTTTGGATAAAGTTCTTTTAAGATTTTTCTAGTTTGGGCATGGTGGCTCACTTTGGGAGGCCACCTAAAAGAAGAAAATATAATTAATGATAGATACCCAGGAGAAAAAAATCTCAGCACTTTGGGAGGTCGAGGTGGGAGGATTGCTTGAGGCCAAGGGTTTAAGATTAGCCAGGGCAATATAGTAAGACCCTGTCTCTCCAGGGAAAAAAAAAGAGCTGGGCATGGTAGCTCCTGCTTGTAGTCCCAGCTACTCAGGAGGCTGAGGTGGGAAAATCACTTGAGCTCAGAAGTTGTAGGCTGCAGTGAGCTATGATCGCACCATTGTACTCCAGCCTGGGTGACAGAGCGAGTCCCTGCCTCCAAACCAGAAAACCAAACCAAACCAAACCAAACAGATTTCTCTGTTACAAAGGCAATCCATACTCAGAGAGAAAAGGACAACACAAATGAAAAGAAACATACGTAAATATCTAATAAATTCTGCTGTCTTTCACTTTTGTTTTTTATGTAAGAATATATACACTCCATCAAAATGCTACCCAGAAATTATGTGACACCTGATGTACATGTGTTTATGCCTCTTTTCTAGGCCACACACATAGTGTGCATGCAGCATACTCATTTTTCTTTATAGAAGAAAGCTGTGCTACATATGTTTTAGTTATTTCTGCCATCGTTTCAGATGGCATCCTGCATTCCATGGTACACCTGCCCGAGTTTAATAGGCACTTCCCTACCTCTGGGCCCTCAGGTTGCTTCCTCTTCTCCCAACCCTGCTCTATCAATGCAGGGTTCATCCTGGGTGAAATGTTTCCTCAGGATGAAGCCCAGGAAGAGGATCTGCTGGTCATAAACCCTAGCTTCTGATACACTGCTCATGTCCTTCAGAAGATGTGACACCCCGCCCGCCAACCCCACCACAACCTGCAGTAAGGGAGAGGGCCTCTTCTCCAGGACCTCCCACAGAAAGGTCCCCTTGGTTAATATGCAGAAGTGTCAAATCACAGGATCTCATCAGAAAGGTCATCTCAAAAAGGAATCAAACCTTTGTGAAATGGGTAACATTTTCCCTGTGTATCATCTGCTATTAACTTTTATTTATGATGCTTTCTGAGGAGTTTATTTTTGTAATCAAATTTTTATCTTTGATGCCATACTTAGAAAATACTTCACCATCCAAATATCCTCTTTAACTTTCTAGTAAACTTTTATAGTTTCATCTTTTTATTTATTTGTATAAAGCAAAAATACTTTTTCGACACTATAATGAGCATTCTTCCTAATTTCAAAATACCACAAAATCAGTAGATTCCAAAAAACTGATTAAACTGACTGTGCAAATCCATGTGTCTGAGGACAAAGAATTTAGGTTCAGAATGAGTTTAAATAAATTTCACATTGTGCTTTTCTACAAATAAATGGGAATGTATTTAATAGAAAGGAGGAACTGCATCTTTCCCTTCTACTGAGGCATTTGGGCTGCAGAGGGAAGGTCAGACTGCCATGAGGGGCAGGGCTCTGTGCCCCCTTCTGGGTCACTGGATGGTGGCAGGCTAGTGCTAGGCCAAGTCACCAACTCTCAGTTTTTGTAGGAACCTAGAAAATTGGCAAACTCACTCTCCCTCCCAAGCAGGTACCCCTTCTGCGGAGGCCCTCACACATGACCATGCAGCCTGGTGCTACCACATCTCCCAAAGGCTTGCGGGTATTCGCCCTTCCTCCTGTCCCCTTCACACCTTCCATAATTTGATGTTAACACAGATACCTCCTTTTGTCAACGGTCCTCTTAACTGTGGTTCCAGAACAGAGGGCAAAACTCTGCACCTGGCTTCTGACATACATACTTTCCAAACTGAATTAGGCCTGTAGCCCCTTCCCCCCAACCCCAGTGGCCCACAGCTAGACCAACAAGCAATGCCCAGCCCTCCCACATTCCCCCTCAGTGCTTGGCACGGCCACCATCACTCACCCTGCCAGAAGCCTAATGTATGACAAATCTGGCCTCTCAAACCAACAGAGAACTGGGTTATTTGGTGGGTCACTGGCTACCCATTTGGAAAAACACAGTGTTCCAAATGCATTAAAATTAAACATAAAAGAGAATTATAGGACTAGAAGAAAATGTAGATGACCATCTTGGGGTCTGAAGGCTGCTTTAAGCATATCATAACATACAAAACTCAAGCAGTGAAACAAAAAAACCAAACTTGTATAGAACAACGACTAAAGACGGCAAATGCAAAACAAAGAAAGTATTTACAGCATAGCTAAAAAACTGAAGAAAAAAGTTTCACATACTTTGCTTGTAAGGACTCTAGTAAATCTAGAAGAAAAACAAATATCCCCAATGGAAACATGGGCAAAGGACATAATAGCAGCTCATAAAAAATATAAACAGCTTATTAGTGGGAAATACTATTCAGCATCCGACTTAAGAAATGAAAATATAATGCTTGAATCCAGGAGGTGGAGGTTACAGTGAGCTGAGACTGTGCCACCGGACTCCAGCCTGGGGGACAGAGCAAGACTCTGTCTCCAAAAAAAAAAAGAAAAGAAAAGAAAAGAAAAAGAAATGACAATCGGATATTAAACGAGATACCATTTCCTCCCAAAATGGCAACAACAACAACAAAAAGGCAAATATTCTACCTTGGTAATTGCTTAGGGAAACGGAATTTTCAAACATGGATGGTGAGGATGCCAACTGGCATTCCTCTCTGCAAGGTAATTTAATAGGATTTATCCAGAACCTTAAAATGGAGCATCAATTACTCAATACCCATAATGCCATGTCTAGGAACTGATCCAGAGGAAAGAGGCAGACAGACATAAGATGCATGCCCCAGACTTACCTCACAGCCCTATTTATTCTGGGGCAGCAGACCACAGCCTACAGACCAAATCGAGGCTGGGACTGTTTTCACATGGTCAAAGACTGGTTTTTACATTTCTAAAAGGTTATTGAAAAAACAAAAAAGAATATGGGACAGAGACTATGTGGTCCACAGAGCCTAAAATATTTATTGCTTAGCCCTTTACAGAAAGTCTGCTTTATACTGCAAAAGGTTGGTCAACCAGTGACCAATGATAAAGGACTGGTTTAAATGATACATCATACAAGGAAGTGCTCTTATTAATAATGATGCAATTGTGCATTGACTGACATGAATGTGTACGTCCATCATATTATGACGGGAAAGCCCCAAGTTACCAGACTATGTGTAGCATCGCCCCATTGGTATGTGGAATTTATACTGTCTGCAACAGACATTAGAGAGTCAGGGTGATCATCTCTGGATGGAGAGATTACAGGTTATTATTATTCTATTTTTGCATGGCCGTGTTGTCTCAATTCCCTACAAAGTCTGATAATTTCATATGAAGAAGAAGGGAGAGTGGGAGTTCAGGTGTCACTTGTGGTCGTCATCACTGCTGTTCAACAAGTGTCTCTGGCTCTCCTCCTCCAGGGCCCATGGCAGGACTGGCCTTCCTTAGTCCCTCCGGGCTGGCCATGGTCATGTTATCTGATTTGGCCAACAACATGTGAGGAGACGTGGTGTCTTCACTTCCAGGAGGAAACCAGAGCCAAGAACAAAGAGCTGTAATCCTTTCTCCTGCTACAGCACACAGCTTCCTCCAACCAGTCCTGACCGACGCACCTGAGGGCTGTGTGACACCACAGGCCAGCTAGGGTCTGGGCTAAGGCTCTCTCCTCCTCCAAGGCATCCCCAGGCCATGTCACGTGCTCCTCCTCTGGGCGTCCCCACCAGCCTGAGGAATAGCCGTCACCCACATCACCACCCGGGCTCCTCATTGTCATGTCAGCGTCTGTCTCCCCAGAGACTGAAATTCTTAAAAGGCCACCAAGTTCCCATCCTTGGCCCTCCAGTGTCTGACACGGAGCCTGGCACAATGTAGGAGCCCACTAAATGTCACTACATCCGTTTGGACAGTTTCTAAACTGACAAATTACAAGGCAGGCTTTAGGCTGGGAGTTAAACTGCAGAGGCAAAGGAACAAAAACACAAAGAAAATTTGAATTTTGGCTGCTGGGATATTGGGTGGGGTGGGGGATTCCAAATGGACATTTTTCTTTTAAAAGTTTATTCTAAAATAACGATCGACTTTATTAAAGGTTTTCCACATTCACAGTCTTAATAACAGACCTTCACTGCAGGAACTGTAACTCTTAGGAGACAAGTCCTTATGAAGTACAGAAATTGTGTCAAGTCAGTCATGGCAGTGAAGCAGATGCACCCTGAGAAGCCCCAGCCCATCCCTAGGCTCCGCACTGGCTGCTGTATCCGTTCTCACTGACCCACCTGGTGCCCTCAGAGTGTGCCCTCACACTCTATCCTGAATGCCTGTGCCTATGTGATTTTCCTATGCTGACTGAATTATTTCATCTCTTTTCTACACTAAGTTTGTAGGGGGCAGAGAGAGGGGCAACCACTGAACAATTTGTGTTTTTGCCTAGCATGGCAGGCACAAGCTACACACCGGAAATAGTGTGGGCAAGACAGCTGGCACTCCCTCAGGGCTCACAGCCCAGTGGGAAAGAGATGCTCAGGAGAGTCTGTAAGCAATGATTCATTATAAATATGGCAAATGCAACTACTTTTGTGTTCAGCCAAGTACTACACCCTAATGATCCCCTGGAGACGCCCTGCTGGGGACACCAGTGACATATGCTGGCCCCTAGAAGTTGCCCCACACTTGCCTGAATGAGAGGCAGACAGGAAGAAAACAAGAGAAGGGAACAGGAGGCTGGGTTCAGTGGCTCATGGCTGGAATCCCAGTACTATGGGAGGCCAAGGCAGCGGATCACCTGAGGTCAGGAGTTCGAGACCAACCCGGCCAACATGGTGAAACCCCGTCTCTACTAAAACTACAAAAATTAGCCGGGTGTGGTGGCAGGCACCTGTAATCCCAGCTACTCCGGAGGCTGAGGCAGGAGAATTACTTGAATCCAGGTGGCAGAGGTTGCGGTGAGCTGAGATCATGCCATTGCACTCCAGCCTGGGTGACAAGAGTGAAACTCCATCTCATTAAAAAAAAAAAAAAAAAAAGGCTGAGCACAGTGGCTCCCCAGCACTTTGGGAGGCCGTGGCGGGCAGATCACCTGAGGTCGAGAGTTTGAGACCAGCCTGACCAACATGGAGAAACTCCGTCTCTACTAAAAATACAAAATTAGCTGGGCGTGGTGGTACATGCGTGTAATCCCAGCTCCTCAGGAGGTTGAGGCAGGACAATCACTTGAACCCGCAGGCAGAGGTTGTGGTGAGCTGAAATCGTGCTAGCCTGGGCAACAGAGTGAGACTCTGTATCAAAAAAAAGGCAGGGGGGACAGGAAGGAAACGCTGGGGAAAGGAGAGGAAAGGACCCTACAGAAGCAGGGTAGGAACATGGTTCATGCAGAGCCACCAGCTGCTCTCAGTACTTCTGGGTTTGAGAACATGGGGTTTTATTCCTGATGAAATCTGACCAGCCCATCATTTATGAAACTTCCAAAAGAGACAGCAGTGGAAATAGAAAAATGTAAGATCATCGTTACAGAGCTAAAGGTCAAACACAGCACACAGAACTTCAGAAAGGCTGCATGGGAATGATGTTTCCCCACAGGGACTAGTAGTGGGGAGGGGAGAGGGGGGCTGGGGAATAGCAGGTCTGAGACAAGGACAGGAAAATTTAAGCCTTACCCCTCCACCTCAACCTCTGTGCCAGTCTCAAACTAATAAGGGAAACTAATAAGGGAAACAAGTCTTCAAGGCTCAGTGGCTTTCAAGTCATTCTTTATTCCATTTTCCTTCCTATTTCTTGAAGTCACAAATGGGACAAGACAGTATGACAAACATTTTCTCACCACCTGATGTGGTAGGAAGGGCACACGCTTAAAAGCTGGGCAGCCCTGGACATTAAGTGACTTCAACAATTCAGCCGTCTCCATTGGCAAAGCTAATGTTTTTAACTTTAGCTTTCAGAACCCAAACTTCCTAATGTATAAAGATATGAATGTTAAGATCACCCACTGACAGGAGGCTAGGGCAGGAGAATTGCTTGAACCCGGGAGCTGGTGGTTGCAGTGAGCTGAGATCACGCCACAGCACTCCAGGCTGGGGAACAGAGCAAGACTCCGTCTCTAAATAAATAAATAAATAAATAACCCACTGAACCATCAGAAGAATGAAATAAAGTAATGTGAGTCAAGACACCTGGCACACAGAGGCTCTCAATCATGCCCATTCCTTCCCTGGTATTTTCTCTTAGTTTGCTTTCTTCCTATAGTGAAAACAAGGAGCTCTGCTCCTAGATGATGCCAGATATACCTGAAACAATGGTTCTCTGATGCCTCACGACTTGTCTGGAAAGTTTATCAGCTTAGACTTAACTCCCTGCTATGACATCCAGAACGGTATGTCATAAGTATTTAGCAGCAAATCTAAATACAGAATTTTAAATACTGTATGCCTGTTTGTTTCCAGAAACCACCAAAGAGTCCCCAAATTCTAAACATCTGTACTGAAACCAAGCCTCTGGAACCACCTCCCACCGGACATGGTGCAGTGCTCCGTCGCCAGGTTTCTCAGTGTGGTTTGGGAAGGATGGAAAGTCTCAGCAGGTGGTGGATGGACAAAGACTGGAAATGTGTATTTTCCCATCTTTGTCTACAAATTTAAAAATTTCTTGGGCTGCCAACTCTTCCCTATCCCCATAAATTACATTTCAAAAAGAACCTTAAATGGAGTAGTCCGGTAAAAAGTCAATTTCCATAGATGAAGGTTTGCTTCTAAAACAAGTGTTGCAGCCACTGAACGGAGCCCAGTGGCTGGGGTTGGGGGGCAACTCCACTCGTCAGGCAGTGGGAGCACACTTCCCACAAGCGAAGTCACAGGAACAGTGTCCCCAATGCCCACATCCTCATGATGGGAGTGAGGCTTCCTTTTCTCTGGCAGCACCATCAGCTTGTGCTTTCCTACTGGACGGGCCAAGAGGGTTAGTTAGAACACGTGAGTAGGAATACATATCCATGGTGCACGCCAGTAAGACAAGCATGCTGAACTGCCTGTACGTCAACCCCTGGCAATTTGGGCCGAGACACATCACACCCGTCCCTGAAGCGCAGCCACACCTCCTCTAATACCCCAACTTGGGGGTGTGGAATTATTCAGACTCTCCAGTGGTTTGTCACTGCCAAATCGAAAATGCCCAACCAAACCCCCACATCTGAGTTTTCCCATTTTTTCCTCTATTCTTCCCCAACTCCAATTCTTCACTCGAGTTGACCTGGCCCTATCTGCCTTCTGCAGGTTGCAAGTTCTCATGTCCACACCTGTCACCACAGTTCATCATGTTTCCATGTCACCTAGAATACCCTCCCCTGGTTCTGGGCCACATCGGGGTGACTCCAGTTAGATTTCCCCCTAAAAGCTTAACTAGCCCTGACCACTTTCCAAAGTGATGATTACTTTCCCTTCTCTGAATTCTCAAAAACTAGTTTCCTATCATTGATGAGTATCACTACTGTCCTCTACTTACCATTTTTATCGCTTTATCAACTTTCTACACTTTATCTCTCCTAATTGGTCTGTAAGTTCCACCAAAGCAAAGACATAATGTAATGGTATTTGGTATAATTATTGTCTAAAAGGATCTTTGAGGGATTAACATGAAACTATAGGTATAAATTACTTATAGTTTAAACTACAAGTCACTGTTCTCTGAAATTCTAAAATACACATTTTATAGACTTCTGGAATTTTGGTGTTATATCATGAACAAAACTACAGTCATTTTATTAAATGCTTTTTTTCTTCAGTGCCAGACTGTAACAGATAAGAGTTATAGAAAATACACAGGCAGGCTGCCTGGCACATAGTACTCATAAGTATTTGCTGAATAAACGGAATTCTCTACTAACACTCTAAATACTGCTGATGAGTGACATTCATCACAAAAATACTGAAGTGAGTACTCAGTCACACATGGACACACGCAGAGGGGAGTGCTAGGGCCCTGTGCCAGTGGCGGGCCACAGCCACAGGCAGCCCCGCCCGAGAAGTAAAACAACAGGCTCAACGCAGGCTACTCACCACCATGTTGTACGCATCGGGAACTTCAGTTTCAAACTGAAATTTTCCACCCTGGTAGTAACCCTCATCTATCAAAAAACACAAAACAAAACAAAAAAATCCTTTAAATTAAAAAAAAAAGGAAACAAAAAGCAAACACTCTGTTAGGATATGGCAAATACAGAGAATCAGGAGTTTAAAAACAGGCCTGCAGAGTTCCTCGGTTCCATCACCAAATGCACACACACTGGTGGAAGTCCTGCCCCTGCCTGAACAGAAATGGGCTCCATGCTGTCACCTGCCTGTCTGTCTTCTCAGGGGGCTGAGCACACCCTCAGGGAAGGGAAGGGACATCCTTCTGGGGCCATCTGCCTGGCCTCCTTGCATCCTACCATGTTCCTGGAACCTACAACCCTCCGAACACATCTCATGCCTTAAGTGACTTCTTTATCTGCTTACTGCTGGTCTCCCCAAGAGAATGTCAATTGGAGGACACAAGACTAACAGTCACCAACAAACCCTTACTGAGCACCCAACCTCTGCTGGGCATGGTTCTAGGCCTTGGGGACACAGCAGTGAACCTGACAGAATCACTGCCTCAGTGATTGCTTGATGCAGCCTTCAGAACAGAGCAGGCCTTCTAGAAACGCGGGCTGGTAGGCACGAAGGAGGAAGCCCAGGGTCTGAGCATCACCACATTGCCATCCACATGCTGTGTACCCCCACTCCCTCTTTACCCCGCCCCCCACACCCTGTAGACCCCACAGGGCAGTCCCTCTCCTCAGGTGGTACCCAGCCTGGGGTCACTAAGTGGCTGCTGGTGCCAGCAGAGGGCACTTCAGCATGAATGAGCTTGGAAAAGCCACTGGAAATAAATTATTCTCAATTTTCAAATTTGACAGAATTAGCACCATTTTAAAATTAAAATTCAACTTCCCCTAAAATATTTATCATCATGAACAAACCAGTAATATTAAATCTTATCATTTTCCTCAAATTTTTATATGAAATGAATGCATAACAGCAAGTTGTTAGCCTCAAACAAGTCATCATTAAAAAAAAATTCCATTCCTTAAGAGTTGAGACCGTATCAACATTTATGTCATCTAGTAGTTAAAACTGGCATTACCTGGACCCTAACATTTTTTTTCTTTGCCAATTTGATAGAAGAGAAATACCAGTTCTCTTTTATTTTACATTCTCTGATGAATACTAGTGAGGCTAAAATTTATATGATTATTGGTCATTTAGGTTTTTCTTTTAAGAACTGAATGATCAATGTTCTGAAACTCTCCTTTTATTACTGAGGTATTCATCTTTTAATTACCAATACAAAAATCTCTTAATTAGCCTTTGCTTTTTAAATAGGCTACAAGCAATTTTTCTTAGTCTGCTGTTTGCATTTTGATTTTGTGGTTTCTGAACACTAGTTTTCCATTTTTAAGAAGCTAATCTTTCTTTAGGGTTTCTGTCTTTGGGGTCATGCTTAGAAAAGGCCTTTCCCAACCAAGATTATATCAATATCCTCTTATATTTTCTTCTAGTAATTTAATGGTTTCATAGATTACATTTAATCAGCTCATTCATTCATCAACTGATTGCAGACTAAGGTCGTATTTTTTTTCCTAACTGGTTGCTTAATCACCCCAACGGCGTTTATTATTCTAGCCTTCCTCCACTTACTTGAGATGCGTATTTCTAGTTTTTATAAATACACTTGGATTTCTGACTGGCAGTATAAAGTCTCTGGCAAAGATACTTGTTTGGGGAAATTTTTAACTCCAGATATAAGAACTTTTCAAATAAGTGGCATCTTAGATATAAAATACTCAGAGTACATATCCTTGTTCATCAAAGCATGTGTGGATGTTGGTGTCTTACATGTATTGTGATATTGACCACTGTGGCACAACACAGAAATCCAATGCCAGGCTTAACATTACAAACCACGCAGTCCACTCTGTGAACTGTTACACAGCTTTTGGATGATGCTGCTTCACCCGCGCTGTCCTTTTCCTTTCCCTTAGGAATGATTACTACCCATGCGAGACACCCTGGTCGTGGCTGTGCTCTGGCCATTCCATCCTGCCATGCTATATTTTTTCTCTAGTTGGCTTTCCAGTTCATGGATTACAGAGTTTCAACTCTATTGCCTACCACTTTCAAAGATGTTATTTGGTCTAATATGATTATCACTTCACCTTATTCCCTCTGCTCCAGTCAAGTTCTTCCTTAATAATTATTAGGATTATATCTTCTCTTAACTCATTAAAAAGTGAGAACAGACTGTTTTATTTTTTTCTCTTTCATGAAACAAATCTCTCTCAGGAAAATGATCTGCTCCTGCATCAGTACTTCTTTTTCCCTCTTTGAAGTTGCACAGTTTTTAGACCTGATCCAAATCTGCTTATTTATTATTGTTAATTTGCCCAGAAATTCCACAGTCCAACTTAAAAAGCAGCTTGGGAGCAGACTGGACTGAGATGAAACCCAAGAGCATCTCTTATTTACAAGGTTTCCTTCACGATGTCCCCAGCTTAAGAGTTCAGATTCACCTTCTACACCTGGCTCTGGGAGTACCTGGCCCAAGGCGGAGACGGTTCAAGGAAGGCCTGCTCACTTCCACAGCCGGCAGGTAGTGGACTCATTGAGAATGTCTGTAACTACACGTGCACCGTGGCCCACAGCACAGTACACAAGTCCAGGACAGGCCAATTCTATGTTACTATCGTCCATGGCTGCTGGGACTGAAAACACATTTCTCAGACAACTAGGTTTTAAAATACAATAATGAAATGCAACTGAGGGAAGTTCCTGGCACTCAGCTCTCAATCAGCCAGCCTGGCCCCTGCCCCACTGTTACAATTAGAGGAATTATCCTCCTCTTTCCTTGTGCTTTAGAGCCCACTCCTCACTACCTTTGAGGAACCATACTCCAGTGTCTTCAAGATTACCGAGAGCCCTGGGAAAACAAACCTTTTGAAGGGGTATGTCGCCTCAAATCACTGTGACAGAATCCATTTCTAGATTCTAGATGGCCGACATCCACATATGCTCTGTCTGGTAACAAATCTGTGGACAACGCCCTTGAGGCCAAGGAGTCATGCCAGCTCTCTGTCCCACCTCCTCTTCTACAACCTTCTTCCCCCCTGCAAAAAAAGGCCTACCTCCCATCTCCCCCTGTACTAGAATGAACTGTCTCAAGGAGTGGACATTCCCAGGGGACAAAAGTACCCGTGACGCACTGATAAGGGTAAAGCCACCTCAAAGCGACACATTAAGGTAGGGTTGTGCTTTTCCCTATATTTGCTTTTTCCCCCACCACTGTGTCTCCATTCGCTTTTCCCTATCTATAACCATTTCTTTCTTTCTTTTTTTAAATTATTTATTTATTTTTGAGACAGAGTCTCATTCAATTGCTCAGGCTGGGGTGCACAGCTCACTGCAGCCTCGAACTCCAGGGCTCAGGTGATCCTCCCACCTCAACCACCCAAGTAGCTGGGACTACAGGTGTGTGCCACCACGCCCAGCTAGTTTTTTTGTAGAGATGGGGTCTCACCATGCTGCCCACGCTGGTCTCAAACTCCTGACCACAAGCGATCTGCCCATCTTGGCCTCCCCAAAGTGCTGGGATTACAGGCATGAGCCACCACACCTGGCCTATACCCATTTCTGTAAAGGACAAAGCATGGTATTATAAATAGTATGTCCTGGTTCACGCTGGAGTGTCTTGGGTTCAGACACTGTGGAGTCTGATGGCAGGGATGATGAAAACTTCATTTAGTAACTTCAAACCCTAGACCACTGTAAAAGCAGGCATTACCCCTTTGAGAGCCAACAAAAGAGGATGCCAAGAAACAACAGCCATGGTGCCTTCCTCCACCTAGGGCACCAGTTCCACGTCTCACCTATCTAACTAGGAACCTCCAGGAGCTCAGAGTGAGATGGCTGTCAGAGGCATATTGTTAGAATGAAAATGAAGTAAGACTTTTGCCTGAGGGAAAGAGTGATTTCGCAGACTAGTTTGACAATTAATGTATATGGCAGATAGTTTTGATAAACTGAATGGGCTGAATCTGGAGCTCCAAGCTTTGGGTGAAAATAGGAAGAATGTAATAAGATTTTTAAAAATACTACATTGGTATACATATTAGCATGTGGAAATTAATAATACTGCTGTTTCTCTCAACTCTTCCTCAGCATTTCCAGCAAAAGCCTGCAAAGCTGCTCTGAAGTGAGGAGTGACAGATGTAACTATTCAGGGTAGAAAAGCATTTGATGTCCCTGCAGCTGACAGGGATTGGTAAAGTGATTCTGGTGGACACTTCAGAAACTGAAGCAAAGGACTCCAATGACTGAGTGACAAAGCCTTCTCCAAGTCAGGTGGCTTCCAATTCTCTACTTTCAACAAAATGGAAGAAGGAATCTAATCTAACAGTCAGTGGAAAAATCATGAAAATACTTTATATGACGACAGGCAAGGTGACTCGTGCCTGTAATCCCAGCACTTTGTGGGGCCAAGGCAGGTGGCTTGCTTGAGTTCAAGAGTTTGAGACCAGCCTGAGCAACATGGCAAAACCCCATCTCCACAGAAAAAAAAAAAAAAAAAATTGCCAGGTGTGGTGGTGTGTGCCTGTAGTCCCAGCTACTTAGGAGGCTGAGGTGGGAGGATTGCTTGAGCCTGGAAATTTGAGGCTGCAGTGAGCCATGACTGCACCACTTCACTCCAGCCTGGGCAACAGAGTGAGACCCTGTCTCAAAAAAAAGAAAATACTTTGTACAATCTTTGGCCTTTAACTTTGAAGTCCAAAGACAAAATGGCACAGCCATAACAAGACACTTTCCATGCCCATCTAATCTACTTATTTATGTGAACAAGCAGTCCTGAGTGTTTATATCTATAAAGACAAAATAATGGAAGAAAACTGGTATCAGACCTTTGTTTCTAGCATAAAATAATATTCATTCACAAATGCATCAATTTAATCAGGGAAAATGCTAATAGTAACCCCATCATTTTCAGAGATACACTGCAAGTGAAATGTTTAATTATCATCAAAATTTGCTTAAATTCATTATTCATTACACAAATAGTTGATGAGTGCCCACCATGTGCCACACACAGTTCTAGGCCCTGGTGACACATCAACAAGAGATAATTCCCGCCCTTATGAAGCGTATATTCTAGTGGAAGGGAGAGAAAATACATAAATTATATAATAGAAGGAGTAGAAAGTGGGAAGAGGCTGCAGTTTTAAGCAGGGAGGTCAGAGAAAATGATGAATTGAAGGAGGAGGGTACTGGGGTGAAGGACACTCCAGGCAGATGAAACAGGGTGGGTACGGTAAGAGGCCTAGTATGTTCCGTGAACCCTGCAGAAGCCAATGTGGTCAGAGAGTGAGGTGGAGGAAGAGGACCTGAGCCCAAAGAGGGAGCAGATGCAAAGGGTGTTGGGCCCTGCAGGCCCCTGCATGTAGCTGGCTCTGATTCAGAGTGAGATGCGGCCATGAAAGGGGTCTGAGTAGGGGAGGCACAGGAGCATATAAATGGATCGCAGAGCAGGAGCCCAGTTGTGGTTATCTGTTGTAATCATCCAGGTGAGAGATGGTAATGGTTAGGATCAGGGTGGGAGCAGGTGAAGTAGACAGATTTTGAAGGCAGCAACACCAGAATTTGCTGACAGATTAGGCACGGAGGGAGGAGAGAAGGAGTCAAAGAAGATCTTTGACCTTGCAATGGAAATGGCAGAGTTGCTACCATGAAGATAAAAGGACTGCAGATGGCACAACTGTGTGAAGTTCAAATCAGACACATTAACTTGAGATTTCAAGTTGGCATCCCAGTGGAGGTGTTGAGTGGGCAGCTGACAGATCATTCTTGAGTACTGGGAGAGGTTGGATAGAGAGGGCAGTTTGGGAGCCATTCAGGGTAAAGCATTCTGATGTCACAAGATAGCCAGGACACCAGGGAACTGACTATACAGGTCCAAAGACAGGGTGAAGCCTTGAGGTTCCCCCACTTTGAGGGGCTGGAAGATGAGGCAGAGGACAGGCAGCCAGAGACAAAGGAGGAAAAACCAGAAGCAGGAGCCTGTACAAATAACAACTGCAACAATCGTTCAAAAGCAAATGTTTAACACCTAAGAGTCTTACAGTTATAGGAACTTTTCAAATAGTGAGCTCTGGGCCGGGCACGGTGGCTCACGCCTGTAATCCCAGCACTTTGGGAGGCCAAGGCAGGCGGATCACAAGGTCAAGAGTTCGAGACCAGCCTGGCCAACATGGTGAAACCCGTCTATACTAAGAATACAAAAATCAGTCGGGCATAGTGGCGGGTACTTGTATTCCCAGCTACTTGGGAGGCTGAGGCAGAAGAACTACTTGAACCCGGGAGGCAGAGGTTGCAGTGAGCCAAGATTGTGCCACTGCACTCCAGCCTGGGCAATAAAGCAAGACTCTGTATCGAAAAAAAAACCAAATAAATAAAGCTCAATCTATCTATCTACCTGTATATCTAGTTACAGAAGAGTATAAAAAAATGACAAATAAAATACTTAAAAGCATAAAAATGTTTACATTAGGGTGCAATTCAAGGGAACAAGTGGAATGAAAACATGAGTGCCAGGAGAAAAACTAGCAAAGGTTTTCCAGCCAGTGAAGTAGAGCTTATTCACATCAAAATAAACAAAAAAACAAAAAAACAAAAAACTGTGATGATGGGAGTATCTGTGGTGGTGGGCATATCTGTGGTATTTATATTCTACACTGGAAACATTTCAAAGAGTAATATAAGACTTTCATTTTTAAATGTCAATATTTACAGCACCCTGGAAGTGACATCCTATGCAAACTTTAAACTTAAAAGGCTCTGATCCATCTCAGATCAGACTGTTGAAAGAGAAGAGACAGAGACAGATGGTGGAGAAGAGGAAGTGAGTGTGAGCGGAGGCAGGAGGCAGCACAGACATGGGCACCAGGGAGTGGCCAGGACTCTGGGATGCAGGGCTGCAGACAAAGGCACAATGACAGCTATTGTATAGAGATGCTGAGACTTAGAGGAAAACATGAACATAATGAGGAAAGAAATGGACGGTTACGGGGAAAGCACCAAATGGAACGTCAACAGCTAGAAAATACAGTATCTGAAATGAAAAATTCACTGGATGCGCTTAACAGCAAATGAGACATTGCAGAAAAACAAACTGTCCAAAATGAGGCACAGAAAGAAAAGTGAACGAAGACCTGCGACCCAATGGAGGTATAATTTACACGTAGAAGTAATCTATATGTAAGACATATATGATATAGATATATAAACTAGAGTGCCAGAAAACGATCACAGAAAAATATTTAAAGAAATGTTGGCCAAATTATTTCTAAATTGGATGAAAACTATAACTCACAGATCCAAAAAGCTTAATAAACCCCAAGTGTGATAAAAAGAAAAAACCACTTCAAAGCACATTATAATCAAACTGCTGAAAGCAGTGATAAGGAGAAAATCTTAAAAGCAGCCAGAGAATAAAATGCACATCGCATAAAGTGGAACAAAGAATCACCACTAACTTGTAAGGAAAAAATACAGAAGGCAGTAGAATGATATCCTTAAAATGCTGAAACTGTCAACTTAAGAATTCAAACTTCAGCAACACTTGACAGAATTCATCACAAGCAAATCTGCACTACAAAAAAATCTTCAAGGATGTTCTTTAGGCAGAAGGAAAATAACAGAGAGGAGAAATCTAGATCTACAAAAGGGAATGAGGGTCATAAATGTTAAGTATGTGGAGACATATATTTTAAAAACAGACTGTAAAGCACAGATAATATATTCTGGGTTACAACATATGTAAAAGTAAAACAAATGAGAACTATAATATAAAGGTTGAGCTGGGAAATGGAAACATACTACTGTTTGTCTAAGCTTCCATCTTAAACATCAGAAAAAGAAGAGCAAATTAAACTGGAAATAAAGAGGAGGGAAATAACAAAGACATGAACAAAATTCAAAAAACAACAGGGCAAAATCAATGAACCTAAAAGTAGGTTCTTTGCAAAGGTCAAAAAATTGACAATCTTCTCATTAACCTGATCAAGAGAAAAAGACAAAAATTACAACATCAGTAATTAAAGAGGAGATACAACACAAACTCTACAGAACTTAAAAGGATAGGATAAGATGATACTAAGAACATTATATCAATAAATTGAAAAATGCAGATGATATGAGCAAATCCCTTGAAGGACACAAATTAGTGAAGCCCACTCAAGAATAACCTAGGCAGCCCTATATCTATTAGAAATTGTGTTTATACTTAAAATCTTACCACAACAAAACAAAATTCCAGAGACAGGTGGCTTCACAGGTGAATTCTACCACTGAATAAAGAATTAATAGGCCAGGCACAGTGGCTCACACCTGTAATCTCAGCACTTTGGGAGGATCACTTGAGCCCAAGGGTTCGAGACCAGCCTGGGCAACATAGTGAGACCCCCGTCTCTACAAAAAATAATTAGCTGGACATGGTAGTGCATCTGCCCACTACAGACGATGGGCATCTGTAGTCCCAGTTACCTGGGAGCCTGAGGCGGGAGGACTGCTTGAGCCCAGGATGTTGAGGCTGCAGTGAGGCGTGATCGTGCCACTGTGCTTCAGCCTGGGCAAGAGAGTAAGACCTTGTCTAAAAAAAAATCAATTAACTAATTAATACTAATTTTACACAAACTCTTCCAGAGAATAGGACACTCCCCAAATGCATTCAAAGACCAGAATGCATTACCTTGACACCAAAATTAGGCAACTCATTACAAAAAAAACTACAAATATCCCTCACAGACAGGTAAGGATTTGTAAAAATTCTTAACAAAATACTAATATATCAAACTGAGCAATATATGAAACCATTAACACATAATACATGATGAATTATGGTTTATCTCACAAATGCAGCTTTGGTTCAACATTTGAAAAATAATCTATTAATGTAATTTACCTTATCAACAGACCAAAACAGAAAAACCATTATGATCACCTCAGTAGATGCAGAAAAAGCATTTGGCAAATTAAGCATCCATTCATTATTGGCCATTTTTGGTTTGGGAGGAAAAAAGCATCCATTCATGATTAAAAAAAAAATACATACATACATATACATATATATGTATATATGCAAACAAGAAGTAGAAAAGAACTTCTCAACCTGATAAAGGGCATCTGCAAAAACCCTATAGCAAGGCCGGACTCAGTGGCTCACGCCTGTAATCCCAGCACTTTGGGAGACCAAGGTGGGCAGATTACCTGAGGTCAGGAGTTCGAGACCAGCCTGGCCAATATGGTGAAATGCCATATCTACTAAAAATATAAAAATTAGCTGGGCATGGTGGTGGGCACCTGTAGTCCCAGCTAATTAGGAAGCTGAGGCACATGAATCGCCTGAACCCGGGAGGCAGAGAATGCAGTGAGCTGAGATCACACCACTGCACTCCAGCCTTGGCGATAGAGCAAGACTCTGTCTCGAAAAAACAGACAAAAACCCTACAGCAAACCATACACGTAATGATGAAAGACTGACAGCAACCCCCTAAGATTAGAAACAAGCCAGCTGGGTGCAGTGGCTCACGCCTGTAATCCCAGCACTTTGGGAGGCAGAGGCAGGCGGATCACCTGAGGTTGGGAGTTCGAGACCAGCCTGACCAACATGGTGAAACCTCATCTCTACTAAAAATACAAAAATTAGCCGGGTGTGGTGGTGCATGCCTATAATCCCAGCTACTTGGGAGGCTGAGGCAAGAGAATTGCTTGAACCTGGGAGGTGGAGGTTGTGGTGAGCTGAGATCATGCCATTGTACTCCAGCCTGGGAAACAAGAAGGAAACTCTCAAAAAAAAAAAAAAAAAGAAAAAAGAAAAAAGGAACAAGCCAAGGATGTCCCTCCTACCACTTCTATATATGACTGTACTGGAAGTCTTAGACAACAAAGTAAAGCAAGAAGAGGAAACAGAAGGATACAGACTGAAAGGGAGAGATAAAATTGTCTTTATGCATAGATGGCATGATAGTTTACATAGGAAAGTCTACAGAATCCACAATACAACTACTACAATGAAAAGCAGGTTTATCAAGGTTGTAGGACACAAGGTCACTATACAAAAATCAGCTGTATTTTTATGTACTAGCAACAGAAAACTGAAATGGAGATATAAACCATGTTCATGGATTAGAAGATGTGATAATTAAGATGACAATTGATATGGTTTGGACGTGTGTCCCCTCCAAATCTCATGTTGAAATGTGATGCCCATTGTTTGTTTGAGGTGGGGTCTGGTGGGAGGTGTCTGGGTGATGGAGAAGATCCCTTATGAATGGCTTAGTGCCATGGTAATTAGTGAGTTTTTACTGTTAGTTCATGCAAGAGTTGGTTGTTTAAAAGAGTCTGCATCTCTTTTGCTCCCTCTCTCACCATGTGATATGCCGGCTCCACTTTGCCTTCCGCTAGGATTATAAGCTTCCTGATGCCCTCACTAGAGGCAGATGCCAGCACCGTGCTTCCTACACAGCCTGCAGAACCATAAGCCAAAATTAGCCTCTTCTTCACAAATTACCTGGCCTCAGGTATTTCTTTATAGCAATGCAAATAAACAAACACAGCAATTCTCCCCAAATTGATTTACATTAGAGTCAATGCAGTCCTAATCAAAATCTCAGCAAGTTTTTTGCCGAATTTCACAGGCTGATTCTAAAGTGTATGTGGAAAAGTAAAGGAACAAAAATCACCAAAATAATTTTCTACCAAAAAGTAGAAAAATGTTGAAGGAGTCAGAGGTCACATGATGGGATTTCAAGACTTACTATAAAGCCATAATAATCAAGCAGTAGTATTTGTACAAGTGTAGACGTGCAGAACAATGGAATGGAACAGAGTCCAGAAGCACACCCACACACATATAGTCATGTAATGTCAACAAAGGTGCCAAGGTAAGTCAATGGGAAAACCCTGTTCAACAAATGGTGCTAGAAATGGACAATGCAAAAAAGAGATAGAAAAAAAAAACCAGAAAACTACACTCTTCTCTTGTATAATATGTGAAAATTAACTCAAACTGGATCACAGACCTAACCATAAAACCTAGAGCTATAAAACTTCTGCTTTTAAAAAAATAAGGCCGGGCATGGTGGCTCCTGCCTGTAATCCCAGTACTTTGGGAGGCCAAAGTTGGCTGATCACTTGAGCCCAAGAGTCAAGACTAGCTTGTGCAACATGGTGAAACCCTGTCTCTACAAAAAATACAAAAATCAGCCAGGTGTGGTAGCATGTTCCTGTGGTCCCAGCTACCTCAGGAGGCTGAGGCGGAAGGATAACTTGAGCCCAGGAGGTGGAGGTTACAGTGAGCCATGATCGTGACACTGCATTCCAGCTGGGGCAACAGAGCGAGACCCTGTCTCAAAAAAATAAAATAATTTTAAAAATAAGAGAAAATCTTTGTATTTCTTAGACAAAGATTTCTTAGGACACAACAAACACAAACTATTCTTACTAGTTTTGCATTGCTGCTATAATAAATTTCCACAAACTCTGTGCCTTGAACAATACAAATTTATTATCTTCTGGAGGCCAGAAGACCAAAATGGGTCTCACTAGGCTAAGATCATGAAGTTGGCAAGAGGGCACTCCTTTCTGGATGCCCCAGAAAAGGCTGTCTCTTTGCACTATCAGCGGTCAGAAGCTGCCAGCATCCAGGGCTCATGGGCCCTTCCTCCATCTCCAGAGGGAGCAGTGGCAGGTGAGTCTTTCTGCCAGTGCCTCACCTGCTTCCTGCTTCCATTGTCACATCACCTTCTCTGGCTCTAACTGCTTCTCTCTCCCTTTCCACTTTAAGGATCCCTGTAATTACACTGGGTCCACCTAGAAACTCCAGGACAATCTCCCTCCCTTAAGATCAGATGACTAGCAATCTTAATTTATCTGCAACTCTAATTCCCTTTTGCCATGAAACATAACACATTCAACAGGTTCCAGGAATTAAGACACAGACATCTTTTAGGGCCATTATTCTGCCAACCACATTACCACAAAGAAAACAATCATAAGTTGGATATCCCCAAATGAATTTAAAATACATGGTCTTTAAAAGGTCTTTAAGGAAATAAAGACGAGCCATAGACTAGGAAAAAACATTTATAAAACACATCTGATAAAAGACGTATCTATGGTAAAGAACTCTTAAAATCCCACAATAAGAAAAAAAAACCTTATTTTTTTTTAAATGAGCACAACAGTTGAGCAGACGCATCTCCAAAAAAGAGACAGTCATTAAGAAAATGCAAATTAATACCACAATTAAATACCACCATGTAACCACTACCATGAGTAAAGTTTTTTCAACTAAATGCTGGTGAAAATACAGAGCAACTAGAATTCTCATACAGTGCTGGTGGGAATGCAAAATAGTGCAGCTACTTGGAAAGAACAATTTTGTAGTTTCTTATAATTTAAGAAAACTGAGAGCAACTCAAATGTCTACCATTTGATGAATGGATAATCAAACTGTGGTACACCCATACAACTGAAATAACAATAAACACAACAACATGGATGAATGTCAAAAGCATTACACTAAGTGGGAGAAGCCACATACAAAATGTTGCATATTGTTTGGGTTCATTTAAATAATATCCTAGTAAAGGGAAAACTACAGGGAAAGAAATCAGGTCGATGATTGCCAGGGGCTGGGGATGGAGAGGGGATCTACAAAGCAGATCGAGGCAACTTTTTGAGGTGATGGAAACTTCCTCAAGATTGCAGTGGTGGTTATGTGAGTGCGTAGGCCTGTCAAAAGGCAGAGAGCTGTCTATCTAAGAATGGCAAACTTACTGTATGTAAATTATAGCCCACTAAACATGATTCTTAAAAAAGATAAAAAGCCTGTGCCACATAAAAGACACCATCAGGTGGAACGGGAAACTTAAAGAGTGGTGGTAATTTTTTAAATGCCAAAAAACTTAAGATTTAAATACTATGTCAGTTTTGGAGATTTTATACGCACTATATACATTTTTACTGGAGACCACCAGAATCTGTTTTTGCCCATGGAAATGAATGGTTTTTAAAACAATTCATGTCATACTCACTTCAGGAAGCCTGAGCATCCCACGAGAGAATCTGACTTGGAGTTACATTTAAGGCAGGGGACAGACCAATGTGAGAACAGATCAGGTGTCTCTGTATCAGATGATGGGGTGGCCTACTCAGTAGGCACAGTAAGCAAAGAAGCATCACACCAGCCAAATTCTTGGAAGGAGCAAGGAGAGAGCAGTCAATGTTTTCCTGATGAAAGTTAAGAGAATGCTTTGGCAGATAACTGACATTTTAAGAGCTAACATCACATTTCTATTCTACATCGCAAGAAAATTGGCATCTGTATTTTTAAGATTATTTGAAAGAAAAGATTCCACCAAAAAAAAAAACTGTGCTTCTTCAAATTTATCCCCCTTATAATGTTTATCTCCATACTAAAATTAAAAATCAAGCTAGAAAGAAACAGGGATGAGAGTATAAATTTTATGTGTCTGAAACCTTTACATATTAACAATAAACTACATGTAAACTACTACATGGTCAGGATGTTGGTCAAGGTAATAGGTCTACTCTGGTGCTCTGCTCCATTTCCTTATCTTCCTTACATGTCCATAACTATTTAAATGTTGTTCCAAAACATTCATGCGTCAGCCGGGCATGGTGGCTCATGCCTTTAATCCCAGCACTTTGGGAGGCCAAGGCAGATGGATCACTTGAGGTCAGGAGTTCGAGACCAGCCTGGCCAACATGGGGAAACCCTGTCTCTACTAAAAATAAAAAAAATAAATAAATAAAATAAAAATTAGCCAGGCGTGGTGGTGCACACCTGTAATCCCAGCTACTCAGGAGGCTGAGACAGGAGAATCGCTTGAACCCAGGAGGCGGAGATTGCAGTGAGTCAAGATCGCGCCACTGCACTCCAGCCTGGGTGATGGAGTGAGATTCCGTCTCAAAAAAACAAAAAAACAAAATGTTCATGCATGGAACCATCTCAGGTTTCAGGTTTACCAACTGTAATTCTTTGCTCAAAAATTGGAATATTCCGGCCAGGTGCAGCGGCTCATGCCTGTAATCCCAGCACTTTGGGAGGCCGAGGCAGGAAGATCACCAGAGGTCAGGAGGTCGAGACCAGCCTGGCCAACATAGTGAAACCTCGTCTTTACTAAAAATATAAAAATTGGGAGATATACCTAATGCTAGATGATGAGTTAGTGGGTGCAGCGCACCAGCATGGCACATGTATACATATGTAACTAACCTGCACAATGTGCACATGTACCCTAAAACTTAAAGTATAATTAAAACAAAAACAAAAACAAAAACAAAACAGAAAGAGGAAAAAAAAAAAATTATCTGGGTGTGGTGGCGCATGCCTGTAATCCCAGCTACTTGGTAGCCTGAGGCAGGAGAATCGCTTGAACCTGGGAGGCAGAGGTTGCAGTGAGCTGAGATTTGTGTCACTGCACTCCAGCCTGGGCAACAGAGCAAAACTCTGTCTCAAAAAAAAAAAAAAAAAATTGGGATATTCCTTTATTACACATTCAGAAACTTCTCCTCCTAAAGCTCCAAAGCTCTGAAACAAACCAAACATGATGGGGATAGCAAATAAATCCACTAAACGTTTATGACTCAATGTAAGCTGCACGTTTATTATCATGTATCAGGGAGTTTTTATAAATTAAAATTTCAAAATAAGAAAACATCAATAATCTAATGACTGATACATTCTTTTTTGTTTTGTTTTGTTTTTTGTTTTTTGTTGAGACGGAGTCTTGCTCTGTCGCCCAGGCTGGAGTGCAGTGGCGCAATCTCGGCACACTGCAAGCTCCACCTCCTGGGTTCACGCCATTCTCCTGCCTCAGCCTCCCAAGTAGCTGGGACTACAGGCGCCCGCCACCACACCCTGCTAATTTTGTTTTGTACTTTTAGGAGAGACGGGGTTTCACCATGTTAGCAAGGATGGTCTCGATCTCCTGACCTCATGATCCACCCGCCTTGGCCTCCCAAAATGCTGGCATTACAGGCATGAGCCACTGGGCCCGGCCTAATGACTGATATATTCTGAAACAAATTTAGAGGAATACACACATAACTATATAAGATTTATAATCTAGCTGTAGAAGTCTCTAATCAGAATTTTTTCTATATGTAATATCAATAAAAACCCTTTAAAAAAAAACACCACATATCTGATAAAGGATTCATATCAAGGTATATAAGGAAAGCTTACAACTTAATAAGACAATCAGGCTGGGTGTGGTGGCTCACGCCTGTAATCCCAGCACTTTGGGAGGCTGAGGCGGGCAGATCACCTGAGGTCAGGAGTTCGAGACCAGCCTGACCAACATGGAGAAACCTTGTCTTTACTAAAAATACAAAATTAGCCGGGCGTGGTGGCACATGCCTGTAATCCCAGCTACTTGGGAGGCTGAGGCAGGAGAATCGCTTGAACCAGGAAGCGGAGGTTGCGGTGAGCCGAGATTGCACCATTGCACTCCAGCCTGGGCAACAAGAGTGAAACTTGACCTCAAAAAAAAAAAAAAAAAAGGCAAAACTCTATCTCAAAAAATAAAAAATAAAAGACAATCAATCATATTTTTAAATGGGCAAAATATTTGAAGACTCACTTGAACAAAGAAGATATACAGGTAGCAAACAAGCAAATGATAAGATCACCATCACTAGTCATTAGGGAAATGCAAGTTAAAGTTATAATGAGATATATACCTACTAGAATGGCTAAAATTGAAAAGAATGACAATACCAGTTGTCAGTAAGAATATAGAGAAACTGGAATTCTCATTCATTGCTAGTAGGAATGCAAAACTTTGGAAAACTTAATGGCGGTGGTTTTATAAAGTTAAACTTACTCTTACCACATGGCCCAGTAATTTAACTGCTTTGTATTTACCCAGAAGAAATAAAAACATACTGGCAAATGAAGACCTGCACATAAAAAATTTTAACAGCTTCATGTATAATAGCCCCAAAGTGGAAACAACACAAAGGTTCGTCCACTGGTCAACGGGTAAATAAACTGGTATGCGTCCATACAATAGAATACAATTCAACAATACAAAATACAGAATACTGATTAACAACATGGGTGAAACTCAAAAACATTACGTTAAGTAAAAGAATGTAACTTATATCTCAATCAACATTACTTTTAAAAACACTAAAATAGATACATACACACCAATGATCTAGGATCTACTTCAAGAAGCTAGAAAAAGTAAAGTAAAACCAAAGTATTAGGAAGGAAATAACAAAGAGCAGAAATAAATGAAATGGGCAAACAATTGAGAAAAAAGTCAGTTCTTTGCAAAAATCAACTGCATAAACCTTTAGCTAACATGATCAAGAAAAATGAGAAGCCACAAATTACTGTATCAGTAATGAAAAAGGCGACATCAATATAAGTCTTACAGATATTAGTAGACTAGTAAGAATATTCTGGGCTGGGCGCAGTGGCTCACGCTTGTAATCCCAGCATTTTGGGAGGCCAAGGTGGGTGGATCACGAGGTCAGGAGACTGAGACCAGCCTGGCCAACATCGTGAAACCTGTCTCTACTAAAAATATAAAAATTAGCTGGGTATGGTGGTGTGCACCTGTAATCCCAGGTACTCGGGAGGCTGAGGCAGGAGAATCGCTCGAACCTGGGAGGTGGAGGTTGCAGTGAGCTGAGATCGCGCCACTGCACTCCAGCCTAGGCGACACAGTGAGACTCCGTCTCAAAAAAAAAAAAAAAAAAAAAAGAACAACATCAAAATACTTAACATCTATGAATTTCAAAATAAGTACTATATAAAGCTACGACAATTAAAACAGTGTGGTACGGGCCTAAGGGTAAACACAGACCAATGGAACAGAATCAAGTCCAAAAAGCAGAACTACACATATACAGTCAATGCTGTTTGGTCAAGCTTTCAAGGTAATTCAATGAAGAAAGGAAAGTCTTTTCATTGAAACAGCTGGATATCTAGATAGATAAAGTAAATCTCAACCTCTGTCTTACTCCACATACAAAAATCAATTCAAGATGGCTGATGGACCTTAACATAAAACCTACCATCCTAAAGCTTCTAGGAAAAAAACATAGGAGCATATATTTATAAGTTTCAGGTAAGCAAAAATTTCTGGACAGGACATAAAAGGCACAAACCATTAAAAAACTGATAAACTGCACATCATAAAAATTAAAACTTCAGCCACATGTGGTGGCTCATGGCAGTAATCTCAGCACTTTGGGAGGCCAGGGTGGGCGGATCACTTGAGGTCAAGAGTTTGAGACCATCCTGGCCAACACAGCAAAACCCCGTCTCTACTAAAACTACAATGGATGAAACTCAAAAACATTACGTTAAGTAAAAGAGGCTGAGGCCTGAGAATCGCCTGAATCTGGGAGGCAGAGATTTCAGTGAGGTGAAGTTGCACCACTGCACTCCAGCCTGGGTGACAGAGCGAGACTCTGTCTCAAAAAAAAAAAATAAATAAATAAATAAAAGAAATTCCTCCTCAACAAAAGACAGCATTTTTAAAAATGAGCAGAAAAGTCACAGAATGGGAGAAAATATCTGCAGCTCATGCATCTGACAAAAGACTTGTATTCAGACCACAGCACAAAATAAAAAGTTTTTTTAGGGCAAAAGACTGGGGCACTTCAGAAAGGACGATGTATAAATGGCCCGTAAATACATGAAAAGATACTCTACATCATCTGTCACTGGGAAATGCAAATAAAAACCCCAATGATATACCATTTCACACCCAAATGTTGATATATGTGTAGAACAATGGAAACTTCTCATACAGTGCTGGTCAGGGTATGGCACAACCACAGTGGAAAGTTTCTTAAAAGGTTAAACATGTTATCTTTCCTATGACTCAAAAATTCCACTCTTAGGTAGAATTAAAGAGAAAGGAAAACTATGAACACGAAAAGCTTGTAAAAAAAAAAAAAAAAGCTCACGGCAGTCAAACCTCATAGCTTTTGGTTTATTGATACTAGCCAAAACCTAGAAACTACTCAAATGTCTATCACTAGGAAGATAAATTATGACATATTCATTAAAATTCCATAAAAAGGGAATAAACTACTGATTCACACAACATGTGTAAATTTAAAACTATGTTAAGTGAAAGAAGTCAGAGACAAAGAGTACATATATAAGATTCCATTTACATATAAAAAATTCAAGAACAAGAAAAACTAATTTATGGAAATAAAAATCAGAAAGGAATTTTGGATGGTGGTGTAGGGGGCAAGGAACTGGCTGCAAAGAGGCAGAAGGAAACTTTGGGAATGATGGAAATGTTTTTCATCTTTATTGGGGTTATGGTTACATATGTGTATACATTTTCCAAATGTAAGCTATACATTTCAAATTAGTACATTTTATTGTTTATAATTTTATACCTCAGTAAAACTGATTATAAAATTTTTAATTTAAATTTAAAAAATTGTCATTGTTACTTAAAGCCATGTTCCCTTCAGCCTAAAACCATCACCACCATCACAGCAGGGCAGGCTGAGGTGACCTTCATCAACATGTCAGCCAGGCCACTCACTGAACAGGTCCAGTTTTTCAAACTGTCCCACTAACTTCACAGAAGCCTCCACGGGATATTTCAGGCTATCTTTTACGTTTTTGTTTTGTTTCATTTCACTTATTACTACTTTTTCTTGTTTTGCGAGATGATGTGGACGCTTTTTTTCTAAATTCGGTCCCTTTCTTTTCCCCATCACCAAATTACATTTCCATGTTTTTCTCTAAAGAGTGTATTTATTCCCAAGCATGAGCAACCACTCCAAAAGCAAACAAAACTATCAAAATGTTAGCAAGTGTGAACAGGAGCCAGATAAAGAGGTGTGAGCTGAAAATGCAGACGCAATTCTTCCACTCTTGACCATTCTAACCCCCAGATCATAGATATTAGTGAGTTTTCAGCCCTAGCTCCAGGATTACTGGCTACAAATGAGTCCATTTCAAAATCATTTTATTTCATATATTGTTAAAACTTCACAACTTAGACATATCACTGTAATTTGTTTTCAATATGAAGAGGAGCAGGATTCTAAAATTTTTTTTAAAAACCATGATATGAAGCAAGTTTTTCCGGTTGGCATATCTCGGCCACACTTCTCTTAATAATCAAAGGGCAGGCATCACCACAGCTTTCTAATTCACAGACATCACAAAATAAGGGCATATACACAGTATCTAAAAAGCATGCTGTGCACAGCTCAATGTTAATGTCCCTGAAGTACACTTATTAAAAATATGAATATTCAGGCATTAAGTATTTACAGGTACCAAGACACAAGTTACTTTTTATTTATTTTTTTTATTTTTTTTGAGACAGCTCTGTCGCTCAGGCTGGAGTGCACTGGGCCAATCTCAGCTCACTGCAACCTCCACCCCCTGGGTTCAAGCAATTCTCCTGCCTCAGCCTCCTGAGTAGCTGGGATTACAGGCACGCACCACCACCACACCGGGCTAATTTTTTTGTATGTTTAGTAGAAACGAGGTTTCACTATGTTGGCCTGGCTGGTCTCGAACTCCTGACCTCAAGTGATCCACCCACCTGGGCCTCCCAAAGTGCGGGAATTACAGGCATGAGCCACCGGGCCCAGCCACAGGTTACTTTTTAATCTGATAGAACAGTGAGTACAAAAACTGTAACAATTATGCTCCATTTTCAAGGACAATTCTAAGACCAACATCAAAGATGCTGTCATATATACAATAATCACAACATTAAAGTGATTCAGTAAAAAATTTCAGTTAAAAAATAAGGGGGGCTGGGCGCAGTGGCTCACACCTGTAATCCCAGCACTTTGGGAAGCCGAGGCTGGCAGATCACCTGAGGTTAGGAGTTTGAGACTAGCCTGGCCAACACAGTGAAATCCCATCTCTACTAAAAATACAAAAATTAGCTGGGCATGGTGGCGCATGCCTGTAATCCCAGCTACTCAGGAGGCTGAGGCAGGAGAATCACTTGAACCCGGAAGGCGAAGGTTGCAGTGAGCCCGAGATTGCGTCACTGCACTCCAGCCTGGGTGGCAGAGTGAGACTTGGTCTCAAAAAAAAAAAAAAAACGCGGAGGGGAGGCGGGGAAGAAACATTTATCCAGACTTGCCAGAAACCCAATCACATGACAGTAAAGAGCCTGGAAAAATCAACAAACATCTTTGAGTGGCCAAGGACCACAAAGCCCATGCTTGGGATGGGCAGAGCCACAGAATCCCTGATAGCCATTGAAAATGCCCTAGAAAGGCAGATGAAAGAAAATATTTTACTATAAACACACAAGTCTGAAATTAGTAAACAGAGAACCAATCTTAATCACTACAATGATTTCTGAGAATACCCTACATTACTTAACAGAATAGTAAATGATGTCCATAGCAGTGACCTTGAGTCACCAAGAAAGCATTAGAGTGTGCTCAATACCTCTCGTAAAAAACAGCACAATATGCAATGTGTTTTAGGAAGGCAGCCAAAGGATCGTTAGAGTTTTCATCATTTCACAGTTTAAAGCCCTTCACTACATTTATCTATAGATGTCAGGCATGTGGAACACTCTGCTTTCTAATGATGGTGTTCTATTTGGCATAAAGTACAGCTAATAGAAAAAACAAGAAAGAAAAGAAAAATATATACATAATGATGATGTTCTAGTATTAACTCCTATACCCAAGTACTCTCCTTATCTTAGAAGAATCAGTATCAGACTGATTTATACTTCCAGAGCCCTTTGTGGAACCATCACATAGATAAAATAGAATTTTTTTTAAGGTTTCAAGCATATTTTGATATTTTGAAACCAGGATTTCTTGTGCTATTATTATCAAACATCTTCCACAGAAAAAGCCCATCCTACCTACAGAGAGACAAGGCCGGGACTTATTTGTGGGTTCATTGCCACCTACCAAAATCCTGTATTCTTTTCCACATTTTAATTAGCTAGTGACTAATAATTCTCAGTTTCTCACTACCTTTCCATCCCCCAAATAAAATAACACCCTATATTTCCACCACCAAACGTCCTTCCCTCTTGTTAATTCCCCACAACAGCATCGACCGGTTGCCACCCACTGTCCAACATAAACACCAGTGGGTTGTGAAGTGTGGGAATCTGCAGCTCTTGGAGCTGCATTGTAACTAGAAAATATACAAGTCCTCCTCTTGCTGTCACTTTGACCAAGAAGAAATATGTTGCCATGCTGGGGCAGCTTAGGGATTAGACACTTATCCGTCTTACTGAGGACAGCTGGTAATCTTCTGTCTGCTTCTGTGTGCCAGACCCTGGGCTTAAGTGCTTTACCCACACTATCTGTTTAATCCCCACAACTGTCCTATGAGATAGGTCCTATTTGATCCCACTTTGTAGATAGGCAGGCTGTGGCTAAAAGGTTAAGCAACTTAACCAAGGTCACACTATTCCTACGTAAGGGAAAAGGATTGGAACCCACTTATGACTTCAGAGCCCACACTCTTCACTATACACCAACTGCCTCAGCTGTCATTAACTTTAGTTATATTTATACATCATTATTGAGAGTGTACACTGAATGCCTCAAATTCACTTTAATATGCTTTATTTCATTCACTATGAAGTATATATCTTATCTTCATATGAAATTGTTATTAATGTGTTAATCTTTTAAAAGCTAGAGGACAAACCAAAGCAAAGATTACAGGTTTGGGCAGCCTTTATAATTCGCTGTTTGAAATCACTTTAATACTTATGTAAGAATATTACCTGGGGTTACTGTTAGCTGAAAACAATGAAGCTTGTTTGGATCAGGAAAATGCACTTTACATGTACCTGCAAAAGAAACAGCACATCAGGAAGGTCTGGCAGTGAGCAGCAGTCCATATGTTGACGCTAACCTTTGAACACGTGTAAAGTTAGCGGTGCTACAGGGATTCGTATGGTTTATGGAAAGTTGGTAGATCTCCCTCCCTATTTGTCTGATAATAATCGTGCCAATACTCTAAAATTGCAAACCAGTGGTTTTTGTCATGTGCTTTTCTCCTTACAGTGTTTTACTAGTTAATTCCAAATAGAGATGTTTTCCTTCAACCTTTAAGTGGTCACTAAACCATTTATTTCAAGAATTATGCTACTGTACTTTGACAAGAAGAAACCATATCTCAGGGAGATTAATACATGCAGGCAAAGGCTAACTAAACACGAAAAAACCAGGAAAGAGCCCAGGTCAACTCTGTTGCCCTAGCACCACAGACATTCAGTCACCATGGTAAATGGAAGTTCTTTATAAAGAAGGGTGCTGGCCAGGCATGGTGGCTTACGCCTGTAATCCCAGCTACTTGGGAGGCTGAGGCAGGAGAATCACTTGAACCCAGGAGATGGAGGTTGCAGTGAGCCAAGATCGCGCCATTGCACTCCAGCTTGGGCAACAAGAGTGAAACTCTGCCTCAAAAAAAAAAAAAAAAAAGAAGAAGAAGAAGAAGAAGAGTGCGCCCAGGACTTAGCTCCCACCCAGCCAGAGTTTACCATAATCTTTTGTCTTTTTAAAAAATACCTTTACTACCTAAGTGGTAAATCAGCTTGCTTTATTGGTAAAATAATGCTCTACTGACCCAGATGGCAATGTTCTGTGCCCACTGGTCCAAATCATAAGAGGCCTGAATCAGGACAAAGTGTTCCCCTGGGAGAGAAGCTACTGGCTGCTGGTGCAGGCCAGGGAAGTTGATTGCATCCCACCCATCTCCTTCAAACAAATGACACACAGCTAATTACCCATAGGAAAAATACCCAAGGAATCTGGAAGGAATATATATAGAAATTTTCTACATCTATAAAATCAGAAAATACTATGCTAAACTTTTTTTTAGACAGGGTCTCACTCTGTTGCCTGGACTGGAGGACAGTGGCATGATTCCAGCTCACCGCAACCTCTGCCTCCAAGGCTCAGGTGATCCTCCCACCTCAGCCTCCTGAGTAGCAGGGACTACAGGTGCACACCACCACACCTGGCTAATTTTTGTATCTTTTGTAGAGACAGGTTTTCGCCATGTTACCCAGGCTAGTCTTGAACTCCCATGCTCAAGTGATCCACTCACCTTGGCCTCTGAAAGTGCTAGGATTACAGGCATGGGCCACCACACCAGGCCTATGCTAAACTTCTCAGTTCACCACTGGTGGTGAACTAAACATGGAAAAACCAGGAAAAACCCAGGTCAAATTTCTACTCTGTTCTCTTAGCACCACAGACATCCACAGTCACCACGGCAAATGGAAGTTAAAAAGAAGAGTGCTGGCCAGGCATGGTGGATCATGTCTGTAATCCCAGAACTTTGGGAGGCCAAGGCAGGCGGTTCACGAGGTCAGTAGTTTGAGACCAGCCTGGCCAACGTGGTGAAACCCCGTCTCTACTAAAAATACAAAAATTAGCTGGGCAAGGTGGCGGGCGCCTGTAGTCCCAGCTACTTGGGAGGCTGAGGCAGGAGAATTGCCTGAACCTGGGAGGCAGAGGTTGCAGTGAGCTGAGATCACGCCACTGCCCTCCAGCCTGGGCAACAAAGCGAGACTCCATCTGAAAAAAAAAAAGAGTGCTGCCCAGGAGTTAGCTCCCACCCAGAATTTACTATGATATTTTGTCTTTTTAAGTTTTTAAAGTTTTTTTAGAAGACTTTTTAAAAATTTGTTTAAAGTTTTCTTACAAGTTCCACCAAAAGTATTTGCTTAGTTTGACAATGATAAAAATTTTTATCGAAAACAGGACAATTCAAATTTCTACTCAGAGGTGACCTTAGAGACGATCTAGTCCAACGTCCTCAATTAGGAGACATAAGTAGAAGGTCTAGAGAGGCTTGGTGACTAGCCCAAGATCATACAGGTTATCAACAGAAGCAAGGTTAATTCCTACATTAATAACTAGTTCATGACTCCTTCCCCTACCTCATGCCTCATTTCCTTTCAGTACTTAATGACCATGTTAAGACATGGGACACCTGTATATACAAGCAGCAAATAACACAGGACTGATAGTGGGGTTTCCTTTCCAGAGTGAAAACTGTCTAGAAAAGCAAGAAGCAGTCTTAGAGATGACAATGTCACAGTCCTTACTTGAGAAATAAACAAACTGGAGCCAAAGAGTTCAAGACTTTCCCCAAAATTACACATTTAGAACTATGTGTGAAATACTTAAAATGGGCTTTATTCTTCCTAATCTTAACTTGCAAAGATAAATGCCATCCTTCTAGTGAGTTCTAAGTAACAAAAACATATAATTCTGACTTGGGAAATGTTTCAATGATTCACTGAAGTTGGCATCATGTATTTGTTTTTAATATCTGGCATTCTCTTTTGTTTTAATAGACAGATGCGGAAATCAATAGCTCCAAAAAGCTGGCCCATCAAGAATAAAGAAATTATCGGCCGGTCGCAGTGGCTCATGCCTGTAATCCTAGCACTTTGGGAGGCCAAGGCAGGTGGATCACCAGAGGTTAGGAGTTCAAGACTAGCCTGGCCAACATGGTAAAACCCCCTCTCTACTAAAAATACAAAAAATTAGCCGGATGTAATGGCGCATGCCTGTAATCCCAGCTGAGGGGGAGGCTGAGGCAGGAGAACTGCTTGAACCCGGGGGCAGAGGTTGCAGAGAGCTGAGATCGTGCCACTTCACTTCAGCCTGGGTGAAAGAACGTGACTCTGTCTCAAAAAAAAAAAAAGAAATTATCAAAGTGGATTACAAAGCAATAAAACTATGCCAGGCGCAGCGGCTCACGCCTGTAATCCTGGCAAAACCCCATCTCCACTAAAAATACAAAAATTGGCTAGGCGTGGTGGCGGGCACCTGTAATCCCAGCTACTCAGGAGGCTGAGGCAGGAAAGTCACTTGAATCCAGGAAGTGGAGGTCGCAGTGAGCCGAGATCGCGCCACTGCATTCCAGCCTGGGTGACAGAGCAAGACTGTCTCAAAAAAAAAAAAAGAAAGAAAGAAAAGAAAAGAAAGGTTAAGTTCTAAAAAAAAAAAAAAATTTAACAGGTTTTTGTTCCAGTTCAATGCACCAGAATTAAGCTTTTTATCTACATGTAGGCATGCACTATCTGAGCCTCTAATATTTCAGTCTATCTGAAAGAAACATTTTAAATTTTTTTGCAGAGAAACCGCTAAAAACTTGCATGTGCAGAGCTCCAAACTAGTTCCGAATAGTTACTAAGTGGTACTGATACAAGGCAAGTTATTTTGTTTGCCTTTGTAAATATTTTAGAAAGATAATTAAATAGATAGTAAAGGGTTATTCATTGGTGGTTTCTTGTTTTCTCTTTAGCATAATGAGACATACTTTTGGAAAGCATGGCTTACTTGAATAAAATGATATAATTTCCCCCTCTTCGATTAGGAGAGAAGGTAGGGAGAAAGAATGAAAGAAGGGGCAGGGAGCATGCTGTCTTTTTATCTGACACCATAGCTATAGGGCTAGGAGATGTGCCATACTTCTTTCAAACCTAAGGTATGCAGTTACAATCCTGATTTGAAAGCCAGTCATAAAATTTTCTTGTTTTTAAAGTACACTCTATGGGTTAAAAACCAACAATCTCTGTAAGATATGTATCAAGGATGAATGAACCATTTATAAGTGGGACCTTTTCTGTGGTTTTGATTAAATGTCTACATGTGTTGGCCATGCACAGTGGCTCGTGCCTGTCATCTCAGCTCTTTAGGAGGCCAAGGTGGGAGGATCACTTGAGCCCAGGAGTTTGAGATCAGCCTGGGCAACACAGGAGACTCCATCTCTACAAAAAAATAATAATAATTTTATTATTATTTTTTTTTTGAGACAGAGTCTCACTCTGTCGCCCAGGTTGGAGTGCACTGGTGCTATCTCGGCTCACTGCAAGCTCCGCCTCCTGGGTTCATGCCATTCTCCTGCCTCAGCCTCCCGAGTAGCTGGGACTACAGGCGCCCACCATGATGCCTGGCTGATTTTTTGTATAAAAAATAATAATAATTTTTAAAAATTAGCTAGGCGTGGTAGCATGCACCTGAGGTCTGAGGTCTCAGCTGCTCAGGAGACTGAGGTGGGAAGATCACTTGAGCCCAGGAGGTTGAGACTGCAGTGAGCCACACTCATGCCACTGTACTCCAACTTGGGCAACAAAGAGAGACCCTGTCTATTAAAAAAAAAAAAAAAGGTTTACATGTATATACAGGCTCAAGTTGGGGGCCTGTGGGAAGATAAGATGGGACTGGAAAGCAGAGGGATTATTTTATTTTATTTTTATTAGGAAAATGTCCTAATAAAAGAGAAGAGTATAATGAACCCATCCCCCAGCTTCAACATTTTGCCAATTTTGCTTGTCTATCCTGCCCCCCCACAGTTATTTGTTTATTGTTTGTCTTCCTGTAGCATTTTAAAGCAAACTACTTCATCTGTAAATACTTCAGTGGGTAGAAAGATAACTTTTTTTTTTTTTTTTTTTTTTGAGACAGTCTCACTCCATCGCCCAGGAGTGCAGTGGCACAATCTCAGCTCACCGCAACCTCCGCCTCCTGGGTTCAAGCAATTCTCTTGCCCCAGCCTCCCGAGCAGCTGGGATTACAGGTGCATACCACTACAACTGGCTAAATTTGCACTTTTAGTAGAGACAGGGTTTCATCATGTTGACCAAGCTGGTCTCGAACTCCTGAGCTCAAATGATCCACTCGCTTCAGCCTCCCAAAGTGTTGGGAATATAGGCGTGAGCCACTGCACCCAGCCAGAAAGATAACCTTTTAACAGAATCTCAAGATATTGCCTCATTTCCGAGTTGAAGAAAACTTTGAGGTCAAGCAATCCAGTGTCTTTCAAAACACTTTCAACTGAGATCCACAGTAAGAAACATATTTTATATCACAACTCACGATACCTACCCATAAATTCTATATGCTGAAAATAATCTTTTGGCTGGGCGCAGTGGCTCACGCCTGTAATCCCAGCACTTTGGGAGGCTGAGGCAGAAGGATCACTTGAGCCCAAGAGTTTGAGACCAGCCTGCCCAACAAGGCAAAAACCCATCTCTGCTAAAAATACAAAAATTAGCCTGGCGTGGTGGTGCATGCCTGTGGTCCCAGCTACTCGGGAGGCTGAGGCGCAAGAATCACTTGAACCTAGGAGGCAGAGGTTGCAGTGAACCGAGATCTCACCACTGCACTCCAGCCTGGGCGACAGAGTGAGCCTCTGTCTTGAAAATAATAATAATTTTTTAAGAAACATTACATACTTACCCTCTCAAACTGATTTCACAACCATGGAGAGGTTGCAATCCACCATTATCTTTCCTACTTCAGATGGAGGCTGGAATGGGCCCTGTCCTGCCCCATGTCAGAGATATCTCCACATCCAATCCTAAGTTCTCTCTAGCACTCACCCAAACCAGCAGACCCACTTATAAAATATTTCACCATTACCCACAGACATCCTCAGCCCCAGAACTAATTTTAAGGGAAGTACAATGATAAAAAGTTGTAATTCAAAAAATACTAAAATGATCAAAGCTTTCAGGCTTTAATGATCTTTTGAAATAATCAAGGGTTTGGAAGATTAATGATAGAGAGAATACGACATGTATTACAAAAGTGAACTGCCTGATAGATAGCTTTCCGAATGTACGGTGCTCATGAGTGAAGACTGCATGCTGACCCTGTGTGTCTGGGGCAGAAACAATCAAGCAAGATGGACTCCCACTGACAGCAGCAAGGCAGTGCAGCCACCCCTCAAACATGCAGACAAGTTACAAATGAGAACTTTGCCAAAAAGCTGGTATCATCCCTAACAAAAGTGGAACTGTTATTGATTTATACACTTTTTCACTCAAAGTGGATGCGGGACAGAATGCATCTGGAAGAGGCAAAAACCTAACCAAATGCACCTCTGCTATGCTAAGGAGAGATAGCACTCAGAAAGGTGGCAGAACCTTGCTCTTTTTTTTTTTTTTTTTTTAAGACAGAGTCTCATTCTGTCACCCAGGCTGGAGTGCAATGGCGCAATCTTGGCTCACTGCAACCTCCGCCTCTTGGGTTCAAGCGACTCTAATGCCTTAGCCTCCCGAGTAGCTGGGGCTACAGTGATGCAGCACCAGGCCCAGCTAATCCAATTTTTTTTTTTTTTGAGATGGAGTCTTGCTCTGTTGCCCAGGTTGGAGTGCAGTGGCCTGATCTCAGCTCACTGCAACCTCTGCCTCCCAGGTTCAAGTGATTCTCCTGCCTCAGCCTCCCAAGTAGCTGGAACTACAGGCATGCGCCACCATGCTCAGCTAATTTTTGTAGTTTTAGTAGAGACAGGGTTTCACCATGTTGGCCAGGCTGGTCTCGAACTCCTAACCTCAAATGATCCAGCTGCCTCTGCCTCCCAAAGTGCTGAGACTAGCAGCATGAGCCACCATGCCTGGCCTACCTTGTTCTTATTAGACACTTGAAAAAATCCTACCTTTTCACAGAAAATTAAAATTCATTCCTAACATACATGAAAAATAGGCTTTTTACTATACAAGGTTATTAAAACATAAAAAGTTTTCTTCATGCAATTATTTCACAGTACTTAGTGTTTGGGGATGCTATACTTACAAGGTAAATTAGCTTCAAGTTCTGCAACCTCTGTAGAAACAAAGAAATTATTATTAATATTAGTCAATTACTCCACATAAAATCACCAGTTCTAAATTGGCAATTTCCTCTAGAACACTGAATCAAAAAAAAAAAAAAAAGGATGAACTGAATAAAACCTGGTCTAAAGTTTAGACTTTAAGCCATTTAGCTGCTTTCGATATACAAAGTGACTTGCAGAATGCCAACAAATTCAGTCAAAAGTCCTTGAATATTCACTTTAATGTAAAAGAAAAACATTTTAAATTAACATAGAAATGACCTATAGGTAGCCAGTCACTACAGTGTTTTTAAAAGTGGTTCCAAGTACTGGAATGATTCCTCTCAAAACCTGATCTATATGCACCTTGTGTCTATGTCTGTTCCCAGTGCTATCTTCCAGTTACCCCCTCATAGCTGCATTTCTTGGCCCCAGTCCTCTGCCTCAGGGCCTCAGACATCGCAGTCCCTCTTCCACGAGCCATTCATTTGGTGTTTAAGCCCAGCACCCCCTCTGCAGGACAAAACTGCAAACCCTCGCCACAATCCTGCTCACCACTTCTATTCAACACAGTGTTAGAAGTCTAAACCAGAGCAATCAGACAAGAAAAACAAATAAAAGGCATCCAAACTAGAAAGAAAGAAATAAAATTATCCCAGTTTCAGGTGACAAGATCCTATATGCAGAAAGCCCTAAAGACTGCCCTGCCCTTCCCCACACACACACCCACTTTAGAATAAAATGATTGGGAATAAATTTAAGGAGATAAAAGATCTGTATACTGAAAACTGTAAAACATTGATGAAAGACATTAAAGAAGACACAAATAAATATATGGAAATATATACTCTGTTCAAATATTTGAAGAATTAATATTGTTAAAATGTCCATACTACCCAAAGCAATCTACAGATTCAGTGCAATCCCTATCAAAATTCCAATGGCATTTTTCACAGAAATTAAAAAAACAATTCTAAAATTTGTCTGGAATCACAAAACACCCCGAAAAACCAAAGCAGCTTGAAAAAGAACAAAGTTGTAAGCATCACACTTTCTGATTTCAAGCTATAGAAATCAAAATAGCACAGTACTGGCTTAAAAACAGACACACAGAACAGAAAATAGAATCCAGAAGTAAACCTAAGCATATAAAAGTCAACTAATTTATGACACAGGTACCAAGAAAACACCATGGGGAAAGGATAGTTCCTTCAATAAATGGTGTTGGGAAAACTGGATATTCACATGCAAGGGAATAAAATTGGCTTCTTATCTTATACCATACATGAAAAATCAACTCAAAATGAATTAAAGACTTAAATGTAAGACCTGAAAGTATAAAACTCCTAGAAGAAAAGATAGGGAATAAGTTCCTTAACAAGGGCCTTGGCAATGATTTTTTTGATATCACACCAAAAGCTCAGAGAACAAAAGCAAAAATAAGCAAGTGGGATTACATCAAACTAAAAAGCTTCTGTACAATAAAGGAAACAATCAGCAAAATAAAAAGGCAGCCTATGTGCCAGGCATGGTGGCTCCTGCCTGTAATCCCAATACTTTGTGAGGTCAGGTGGGTAGATAGCTTGAGCCCAGGAGTTTAAAGGCCTACCTGGGCAACACAGCAAAACCTTTCTTTTTTAAACAAAATATACAAAAATTAATGGGTTGTGGTGGCACACACCTGTAGTCCCAACTGCTCAAGATATTGAAGTGGGAGGATCACCTGAGCCTGGGAAGTCGAGGCTGCAGTAAGCCGGGACCACACCACTGCGCTCTACACCACTCACTCTACGTGACAGAGTGAGACCCCGTCTCAAAAAAAAAAAAAAAAGAAAAGAAAAGGTAGTCTATGAATTGGGAGAAAATATTTACAAATCATATATTCGACAAACAGATTAATATCTAAAATATATAAGGAAATCACACAACTCAATAGCAAAAAAAAATTAAAAATGGGCAAAAAACATGAATAGACATATCTCCAAAGAAGAAATAAAAATGGCCAACAGATATATGCAAAGGTGCTCAACATCACTGAACATCAGGGAAATACAAATCAAAATCATGAGAAATCACCTCACACCTGTTAGAATGGCTGCTATCAAAGAGAGATAAATGTTGGCAAGAAGGTGGAAAAAAGAGAACCCTTGTATACTGATAGCAGGGCTGTAAACTTGGTATAGCCATTATGGAAAACAGTATGGAAGTTCCTCAAAAAATTAAAAATAGAACTACCATATCACCCAGCAATCCCACTCTGGTTATCTACCCAAAGACAACAAAATCAGTATGTGGAACAGATATCTGCACTTCCATACTCATTGGACTATTATTCACAATAGGCAAAATATGGAAATAACCTAAGTGTCACTGACAACTGGATAAAGAAATTGTGGTACACACAGTATATATGTTGGAACATTGTTCAGCCTTAAAAAAGAGATCCTGTCATTTGCAACAACATGGGTAAATCTAGACATTATGCTACATAAAATAAGCCAGACACACAAAGACAAATACTACATGATCTTACATATATGTAGAATCTAAAGTCAAAATGAAGGAACAGAAAACGGTGGTGACTAGGGCATGGGAGTGGGGAAGGGGGCAGAATGGGGGGATACAAAGTTACAGGCATATAGGATGAATAAGTCTAGAGATCTAAAGTACAGCATGATGACTATAGTTCATAATATTGTTTTATATGCTGGAAATTTGCCAACAGAGTAGATTCAGATGTTACCATTTTAAAAAAGGTAAACTATACAAGAAGATGAATATATTAATTCACCTGACTGTAGTAAACAACCTACTACTATGTTTATCAAAGCAGCATATTGGACCTGGCACTGTGGCTAATGCCTGTAATCCCAGTGCTTTGGGAGGCCGAGGCAGGAGGATTGCTTCAGGCCAGGAGTTTGAGACCAGCCTGGGCAACACAGTGAGACCACCATCTCTATTTTTTTTTTTTTTTTTTGCCTTTTTCCACAACCTCCCAACCTCTTCAAACAAATAAACAAACAAAAAAGAGTCAGGCGTGGTGGTGCATGCCTGTAGTCCCAATTACTCAGGAGTCTGAGGTGGGAAGGTCACTTGAACCTAGGAGTTTGAGGTTATAATGAGCAATCATCGCCTCACTGTGCTCCAGCCTGGGCAACAAAGTGAGACCCTGTCTCAAAAAAACAAAACAAAACAAAAACCTTCTTGTTGCACACCTTAAATATTTACAATAAACAGCTAATTAATTAAAAACAAAAACCTGCAGTTTAGCAGGGCATGGGGAAGGGTACCCTCTGAAATAACTGACCCGGCAACGTCCTCTGTGCCTCAGACAGAAAGTAGTGTGCTCTGGGGTCTTTGGGACAGGGAGATTCTCTCCAGCTGTGGGGACTGAGGAAAGAGGAAGTTTCTGAGTTGGGTTTTGGCAAGTAAGTAAAATTTAGTCCTGCAGAGTTAGGGGAAAAGAGGAGTATTCCAAGCAGATAAATTAGCAATGTGCGAAAGCACAGTGCATGGAAAAGCACAGAAACCAGACAGCATCCAGTGTGGCCAGAACAAAGGTCCCAAAACAACAGCAGAGCACTGGGAAACAAAGTAGAAAAACAGAAACAGGAGCGTGGAGGGAGCCATTGGAGATTTCTGAACAGAAGTTTCTAAACTTTGCTTAAAGAGGACAATCTTAGAAAGGGCAAAGTGGAGGCCAGTGACCTAAGAGATGGGCAGCAAGCACCTGGCAAAGGCAGAAAAGTGTGGGGGCTTCAGAGCAAACAGAATGGAGAGGTTCCAGCAACTCTGAGTGGGTGGAGGGGGTCAAAGATGGCACCCAGAGGTGATGTGCTGGGATGCGGGAGTGCCAGAAAGCCACGAGAGACAAAGAGGAGGAGTAGGGGAGGGGTAGGAAGAGGAGGAGTAGGGAAGGGGTAAGAAGAGGAGGAGTAGGGGAGGGGGAAGAAGAGGAGAACAAGGCTGGGAGCACAATGAGGGCAAAGGTGAGGGGTTCCTGCAAAGTGATGCCACCTGTCATCATGAGACTGGGTAAGGTCAACAAAAGGGAGAAAAAAGGACCTTGGAGAAAGCAACGGCCAAGGAACAGGGAAAGTTACAGATGAGAAACATGCCGAAAAGCAGGACAGCCATCGGGGATGTGGTGATTCAGTGAAAGAGCACAGAGGGTCCAAGGGGAAAGGCCATTGGAAGTGGATCAGACCTTGCTGATTCGCATTCAAAACAGCAGGAAAGCAGGAAGAGAGATGGAACCCAGAGTACGAAGTGAAGACGCAAATGTGAGGTCAAAACAGCTGCAGCACAATTCCTTCAAGAAGTGAAGTGGGGAAAGGAGGCAACGGGAAGGGGCAATGGAGGCCAGAATGCTCACAAAGCTGACCACCGAGTGGAGGAATGAAAAGGCTAGCTGAGGGCTCTACTCTGAGGCTCAGGGTTCAGGAGACCTGCAGGCCTCTGATCTCAGCTATTTATATGCTACAACTAAGCACCTGTGTAGAGGCACGTGGCCCATTAAATGCACTCATTCTAGGGCCCAGGTATATGGAATGGGCACCAAAGGTGAAGACAGACAGTGGAGGAGCTAGAGAAAGGGAGAAGCCCACCCACAGCCACTCCCTCTCAGGGCCAGGACATGCTCTGGCCAGGGCAAGCCTTCTCACACTGAGAAAAAGGACAGATCTCTTCAGCGGAGCTGAGTGTGGGGAGAAGAGGAGAAAGAGTTCACCCACTTGCCATGATCAGAAATAGAGCAAGTTCTGTGACTAAATACAACCCTGGGAGCCTATCTTCCTGGCAGTCTTATGTGGTGGCCCCTACATTAAAAAATATTCCCTTGACTGGGTGCAGTGGCTCACATCTGTAATCCCAGCACTTTGGGAGGCTAAGGCAGGAGGATCGCTTGAAGCCAGGAGTTTCATATCAGCTTGGGTAACATAGTGAGACTCTGTCACTACAAAAACATAAAATATATACATATATTTACTTAACAAAATATAATGATGGTGATCCTAGGAAAGGTTTACCATTATTCTTCTCATGCCCACACTGATACATAGCTGCCTTTCCAATGGGCCAGATTTTGCCCTTCCTTAGAGCAATGTATGGGAAAGGCAGAGGATGGAGAAAGACAACAGAACCTCGGACCACACCACCCAACACTGGTCACATCTCACAGGTGTGACCTACACAGGTGAAGAGCAAATGAGTTGTTCATAATGATCACTTTTAAATAAGGGTTACCTATATAATTAAACTTGATCTTAAAGCAAATACTAACATTTTATTCTGTATTATTTATATTTTGTTGATTAGAATTTACAAGAAACTGTTCTTGAGGGCCCTTCTTTTGAGAGATTGATGCTGGCCACTGGAATCCAGCTTTCCCTGGCATGACTCTGGCAGTGGCCCAAGCCACCTCAGTAGAGGGTGATAACTCCTGTCATCCAGCTTTTCCTACGGGAATTTAGAAATGTGTCCAGACGGCATGGTAAGCGACTGTGGATTGCAAGCAGAGGGGCCAGCATGACACAAGCAAAAGGTTCAAGAGGACAGTCTAGTGACAAGGGAAGAGGTGAGGTCTGGGCACAGACGGACAATGAAGAGTGAGGCCACTGACCAGTGCTAAGACTGTGATGTGGTAGGGCGGAGGAGTGGGAAGAAATGGGCAACAGAGCCAGGCCCCTTCTCCTACGGGGATAGGGGTGCGGGAGCAAGAGGCACTCAGGGGCCAGCAAAGTGACAGCCAGGAAGATGCCAGACAACACCTGATAAAGAAAGGAATGGAAGCCCTGGCTGCACATTCGCCACTCGGGGAGTGTTTTGCTGGTTTGACATTTGACAGCTTTGTCAGGGACCAATTTACATACAATCAAATAGACCCATTTTAAGTAAATGATTCAATAAATTGTAGTACATTTTGGAGCTATGGATCCATTACCACAATCCAGTACCTGCTGAGCTTTTAAAACTCCTAATGCCCCAGCCCTAACCTTGACCAATTATATCAAGAGTTTCAGGTAGAACTTAGGTCTCTGAATTTTTAAAATTCTCTCCCAGCGCTCATGCCTATAATTCCAGCACTTTGGGAGGCTGAGAAGGGCAGATCGCATGAGCTCAGGAGTTTGAGACCAGCCTGGGCAACGTGGCGAAACCTTGTCTCTACAAAAGATACAAAAATTAGCCAGGCATGGTGGCATGCACCTGTACTCCCAGCTACTCAGGAGGCTGAAGTGGGAGGATCACTTGAGCCCAAGAGGCAGAGGTTACAGTGTGCTGAGATCGTACCACTGCACTCCAGCCTAGATGACAGACTAAGGCCCTGTCTCAAAAAAAAAAAAAAAAAAAAAAAAAAAAAAGAATTCAAATTCCAAGATGAGCATCAGGCTCACATTTGCATGTTCAGTGCAATTCACTCACGGAAGGAGGGCAGGCTGAGGGAGCTCCTGGACCCAGCCTACCAATGATCCCACCACAGTCACAGTCCCCACAGGCTTCTGGTCCAAGAGATAGTGCAAGCAAGGACTACAATCCTGGGGCACAGGATTTCAATAAAGATGCTTGGCATTTTAGTTCCACCAGGGCAGAAAATAAGCCAGGCACACTCCCACAGTGCTCATCTCAGGGAGTTGTCACAAATGGTAAGAAGTTTTGCTGCACTTCCAACGAGGGCAAATTAGAATTCACTAACATCAACAGTTATCACCTTAGAGTCAAGGTGCAGTAAGACTATTAGCAAAGCTTGGCAGCCTCTGGGCAAAGCAGTGGCCCTTCTCTGTACACCCTCACCACCTGAAGAACGCCACCCACCTACAAGGTAATGAGAAATGAAGATACTTTTAAAACTGCTCAAGTCTTGCCCATTTCAAGATGTGACCCGGCATTTCTGGGAGGCACCTGGCTGACAGCTTGCACAATTCCGTGGCCGCATAACTTCCTTCTGATAGATTAGACTCTTTTCCTTTCTAACTAAAGATCAAACCACAGGACCCATTTGAAGCGTGACTACACTGAAATATCAGATTGCAAAATCCACCTGATCACCACAGAGGCCCCCACACAGCACGTACTCACCTTCTCCTGCCCTGGCCCTAACACAGGGCTCCTGCTGGCTCCTTGCCGCCTGCTCCCTGACCCTGCATACCCTGTGGGCAGGGGCCATGTAATCTGCCCAAGCCCTATGAGCTCAGTACCTGGCACTGGGGCTGGGCACACATGGGGTGCTCAGGAAAAGGGGGACACATAAGCATACTTGCCTACAGGGTGGCAGTGCCCCTGCTATGAGTTTCCTCTAAGACCCAAGAATGTTTCTTTTCACATAGCTGGGAACTGAGGAGGCATTCCAAAGGCGCTGTGGACTGAATTTATGCCCTCCACCCCCAAATTCATATGTTGAAGCTCTAACCCCCAATGTGATGGTATTTGGAGGTAATTAGGTTTAGATCAGATCATGGAGGTGGAGGCCTCATGATGGGATTCATGCTGTTATTTAAAAAAAACAAAAACAAAAAACAAAGAGGGACCAGAGCTCCCCTTCTCTCCTCCACGTGAAGACACAGCCAGGAAGAGGCCATCTGCAAGCCAGGAAGAGAGCTCTCATCAGGAACTTGAAGGTGGCCTTCCAGCCTCCAGAAGGGAAACACATGCCTATTGTTTAGGCCAAACCATCTATGGTCCTTTGTTACAGCAGCCCAAGCTGACAAAGACAAAAGGCTGGTCACACAGGCAGAGGACTCTTGGCAAAAGCCAGCTCCAAGCCCCATCAGACAACACTAGGCAGAGCTGCTGAGCCCTTCAACCTAGGTAGAGACAGCTGCCACTTTCCAGGTGACCTGATTACTTCCTTAAACCTGAAGCACTGCCTCACAGATTTCTAGAACTAGAACTTTATTTCTTAGCTTCCCACTGCCTTCATGCATTAAAATCCTCAAATCCACCTTTTCTGCATGCCTCACAGCTGGGAGACACTCGACTCACACACAGGGCCTCAGCCCCTCCAGAGAGAGCACCACCAGGGCTGAGGCCTCACACTACAGAGTGCAGGCCCACAGTGCTCATGGTCCCCTCCAGGCTCTGGAGGAGCAAGGCTGTAGCTCTGAAAAGCAGTCACAGCCCCTGTAGCAGAGCCTGGTATCACTAAGAATGGAGCCCACAGGTCTCCTACCACTTACTTTGAACACAAATGCAGATGATGTCAACTTGAGCCCTCATCTATGCTTACACAGGGTCCTCCCTGCCCAGTGGGCTATGTGGTACACCTGAGGGGCTGCCAAGTTTCCCGGGGCAGCTCCACTGGCATTTAACCCTCCAACAAAGCATCTAAAGGTCAGCCTGTGGCCAACTGCCTTACATCCTCCCCTTGGGCCACTGCTCTAGTTTTTAAAATATGTATTGTAGCACAGAACCTCCCAGCGGCACACACTGCTAAATGCTGTGACTACCCTGACAATGTGGCATGCCACACCCTGAGCCCGCCCTGCTAGACTTCCGCGCCAGGACACGCTGGAGACAGTGGTTCCAGAAAATAGTAAATGCTTCTCTTTCTCCCCCAACACTGAAATGGGGACATGTTGCAGACCTCATATAGGAAGGTGAGGGGTCCCACCTGTGACTGGACTGCTCAGGCAGACACAGGCACCCTCACAGAGAGAGGCCCCTGCATCCTAGACACTGGGAAGCTCAGGCAGATGGGCAGCCAGACCCTCCCACTGCCCCAGCTCCCATCAGCCAAAACAAGAGAAGGTTAGAAACCACCTGGGACTCAGGGGCTGATTGGGACAAGGGGTACGCACAGAATCAACCCCCTTTAGCTCCCCTAACTCCAGACTTGACCCTGAAATGGCTCAATTCCAAATCCCCACATTTAACAAAGACTGACACAGGCAAAGGGTCCTGTCAGACCTCCTGGAGACCCTTGAGGTCTTTGGGGGTCACTAACTGTATGCTGGCACTACAATGCATGTTGGGTGAACAAGTGAAAGAACAGGGAGACAGACAGGCATTGAGCTATTAGATGGAAACAGTGCCAAACTTCAGACAGGTAAGAAAGCAATTAATTCTGCCCTGAGGGGTGTTTGGGGGGTAGGGAGCACCATGGACTCAGACCCTGATGGACTCAGTCACACAGAGGTTCACAGGGAATGCCAACAACAACACTGGCAATGGCCAGCCCTCCAGTCAGGCCTGGACCCAAGTCAGGGCCAGCTCAAATGCAGATCTGACTCTCTCTCCTCAGTGACCCCAGCTTCTGGAGTCAGGAGAGACAGCAGCCCAAAACACTCATCATTCTACACCCTCCAGGCAATGCAGCTACAAGCATCACTCCAGCTCCAGCCCAGAGGGTGCCCTCAGAACTGGACTGAGGATGCTGAGGAAATGTGGGTGTGGCTGAGCGGGGAGCCCTTGCGGCCATCTGGAGGCCTCCCCATGGCCGGCCACTCCAAAGCAGGCCACATGTTTCCAGAGACCTGGAATCGAGCCAGGAGAGCTGACTCTGGCCTCCCATCACTGTTCAGAACTGGGCTCACTCTTCCAAGAAAAAGAAGGGGCCTCTGTTGTGCAGATACCACTGGCCCTTCCTCGCACCCCTCCCCAGGGACAAGCTCCTGCCTCCTATAAGCTCAGCCCTACTGCCATCTGCACCACATCAGAGCCCACATCACAGGTGAGCAAGGCAATGAGCCAGGCGCTGTGATGCAGCAGCACCCAGATCCCCTCAGTGAGGGCTGTGGGCAGGCAGCCTTCAGCAATCAGCCCTTTCAGGGATTTGGTGGCTGCACAGACCTGCACTCCACACCACACCTGTCCCAGGCAACCCTCATCTAACGAATGACAGTTGCAGAGCAGGAAAACCTGACTATCTCACCAGACTGGGGACAGCTCTGAAGGGCTGTGCTTGTGCTTGCGCTTGCTCTTGCTCCAAAGCAGAGGCTGTCGTGGGGCCTTCCTTGCTGCTTGAGTCTCCCTCTGCCTGCTGTTGCTTCCCTCGCCTACCCCACAGGTATTGTCCCAAAGGTACCCCTTAGTAAGGATCCTGCATGACAAACTCCCTACCTCCTCTTCAGGAAACCCAGCCTATGGCATGAAGTCCCAGACATATTGATACAAATTTCTACCACCTATGGATGCTTGTGAATAACACCCTTACACAAGCCACAGTACCCGATGACAGTTCTGACTATAGTAATCTTTCTGAACTCCAACACTCTACTTTTCTCAAAGTCCCAAAAGGGAGTTTGGATTTCACCTGGAAAGGATTCTCACTTTATCACCCCTCAAAGTGCCTTGCCATGCCCTCCAACAGCCACAGCAGCCTCCACAGCACCACTTCCGCCATAACTCCCCAGAGGATAGAAGGCCAGACTGCCACCAGGGTCAACAAGCCACCCACAAAGCAAGCTAAACAAAGGAGCACTCTAGGGGCGGACCCCACAAGCATGAACCATCAGGCACTCTTGTTGCACTTTGTGTGTACAGCCACCTCTCTCAGATCAGGCCCACCCTTCTCTTTACCCTCACCTCACAAACTCCACCACAAGCCCAAACTACTCACCACTCAGCCTGGCCTGCAGCCCCTGAGGTGAGTGGAAGGAAAGGCCACGAGAGGGGAGGTTACACTGAGTTCTACTGCCATTTATCGCCAGTGCTTTGGACTCTGAAACTTAATCGCTACCAGTGCCTGGGGAGGATGGAAATGGTAGCCTCAAGCGTTGGCTCTGCACCTCTCCTTGTGAGACCCTTCTCCTTGTGAGACCTTCTTGTTCTTGATGGGTTGCACAAGGTCAGAGAACCTCAGCTGGGCCCTGTCAACCCAGCCAAAGATATTTCCTTCCTTGGAGCTGGAGGGGCGCCCAGGTTGGTAGGTCTTAGTGGGCTCTGTCAGCCCTGGAGCCGGCAGAGAGCTCCAGGGTGAGTTCCTGAGCAGGGCAGGAGACATGGAGACGCAGAGCCTCCTTGAACTCTCTTTTCTGTGGACTTGCACTTCTATTCTGCTACTTTGGTTTCTGCTTGTCGCATCTGCCCCCACAGAGCCTGTCCTACCCCAGTATGTGGGTCTGGCTGTCTTGCTGCAATAAACCCGCAAACTGGGCAAGTTTCTTAACCTGAGTCTCAGCAGTTTATGGGTAAAATGAAGGATCAATCTGGCAAGGCTTTGAAAAGTCAAACAAGAATTACCCCATTAAGTGCCTACTATGGCTCGAATGGGGCCAAAATTCATGCTGAAGCTTAATCCCCACTGTGGTAGTATTAAGAGGTGGGGCCTCTAGGGAAGTGATTGTCATCAGGGCTCTGCCGCATAAATGGATCAGGGCCTTATAAAAGAGCAGGAGGAAACTAGCTTAGGCCCTTTTTGCCCTTCCATCTCTTCTGCCATGTGAAGACACGGCAACAAGGTGCTATCTTTGAAGCAGAGAACTACCTGTACCAGATACCAATCCTACTAGGATCCTGGACTTCCCAGCCTCCAAAACTCTATTGTTTATAAATTACCCAATCTGTGGCATTTTGTTACAGCAGCACAAATGAACTAAGAAGGTGCCCAACAGAGGGCCTGGCCCTAAGTGCTCAGTATACAAAAGCTCCTATTAGCTACTATTAACCATGACAATGATTGGGTAAAGAAGATGGGACAGTCTGTTTGTCAGCTTCTACCCACTCCTCCTCAGCTGACATCCAGGCCCTCCTTGCTGCAACTCCTCAGGCACTGAAGCACTCACTGTCTACTCCAAGTACAGCAACAACACACCATTTTCCTGGCTTGTGCTGCAGATGGAGCCCGGAATCTGAGAAGACACTCAAGTCCTATCAGGCACACCCAAGTAAGGTGCTCCAGCTCTTGCCCCGCCCTCTGGGCCTCTTAGGGTAAAGCCTCCAGCACAACAGACGCTGAATACAATCTACTATTCTCCCAGGCTTAGTAGGTAAGGCCAAAATGTGAAATACCATTCTCACTCCACTTTCAACCAATCATCAGGCTGGATAATCCAAAACTAAGTCCAAACTCAGGGGCAGAAGGAGAGTAAGAAAAAGAGTACAGGCCAGGCACAGTGGCTCATGCCTGTTAGTCCAGCACTTTGGGAGGTCAAGGCAGGCAATCACTTGAGGTCAGGAGTTTGAGACCAGCCTGGCCAACATGTTGAAACCCCGTCTCTACTAAAAATACAAAAATTGGCTGGGCGTGGTAGTGTGTGCCTGTAATTCCAGCTACTCAGGAGACTGAGGCATGAGAATCGCTTGAACCCAGGAGGTGAAGGTTGCAGTGGGCCGAGATCATGCCACTGCATTCTGTCTTAAAAAAGAAAAAGAGGACACTGTTAAGTCCCCACAAACCCAGTGCCCTCACAGTTCCCATTCCTTCCCCAGTTTAACAGTGATTTGTGTCTGGGAAGGCCAAGCACAGCACATTTACATACACCAGCTCTTCTGCTGTTAGATTCTTCAGGACACGTAAATGCCTGCAATCTCCATGTTGTCAACCTAATACAACATGAAAACAGGGAGTTCGAATACACTAATCAACCCTTTGCTTTCTAGCTGCTCTACATGTAAGAAATGTAAACACTTGACGGGTACAGTGGCTCACACCTGTAATCCCAACACTTTGGGAAGGCCGAGGTGCGTGGATCACTTGAGCCCAGGAGTTCAAGACCAGCCTGGGCAACATAATGAAACCCCATCTCTACAAAAAAATAAAAAATAAAAAGACTAGCTAAGCATGGTGGTGCACGCTTGTAGTCCCAACTACTCAGGAGGCTGAGGTGACAGGATCGCCTGAGCCCAGAAGGCTGAAGCTGCAGTGAGCCATGATTACGCCACTGCACTCCAGGCTGGTGATAGAGTAAGAGTCTGTCTCAAAAAAAAAAAAAAATTTTAAAGAAATGTAAACACCTGTGATAAAGTAAGGCCAGGCACAGTGGCTCACGTCTGTAATCCCAGCACTTTGGGAGGCAGAGGCGGGTGGCTCACCTGAGGTCAGGAGTTCAAGACTAGCCTGGCTAACATGGTGAAACTCTGTCTCCATTTATGGCCGGGCACAGTGGCTCACACTTGCAATCCTAGCACTTTGGGAGGCCGAGGCGGGTGGATTATCTGAGGTCAGGAGTTCAAGACTAGCCTGGCTAACATGGTGAAACCTCGTCTCTATTAAGAATACAAAAATGGCTGGGCACGGTGGCTCATGCTTGTAATCCTAGCACTTTGGGAGGCCGAGGCGGGCGGATCACCTGAGGTCAGGAGTTTGAGACCAGCCTGGCCAACGTGGCGAAACCCCATCTCTACTAAAAATACAAAAAATTAGCTGGGCGTGGTGGCAGGCGCCTGTAATCCCAGCTACTATGGAGGCTGAGGCGGGAGAATCACTTGAACCCTGGGGGCAGAGGTTGCAGTTAGCCAAGATTGCACCACTGCACTCCAGCCTGGGTGACAGAGCGAGACTCCATCTCAAAAAAAAAAAAAAAACAAAAAAAAAAAAACCACAAAAATTTGGCCAGGTGTAGTGGCTCATGCCTGTAATCCCAGCACTTTGGGAGGCCAAAGCGAGCAAATCACCTGAGGTGGGGAGTTCAAGACCAGCCTGATCAACATGGAGAAACTCCATCTCTACTAAGAATATAAAATTAGCCAGGTGTAGTAGCGCATGCCTGTAATCCCAGCTACTCGAGAGTCTGAGGCAGGAAAATTGCTTGGTACTCGAGAGGCTGAGGCAGGAGAATTGCTTGAACCTGGGAGGCGGAGGTTGTGATGAGCCAAGATCACACCACTGCACTCTAGCCTGGACAACAAGAGCGAAATTCCATCTCAAAAAAAAAAAAAATGAGCTGGGCGTGGTGGCGGGTGCCCGTAATCTCCGCTACTCAGGAGGCTGAGGCAGGAGAATTGCTGGAACCCAGGAGGTGGAGGTTGCAGTGAGCCAAGATTGTGCCACCGCACTCCAGCCTGGGTGAGAGTGAGACTCTGTCTCAAAAAAATAAATAAATAAAATACAAAGTTAACTTTATTATAAATAAGCAAATTATAATCTCCTTAAAGGTTGCAACTGTTTCTTCATCTTTTATAGGTCTTATGACCCCCAAGAAACCGACTTCAAAGCACTTGAAAATTTTAAGAGTTTGCTAAATGAATAAATGCAAAATTTATGCTCAAACATACAAATGAATGCATATCTGCATGCACGCATACTCTCATACATTTTACCAACCCTTCTCCAAGGATAAAGTTTCTCCTCACCAACATGGATAGCAGAAGTCACGAAAACTCTAGAACACTATATGTTATTAATTCCGTGAAGAGAACTAATTTTTCACAAGATTCGCCGTAGGCTTTGACCTGAATAAAACAGGAAAAGATCCTAAGAGATTACAAAATTTGACTCCTTCCCCTTTACAGAGCAGAAACTATGGTGCTGAGAATCAGAAAGAAAGGAAGATAATGGCAGCTCTGAAACCAGTCTTAGGCTTTGCTGACTCTCAGCACCTTATTCTTTCTGCTAGCATTTTGGCAGACGTGACAAAGAACATCCCAAGTGTATAAGACACACTGCAGTTTCTAATACCATCTCCTTGCAACAGTGTGCTCATATCACCTGCGTGGTACAATGTCCTTCACTATAAGAGATAAGCAATTATATTTTAAAATCTTTTAAACAGGTATTTCTATTCAGCAGTAGGTTGCTTTATATCCCCAAAGACTCTCCAGTCAAACTTCCTTTTGTTATAGGATATAAAAACAGTTCACACGAATGATCATTACCTTTAACAAGCAATTTGTCTCTCACAGAAACCCTCCGAGTCGAGTCGGACGCTGTGGCTGCCGTCCGGGACCCTTTGAGACCATCGTCACGCTTCAGTTTACTTGCTAGCGTTAGCATTACTGCTGCCTTTACCCTGAAAGACAGCAATGAAAGCAGGGTTAAGGACCAGGTCTCCAGAGACTAATTAGACACTGAGAAAAATGTATAAGTGCTTTTGTATTTTGATTTTTTCCCACAATTTAGTTATGGAAAAAATTTGTACACATTAATAAGATTGGATTCCTTCATAATACATTTGAGAAGCTCTATGCCATCCTCTATAAGCCTAACTTTTAAAATTATGAATTAACATTTTTTAAAAAAGAGAGTCATGGCTGGGCACGGTGGCTCACAACTATAATCCCAGCACTTTGGGAGGCCAAGGTAGGAGGATTGCTTGAGCCTAAGAGCTCAAGACCAGCCTGGGCAACATGGCAAAACCCTGTCTCTACAAAAAATATAAAAAAATTAGCCAGGAGTGGTGGTGTGTGCCTGTAGTCTCAGCTACTCGGGAAGCTGAGGTAGGAGGATCCCTTGAGCCTGGGAGATTGGGGATACCGTGAGCCGTGATTGTGCCACTGCACTCCAGCCTGTGTGACACGGCAAGACCCTGTCTCAAAAAAAAAAAAAAAAAAAAAAAAAAATTTAAAATTAAAAAGAGTCATGCATTTCACACTCACTGGGTGCCAGGTCCTGGGATGTGGTTGTGACAAAGCTCCCGTGGAACACAAGGTCTAGGGTGGCCTCCACAGTTTCTCAACCAGCATGCCCTCACCAATGGGTTCCACATGAGTCCATTACTGCCCACTGGTAAGTTGGCCCTTCCCTGCTGCAGGGGATCATGCACACACATGGTACGGTCCCAGGTTCTGGCCCATCACCAACTGAAGCAGCACAGCCTCTGGTGGAAGAGGAGCACCACTCTTTGCTCTCCTTCCTCTTTTAATAAAGGTGTGGATAGAGCCTTAATAAGCATCTTCTCATTTATTCATGCTGTGTTGCATTTACTTACATTTGTGTTTTATTTATATTTTTTGGCAATTTCAACATCAAGACTAAATTAAAATTAATGTCCCAAAGTAGATTATGTTCATTGGTGGCTTCCACCCCATCTGTGTTGCAGGTTCCCCTGCTGCAAGCTCACTAGTAGGGACAACAAAGACCAAACACAGGTGATGCCCCTTGCTATCTGGGAGACGGTTGAAGAAATGCCACAATTTGTTTAAGATTTTATTTTTTAATGGCAGTTTTAAGTATACAGTAAAATTAACAGGAAGGTACAGAGATTTCCCATACGCCCCCTGCCCCAACACATGCACATCCTTCCCCTATTACCAACATCTCCCACCAGAGGGTACATTTGTTACAATTAATGAACCCACATTAACACATTATAACTCAAAGTCCACAGCTTACATTATGATCCCACTAATTGTAACAAAGTAACTATCCGCTAGACTCTGCCTTCTGTTTCTAACATAAACTGACATTAATCGTCCTCCTTGCCATGGTCAGAGAGGGTCACTGGAACTTCTTTTGACTGAGGACAAATATTTGTCACCAGGGCCAGGTGCCGTGGCTCATGCCTGTAATCCCAACACTTTAGGGGAACGAGACAGGTGGATTATGAGGCCAGGAGACCGAGACCACCCTGGCCAACATGGTGAAACCCCGTCTCTACTAAAATACAAAAAAATTAGCCGGGCGTGGTGGCCCACACCTGTAGTCCCAGCTACTTGGGAGGCTGAGGCAGGAGAATCACTTGAAGCCGGGAGGCAGAGGTTGCAGTGAGCTAAGATTGCACCACTGCACTCCAGCCTGGCAACAGAGTGAGACTCAAAAAAATAAAATAAAATAAAACAAAATAAATTGTCACCAGTTCAATATTTCCATAATTTCCTTTGTTGCTTTCGTATCATTTTATTTCAATACCACTCTGATCGTTTCAACAGAAAATGATCTAAAAATTCCATGTGAAAAGCTTGACCTAAGCACAGAAATTTTAGGTTGAGGCTAAGATCCTGAAAGTCAAATAAGAATACTCCGTTCCTCATTGGCATTTGAAACCATTTTTCACCCAGGTCTCTTACACAGTTTCTCACACCATCTTCTGCATATCCCCTAAATGCTGTCAGATTTTATTTTCTATTGTTTGTACCATGAAAACAGTACAGGCCAGGCATGGTGGCTCATGCCTATAATCCCAGCACTTCGGTAGGCCGAGGCAGGTGGGTCACCTGAGGTCAGGAGTTCTAGACCAGCCTGCCCAACATGGCAAAACCCCATCTCCACTAAAAATACCAAAAAAAATTAGCTCGGCATGGTGGCGGGTGCCTGTAAATCCCAGCTACTCAGGAGGCTGAGGCAGAAGAATAGGTTGAACCCGGGAGGTGGAGGTTGCAGTGATTGTGCCATTGCACTCCAGCCTGGGCAACAAGAGTGAAACCGCATCTCAAAAGATAAAAAAATTTAAAGAATTTTTTCAAAACGAAAACAATACATAGAATACGATCTTCTGAACTGCACAGTCTTTTCCACTAGAGGACACGGACATACACATACCCTAAACCCCTTAAGAAGCACTGGTCTAAAGGTTTCAAAGACAGCTCTGCACTTTCACGGTCATAAGCTCTCAGAATTGCAAAGTTGGAATGGACTTCTCTCACTCCCATTCCATTTTAACATGTGGACCCCAGGACAACAGAGGCCCAGAAGGTAGGCTGCCCAAAGCCACTCAGCTGCTAGAAGCTGTCACCACAGACACACTAGTTTCCCTCTTGTGGATGACAAAAATGTTTTTTGTTTGTTTTTTGAGACAGGTCTTGCTCTGTAGCCCAGGCTGGAGTGCAGTGGCGTGACTTGAGCTCAGTGCAGGCTCAAACTCCCAGGTTCAAGAGATCCTCCCACCTCAGCACCCTCCACCTCCTAAAGCAGCTAGGACTACAGGCAGGCACCATCATGTCCAGCTAATTTTAATTTTTTTTGTAGAGACAGGGTTTCACCATGTTACCCGGGCTGGTCTTGAATTCCTGAGCGGAAGCAATCCACCTGCCTCAGCCTCCCAAAGTGCTGGGACTACAGACGTGAGCCACCATGCCGGGCAGGAAATGTTTTTATCTCGAGTGTGGTCATGGTTTCAGACTGATCAATTACACAATTTAAATATGGGCAATTTAGTGTATTTCAATTACGCCTCAATAAAGTTGACAAAAATGTGAAAATAAACCAACATTAGTTTCTTCATTGTTACGCTACTGTGCCATCTCCTCAGGTGGCCCTCCATAAGAGCACATCTTCACAGCTTCGCCCAGAGCAAAGCAGCTGGGTTCAGCTGATGAAGTTACTTCACAGGCAAATAGTCACAAACACCTGTAGGGGCTTTAGCTACCACAGACAGCAGCACCATCTAGAGCCAAGCTCTCCTGCTTCAGCCCCTACCTGGAATGATCTTGTCAAAAATCCCTCACAAGGATTCCTTGTCATGGAACAGTGTCTCCCTTCCCAGCCAAGTCTGCTGCCCCGTGTGCAGACTCGAGCACATCAGTCCTGCCACATCGTCAGAGTCACCCAATAATGGACCAAGACGTGCATCCATCCATCACCTGGGGGTCAGCTGGACGCACCAGATGCCCTACACAAGGACTACCAGGTCTCTGGCTGACCTTGGGAATGCAAATGAAGCAAAGAGTGAAAAATAAAAGCACAACTGCTTGAACATGAGTTCAGCAGGCAGTAACCTAGGAAAGTCAGAATGAAGAGTCCCACAGAACAGCAAGCACCAGGGCCACATGCAGCTCCCTGAAGGAGGCTCAGGGAAGCCTGGGGAGAGAGATCCTTCATGCACTCAAAGGCCAACCACCAAGAAACTCTTCTGCACCACTACAGCCCGCAGGCTACGCTTAACGCTTTTATACCCCCAATCACGCCACGATGAAGTCTTCTCTGTGGGCAGAAGACGCTCCAACATTCAATTCCACTGAAGAGTCAGATTGCTGGTTTACTATCTTCAAGTCTGTGACTTGCAAGATATAAAAGAATGTAACACTGGTGCTTTGTTTTCCATAGAAAGTAATAAAAAATGTACTTCTCTAACATTCTAAGAAATCTAATATAGTGACCATCTATTTTTCTATCGTGTGTATCATTTTCACACGCCACTTTAAGAATAAACCCAAGGCCTAATTTGGGAATGTTGCCATAGCTGTAAAATTAAATTTAAACCAAAGGATTCTATCAAAAAGTAAGTCTTCAAACTGTCAAGAGGCTAGCTGAATACCTGCAGTTGCTTCAGAATTCTTTTCCTTCTTCAATATGCTTCAACTCTTGAAGATCTGGTTTAAAACAAAACTTCCTCTTTCCTGCAAATTACGCTCTAAGGCAGCATTTCGGTAACAGATCAGCTGTTCTGAACAGCATTCTCAGTTTCTAAATTCCACAAGTTGTAATTGGCCCAGTTAGGTTCCTCCTCTGGGTGGGACCTGCTTTCAGACAGCCCGGAGAAGAGCATCTGGTGTGCAACTTACTAGTGCCATCAAGTGATATTTACTCAGCATCCCTGCAAGCAATGGCAAAACCAGGCCATGTCACTTGTGCAGGGACACCAGGGGCCAGTCAGCTCAAGGTGAGGGGGCTACTTATTTACAATTCCTTCCGAATGGAGACGTCTCAATCCAAGCATAAAGGATGGGACTGCGGGTCACTAGGGGACACTCAACTTCCCCAGCCAAAGGGGCCCCGATCAGGGCACAACAAAGTCCACATCCCACTCTTCTACAGAATGCCAGTGCCCAGGAACCTCCTGCTCGGCACAGGAGTACGCTGGTTGACCGACCATCTTTGGAGCCCAGCCCCTTTTACGTTCAGCAGTAAACCTGCCCCTTCCTGCACTGCCTACTACCTGAAAGGCAGGTATGTCCAGGTGGGGGGTCCTCAAGCCCCACAGCACTAAGCTTGGTGTGATTCTGTCTCTCAATCTCTCTCTCTCTCCCACCTCTATGCTCCCCCTTGCCTTCATCTCACTCCTCAGCCAGGATTCCTCTGCACCAGGCAGGCCAGTTTCCTCTTTGTTCCTTCACAACACCCTGTTCATTTCCAGAAGCTTCTATTCAGTCTGATACCCAGGTCTAGAATGCCCTCCTTCCCTTCACAAACGAATCCTACCCCTTCCTTAAGGGGAAGATTCCTACCTACATCCCAACATCTCCTCCTCCAAGAAGCTTTCTCTGGCTATTCCAACCCATCCTGCCCCCACTTCCAGGCGGTCGGGAATGCAGAGTGGGGGGACCCAATTCTCTCCTGTGACAGATGAGGAAACTGAGCCCAGGGAGGGGAAGGCCACACCCAAGATGACACACCAGCAGAACTAGGTCTGGAACCAAGACTCTGCTGCACTAATTGTTCCAAGATGCCCTTCCTTCCTCGTCTCCTTTGCTGTGGTAAAAATTTTCCAAACTAGCCTGGCCGCCCCCAGTTGTAGGTAAGCGTCCATACTTACTCTTCCCGCTGCAGGTACGAGGACCGGGCGCGAGTTGTCACTCCCCTCACCTCCCCCGCTCCTCACGGCCTAGCGCGACTCCTGCCCCGATCGGGAGTCCAGTCCCGGTTTCTGCGGCCACGTCGGGCCGGTGACCTTGGCCAGGCGCTGGACGCCCCGCTTCCTCCGTACAAGGCAGGCAGCCGATCCCGCGAGTGGGGCGTGAGCGCGGCCAGGTCTGTGCCACGCTCGGCCCAGGGCCTGGTTCACACCAGGTGCTCGGCGCGGGCCGTCCCCCGCCGCCGCCGCCGCGGTCACTCACTGCCGGGCGAGGCCAGCGCCCCGGCCGCCGACGCCGCCTCCGACCCCCGGCTCGCGGCCCGCGGCCCGCGGCCCCTTCCCATTCACGCCGCTCGGCCTCGCGTCCGGGTGCCCGCGCCCGCCAGGCCCCCGGCGTGAGGAACCCGGCGGGCCCGAGGCGGCCCCGCCACCGCCCGCGCCCTCCGCCCGGCCCGCAGGCCAGCCCGTGCACCGGCGGCCGCACCTCGCCCCGCCGCAGAGCCGCACGGTCGCTCCTCACCTGGGCTCCCCGAGACAGGCGAGGCGGGCCCGGCGCCCAACACCATGCCCGGTCCGGGCGGCTGCTGCGAGACGCGGCCCCTCACAGCCGCACCGGCTCCCGGCGGCGGGACCGGAAGTGGCGGGGCGGGGACTCGGCCGCTCTCGCCCGCGGCAGCCGAGACAGCAGCGGGCGCTTTAAAAAAAAAATTCAAAGTCGCGAAAAACTTTATTTGGAACCAGACACGCGAACAGCGGCGTGCGCCGATCGGGACTGGGCTGGGCGACGGGCCTCTCGGACCTCGCTCATTGGCAGAGGGCGCGGCCAGGGGGCGGGCACGGATTTCGCAACCGCCGCTGATTGGCGAGTAGCGTTAGGGGCGGGGATTCCGAGTTGGCTCTGGAGCCCGAGCGCCGGAGGGCTGGGGGTTTTGCACCTGGTTCCAACACGGGTTCACTTCGTGGTCTGCAGGGTTTAGGGGCACGGAGGAGCCCGGGCTATCCTTCCCTGAAGGAGCGGCCTCCGTGGCTGGAGCTCCCGCTGTCCAGCGCCGCACCTGGAGTGCAAAGGACTGGACAGGCCCCCGCAGCCTGCAGTGCAGGCGGTGAGGGAGACCGGGCGGTCAGACACGCAAGCCACGACCAACCCCAAACCGTGTGCTGCGCCCACAGGCCCCACTGTTCTTGTCATGTCCCTTTTATTCCTTCTTTTCTCTCTTAAATGTGTTTAAAGTACCTTAAAAATCCATTTCAACTTGTCCTCTTTTGGGCGCCCAGATTCATCCCGCGCCCATTAGCGTCCTGTGTGATTGACGAGGGGCCGTCCTGGGCGTCAGGCAGGCCCCTGGAGGAGTGGGCCATTAGAAAGATGAGGTTCAGCATGGAAACGGTCAGAAAGAGACAAGGAGTTAGACTTTCATTTCGAAAAACCCCACTGAGAGGTTTCTAACAGTGGAGTGACTATCAGGTTTTCTTCCTAAAGGAGGCTGGCGGGCCCGGTGGCTCACGCCTGTAATCCTAGCACTTTGGGAGGCCAAAGTGGGAGGATCCCATGAGCCCAAGAGTTTAAGACCAGCCTCCTGATGGTGGCAAGACCCCATCGCTACAAAAAAAGAAAAAAAAAATTAGCCGCGTGGTGGCGCGCGCCTGTAGTCCCAGCTACTCAGGAGGCTGGGATGGGAGGATCACCTGAGCCCAGGAGGTTGAGGCTGCAGTGAGCCGTGATCGCACCACTGCACTCCAGCTTGGGTGACAGGGCAGACCCTGTCCCCATAATAATAATAAAGGCTTTGGCTCTAAGTGAGTCGGTGGGAATGGAGTCAGGAAAACTGGTCAAGAACACAACTCAGCCGGGCGCAGTGGCTCAGGCCTGTAATCCCAGCACTTTGGGAGGCCGAGGCAGACAGATCACCTGAGGTCAGGAGTTCAAGACCAGCCTGGCCAACATGGCAAAACCCCATCTCTACTAAAAATACAAAAAAGCCGGGCGTGGTGGTGCGCCCTTGTAATCCCAGCTATTTGGAACGCTGAGGCAGGAGAATTGCTTGAACCCAGGAGGCGGAGGTTGCAGTGAGCTGACACTGCACTCCAGTCTGGGTGACACAGCAAGACTGTTTCCAGAAAAAAAAGAAAAAAGAAAGAACACAACTTGTGTTATTTCTTGTGTTTGGGACCATGTCTCTCCCTTTTTTGCCCGGCTAACTCTCAAGTTTTCCTAAGCTAAGACACCAACTTCTGATAGGCCTCAAAGCCTGGGGGTGGGGTGGGGCAGTGCAGGTGCCCTCTGTGTCTTCCTTGGAGCCCTGCACTTCCCTCTTCCTTATTGTCATGGCCTGTTTCCCTGACTAAGCTCAGCTCCTCAGCCCTCCTCTTCCTTCTTCCTCCAGCGTCACCTCCTGCCACCCCCTTTCCCATCCTGGAACATGCAGGTGATTAAAACACATCTGCTGGATAGAGATTGCATGCGCTGGCGGCATGAGTCCTGGTGAGAGGAGATAAGGGCTTGAAGATTGCAGTGTGTGAAGGTGCAGCCGGAATGGCGTGAGCACTTGTCTTACTCATAAGCGTCACTGTCTGCAGAATGGATTGCACCACACATTGGCCCACGTAGGCCCAAATTCCACCGCTGTGGATGAATGAAGTCATTTCTAGCTCCATTTCATGAGGCTGCCTAATTCTTTCACTAAGACTTATTTAGGACTTCCTAGTTTATTAACTCAATTAATCCAAACAATAACCCCATGAAACAGGTATTATCCCCATTTTATAGATGAGGAAACTGACACAGAAGTTAAGTAGTCTGTTGGCAAAAAAGGTCAAACTGTAAAATATTTGAAGAGATTTTATTCAGAGCCAAATATGAGTGACGAAGGCCTGAGTCACAGCCTCAAGAGGTCCTGAGAACATGTGCCAAGGTGGTTGGATTACAGCTCGATTTTTATAAATTTTAGGGGTGTCAGAGGCGTTTGAACCAGAGCAACTCCATCTTGAGGCTAAGACCTACTGGGCTACATTCCCAGGAGGTTAGGCATTCTAAGTCACAGGATGACATAGAAGGTTGGCACAGGTACAGGTCACAAAGAGCTTGCCGTTAAAAGGATGCCATTAAGAAGCCGGCCAAAACCAAGATAGCGACGAAAGTGTTCTCTGTTCATCCTCACTGTTCATTACGCACTAGTTATAATGTATCTGTTGCTAAAAGACACTCTCACCAGTGCCATGACAGTTTACAAATGTCATGGCAAAGACAGCAAGTTATCCTATGTGATCTAAAAATGGGAGGACCCCTCAGTTCCAGGAATTGCCCAGCCTTTTCCTGGAAAACTCACGAATAATCAACCCCTTGTTTAGCATATAATCAGGAAATGACCATAAAAGTGGCCAACCAGCAGCCCTTGGGGCTGCTCTGCCTACGTAGTAGCCATTCTTTTATTTCCTTACTTCTCTAATATACTTGCTTCACTTTACTCTAATGGATTCCTCTTGAATTCTTTCTTGTTTGAGATCCAATAACCCTCTCTTGGGGTCTGGATCAGGACCCCTTTTTGGTAACAGGGGGACAGAAGTTACAGGCAGACACCAATCAATACATGTACATTAGTTCAGTCTGGAAAGGCAGGATAACTGGAAGCAGGGAAGGGTAGGCAGGAGCTTCTGGATCATAGGTAGATTCAAAGATTTTCTGATTGGCAATTTGGTTGAAATAGTTATTGTCTAACGAACTGGAATGAATAGAAAGGAGTGTCTGGGATAAGATAAGGTGTTGTATAGACAAATGTTCTTATGTAGATGAAGCCTCCTGGTAGCAGGCTTCAGAGAAATAGATGGTAAGTATTTCTTATCAGACCTAAAAAGATGCCAGACTCTTGGTTAATCTCTCCTGGATCAGAAAAAGATCTGGAAAGGGAAATCTACAGAACGTAGATTTTCCCCACAAGAGACAGCTTTGCAAGGCCATTTCAAAATATGTCAAAGAAGGCTGGGCACGGTGGCTCATGCCTGTAATCTCAGCACTTTGGGATCACGAGGTCAGGAGTTCGAGACCAGCCTCACCAACATGGTGAAACCCCATCTCTACTAAAATACAAAAATTAGCCAGGTGTGGTGGCAGGCGCCTGTAATCTCAGCTACTCAGTAGGCTGAGGCAGGAGAATCACTTGAACCCGGGAGGCTGAGGTTGCAGTGAACCAAGATTGCTCCATTGCAATCCAGCCTGGGTGACAGAGCAAGACTCTGTCACAAAAAAAAAAAAAAAAAAACTCAAAGAAATATATTTTGGGGTGAAATATTTCTCTTTCTTTCAGGGCCCACCGTCATGTGATGCTATACTAGAGTCAGTTGGAATTTGGCATCTTATTAGTACAAACAGCCTGTTTTGTCAGTCTTATGATCTCTGTTTTAATGTTAATGCTGGTGAGCTGTGCTTGAATGCCAAAGTGAGGAGGGTATAATGCAGCATGTCTGACCCCTCCTTCCCATCATGGCCTGAACTAATTTTTTAGGTTTCTTCAGAATCCCCTTGTTCAAGAGGAGGGGTCCATTCTGTCGATTAGGGGGCTTAGAATTTTATTTTTGGTTTACATGTCCAACATGGCTGTGAGGAATAGAGAAGTTCTTCAAAGTTTCTTAAAACCATAAAGAGCTTGTCATTTCTTTGCTTTATGCATATCTATATATGTTCCAGTGCAGCTGCTCTGACTTGACCTGGCATGCCTGGACAGGGTTAAGGCAGCCCGGGACCATAGTGCCTGCCATAGCTTATTTGGAAACCCTCCTGACCCTCTCATGACTAGCTTCCTCTTTCCTTTGTCCTCTTTCCTCTTTACCTATTTAGAAAAGTTTCAAGCTGTTAGCCAATCAGGTCAAGCTTAGAATGTGAGGTCCCATTCTGGCCAATGGAAATGGGACACAGCCATAGGACGATTGCATCAGGTTACAAAGATTATAAATGTCCCCATCTCCTTTGTTCAGGTGTGCTCTCATGGCAAGACTGCTAGCGAGCGGCACCCTTTCTGCAGAAACTAAACTAGCCTTGCTGAGAGATCCTTTGTCTCAGTGTTGATTTTGCCACACCGAACTCCCATTTCCAACAATGGCAGAGCTAGGATTTAAAGCCAGGCAGTCTGACTCTGAGATTTGCCCTCAGCCAGCACACCTTGAGGCAGCTGATACAAAGAACTTGAGGTAAGCTCTGGGAAGCTGGAGATGGTGCCATGAGTGTATTGCCTGCAGGCCTGTCACCTGAGTCCTGGCCTCTGTGGGCTGGCCTTGCCCTACCAGGTGCCTCCAGGGAGCTAGGGCCTGGGCTCAGACATCTCCACAATCCAGGACATAAAGGGGGCTGGTGCCCCTAACTGTAACTTTCATGTTCTCTGGGAGGGACTGGCTCTGCTTCAGTCACAGAACCACTGTGTGTGTGTGTGGGAGTGGGGTGGAAGTTCAACTGTGAGCCTCACAGAGGAGTGTTGTTGCCCAAGGAAGGGCAGGGGGAGACAATGTCCTCGCATCCCTTCCTCCCTCACCCCTGTAAGTTCAACCCCAGAGGCTTCCAGCTAGGATGTGGAAGGGGAGATGGCCTGGGCTATCTATATTTTCAGCCTGGTCCAGGGCTGGCAGCACTCTGGCCTGGGCTGGTGCAGGGACCTGGGAACCTGTGGGGTGAGGGAAGGGTCTCCCAGGCAGGAAAAGTGGCCTCTGCCAGCATCTTATTCTGCTTAGGCTGCCATAAAATACCACAGACTGGGTGGCTTACACAACAGATGTTTATTTTCTCACAGTCTGGAGGCTGGGTAGTTCAAGATCAAGGTCTGGCAAGGTAGGGTTCGTTCTGAGGCCTCCTCTTGCTTGTAAGCAGCCGCCATCTGGCTGTGCTCACACGGCCTCTGTGTGCTGGGGCAGAGAGAGAGAGAGTGGGCACGCAAGCATGAGAGCTCTCTGTTGTCTCCTTATAAGGATTCGAATCCTGCCAGGTCAGGGCCCCAGGTTAGGGCCTCATTTAACCTTAATTGCTTTCATAGAGGCCCCATCTCCAAATACAGCACACTGTGGGTTAGGGCATCAACATATGAATTTTGGAGAAACAAACATTGTGTCCCTTGCTTCCAGGAAAGCCCTGGAGGGGCATCCACTGCATTTAGCCGTCCACTCCACTCTTCCCTCCTGCCCTCACTGTGGGTGGGGCACACTCCATTCATTCCCCACTGGGGTAGGCATTCCTGGCTCCGGGCTTCAGTGGAAGATTGGCCTCCAGAGGTACGATCTGCAGTCTGGGTGAGCTGGCATCACCAAGCCCAGTGGGTCCAGTGCTCATGCCCCTTCCTCCAGACACAGTGTCCTTACCCCAGGCAAGACCTTAGCCATGTTCCAGGTGCAAGCCCTTGTTGTGTGAATTGGGAAACAGCCCAGGGGATGCTGAACTCCCGTGGGAGTAGACATGGGAGAAAGGGTGCAACACAGCCCTTGGCCAGCCCTTGCTCCACTTGTTTTGTGTTGTTCTAGATTACTCCCAGGTGTGCATCTGCCCTCCGGCTTCATCTGGTGTTCCTGGGGAGCAAGGCCCAGGACACTCAAGTGCAGGCCTGGACACATACAGGCCCCATGTCCCTGTGGAGCCTTCTCAAATCTACTTCAATCCAAATCAGGCACTATATAATAAGTACCTGTCAAGGGCTGAGTGTCGTTGGGGACAGACCCTGCCCTCCAAAAGCCTCAGCTAATGGGAGAAACTAGCATTTAGTAAACCACCACAGAATAGGGGCAGGGATACAACTGTGGCCGCTAAGGTTTGTTCCAGACAGGGGGGAACAAAGCCTCCACTGACCCACATGAGTTTAGGGATCACTGGGGAAAGGAGGGAGAGAGAACTGTGCTGACGGTAAGCCTTGCCTTAGAATTCAACTGAGGAAGCTGAAAATAAATGCCAAAAATCCCATGTCCCACTAGCTCATTCTCTTGCTAAAAGGGGAGACAGGTAAATGGTGTTTCTGTTAGGAAAAGCTTTATTGGGCCTTTTGGGGCCTGGGGTCTAACCTGGAGAGGAGGACAAAGATGAGACTACAAAGCAGCCGGAGGTGGTGTGGAGTGCTGTGAGGCTGTCTGAGGGGCAGAAGCTGAGAGGTGACACCCAAGTCCCAGTTCTGGGGTCCTCCGTGGCATGAGGGAGGGATGAACTTCCCATAGCTGGGGCAGATGGGGGCTCAGATTATCATCGTTATTATTATTTAGTAAGGGGTCATCCAGGAAGCAGACAATTGAAAATTCTAAGTAGTATAATTTTAATTACATAACTGGTATAATTAAGTTTTGCTTTTGCAACTGGCCTCCAGGGAATACAGCTTGTTTCTTTTTATTTCTTAAAAAAAAATAATACAGTGGGCTGTGATGGCTTTGTTGGAGAGGGACTGAGTCAGAGTGGTGTTTTAAATCTGATGATAGGATTGAGATCGTCATCATTCACCTACAGCAACAATGGGCTCCTTTTAATAAGGTCTGTGCATGGGGACTGGAATAGGGACATGGTAGTCCTGTGGTTCTTCCTCCTTCCTGGCTGCCCATCAAGTGACCCCAGAACTGGCAAAGCCCTACAGGACCATCAAATGTGAGAGAAGCCACCTTCCTCTGGGGGCTTTTTGGTTTTACTTTCTTGCAGAAATGGATTTAAGTTGTCTGCCTTTGTCACACTGTCTCCCATTTTGTATTGCATGTTCTTTTGGATTAGTCACTAACCAAGGTTAGTTCAAGTTTTCAGGGGTTTTATTTTATTTATTTTTGAGACGAAATATTGCTCTGTTACCCAGCCTGGAGTGCAATGGCACAATCTCAACTCACTGCAACCTCCGCCTCCTGGGTTCAACCGACTGTCCCACCTCAGCCTCCCGAGTAGCTGGGATTATAGGCACGTGCCATTGCGCCCAGCTAATTTTTTGTGGTTTCAGTAGACATGGGGTTTCACCATGTTGGTCAGGCTGGTCTTGAACTCCTGACCTCAAGTGATCTGCCCACCTCGGCCTTCCGAAGTGGTGGGGTGACAGGCATGAGCCACTGCGCCCGGCTAAGTTTTCAGGTGTTTCTATGCAGCTAAAGAAAAGTGCCACCTTTTATGGTTTAGCTCTGTTAGAGGTCTTACGTGGTAGATGTGTGTGGTATGACAGGTCACAACCATATGTGGAAGGCTGAATAATGGCCCCTAAAGATGTCCTTGTCCTAATTTCTGGAATCAGTGAATATATGACTTTACATGGTAAAGGGACTTTGCAGATGTGAGTAAATCCAGGATCTTGAGATGAGATTATCATGGATTATCCAGGTAGGGCAAAGGTAATCACAAAGGTCCTTATGCCAGGAAGGCCAGAGATCTGTCAGCAGGAGATGTGAGGATGGAAGCAGAGGTTGGGGGCATTCGAGGAAGGGGCCCAAGCCACAGAATGCAGGTGGCTTCTAGAGGCTGCAGAAAGCAAGGAAGGGGGTGCTCCCTTGAACCCTTCGGAAGGAATGCAGCCCTGTTGTTATGGGCTAAATTGTGTCCTCCTCCACATATATACATTGAAGCTCTAACCCCAAGACCTTGGAATGTGACTCTATCTAAAGAGAGGGCCCTTAAAGGTAATTAAGTTATCCAAGAAGGCTGGTATGCGAGAAAAAATTCTGAATGTAAAAAGTAAATAAATAAAAAGGTAATTAAGTTAAAAAAGAGGTCATTAGAGAAGGCCCTAACCCAATACAGACTGGTGTCCTTATAAAAAGAGGAGTTTAGTATACAGACATGCATGGAGAGAAAACCAGGTGAAGAAACAGGGAGAAGATGGCCGCCTACAAGCCAAGGAGAGAGGCCTTGGGAGAAACCGGCCCTGCCAACACCTGGATCTTGGACTCCAGCTTCTAGAACGGAAATAATTAATTTCTGTGGTTTAAGCTGCCGTGCCTCTGGAGTTTTGTTATGGAAGCCCGAGCAGACTCACACACCTGCCAGCACCTTGCTCTTAGATTTCTGACATTCAGAAAGGTAAGAGAATGTGTGTCGTTTTTGAGCAACCATTTGTGACAGCCTCCACAGGAAGCGAATGCACCGTGTCTCCCATAGAGCATTCCCAGTGGATGGCGGCTGGGGCTGCAGCCTGGGGTCTGGGCTCAGGAAGGCCTGGCTGCAGGGAGAGGCACTGCCATCACCCGAGGGCACATCAAGGTGCTTTTCACAGGCACTCAGGATGCTGGAGCCGCTCTTGCAGGCAAGTACCGTAGCTGTACTTTCATTTGGCATGGCCTCTATAGTCTTCATTGTTCTCACTATCTGACATTGTGCACTCCAGTGGGTGCTGTGTGGAAAATACCACAAAACACTTTTCCCTAAAAACCCGGCTGAAAATGTGTATCTGCGAGTTCATGGGAACGCTTAAGTGCACAAGGCAGAACATGATCAGGAGCAGCCATCCCAAATTTGGAGCATCAGTGATGGTCGGGACGGCATCCACGCTGTTTCCATCTCAGGCTGCCCCCCCGGGGTCCTACTGGGGCCACCTAAAACAGTCACCTGGCACATCAAGGTAGTCCCTTCCCCTGCAGCCACAGCTCTTGCTAGAGACTTAGGGGGAACCAACATTCCATAACTCCTTTCGAAGCCCACGTGACTAGAGTCCAGGATAATTCAGGTGATGGTGATGCTACAGGTCTTATTTGTAAAGAGGAGGAGCCACCATTCAGAATGGGCCTGCCCAGCAGAGGAACAGGTTCAAATATCCTATCAATGATGTATCGTCAGTAACAACATCCCAGAAGCAAGCTGAGTAGTCCCTGTAAGGGCCCTGGGGAATAGGTGATGGGGCATTAGTGAGAGAGTCTACACAGCTGCTCCAAAAACAAGGTAAACACACATTCCCTGCTGGAAAAGTATCCATCACACATGATAAAATGAAAAAATAAGTAGGACCAGGCCCTGTGACTCACACCTGTAATCCCTGCACTTTAGGAGGCAGAAGCAGGAGGATTGCTTGAGCCCAGGAGTTCAAGACCAGCCTGGGCAACACAGCAAGACCTAGTCTCTACAAAAATGAAAAGGAAAAGAAAACTTAGCTGGGTGTGGTGGCATGAACCTCTAGTCCTAGCCATTCCAGAGGCTGGGGTGGGAGGATCACTGGAGCCCAGGAGCTCAAGGCTACAGTGAGCTATAAGTACACACTGCACTCTGCCTGGGTGACAGAGTGAGACCCTGTCAAAAGAAAGAAAGAAAGAAAGAAAGAAAGAGAAAGAAAGCAAGAAAGGAAGGAAGAGAAAGAGAGAGGAAGGAAGAAGGAAGGAAAGAAAGAAAGAAAGAGAAAGAAAGAAAGAAAAGAAGAAAGAAAGAGGAAGGAAGGAAGGAAGGAAGGAAAGAAAAAAACTTTTAAATAAAATGGTCTGTTTGGATAGAGATAAGTCTATGAACTATTAGAAAATATTTAGCTGCATATTGTGTTCATTTGCTAGGGCTATTGAAACAAAGTACCATCAACTAAGTGGTTTAAACAACAGAAATGTATGGTCTCTTCTTTGGGGAGGCCAGAAGTCGGAATGGAGAAGTGGAAGGCTTTCCTTCTGAAGCTATCAGCTGCGGTCTGGCCTAGGCCTCTCTCCTTGGCTTGTGGACGCCACCGTCTTCTCCCTGTGTGCTCCTCCACCTCCACCTCCGGATGTCCCTTTTCATAAGGACACCAGTCACATGGGATTAGAGCCCACCTTAACGACCTCTCTCCAAATAAAACTTAGGGGGAAGCAACTCTGAGGTACTGGGGGTTAAGGCTTCAACATATGAATTTCGAGGGGACAGCAATCCTACCCCTAACCCACAGACACCAGCTGCTGCTCTGGGCGGGAACAGGGGTCTTTTCACTTCACAGAACCCTGAACCGTTTTGATTTTGGGGGGTGGAACGGGGGTGGGATGCGAGGGAACAAGCTGCCAAGCAGGGCCTGGCGGGCCGCCTGTGGGAATCCGGGAGAAACCTTTGGAAGCGGCCTGGGGGCGGGGGTGGGGTGGGGGTGGACGCAGCCCCCTCATCTGCCAGTTGGCATCTGTCCGTTCAAGGGCCCCGGCCAGCAGCCCGGAGGGAGCTAAGTGCACGGCCCATCAGCCCTCCCTAGTCTGCTGCCCCTCTGTGGCCGACTCGGCTCCTCAGACAGGGGCGGGACGGGTCCACGGCGCCCACCGACCTCCCCGCGCAGGAGGAAGCCACAGTCCCCCAGCTCCGCGGGAGGTGGGCGTCCCTCCGAGGGCTGAGTGGAGACACCGCCAGAACCAGGGCCAGGGTCAGCAGGGGTGTCCTTCCACGAGGGGAGCCCTGGGGTGGGCTGCCTGCCTGCCGGGACAGCCCGCGGGGGACGCGGAGGCGCCCAGGGGATTCCTGGGCGCTGCGGCTTGTGGGCGCAGGGGCGCCCCTTCTTGGCTCCGCCCCCACTCCCAGCTCGGTCCTTGGACTCAGCGGCGCTGCGGGGCCGAACCCTGGGGCCTCGCATCTCCGCCCTGCCGTGAGGGCCAAGTAGCCGCGCCCAGGGCGCACGGCTTCACCAGGCTGCGGTTACATGGGACCTGGTTACCCGGGCCGCGGGATCCCAGGACACGGGGCGCGGTTACACTCGGCGCGGGGCTACTGAGGGTGCGGGGGTCCACGGCGTGTGGTTAGGACTCAGGAGGCATCGCCGCCGGGGTTGGGGGGACGCCTCCCTGTCGCCCTTTGGATGGTGGGCGCTGGTGGCCTCGCCTGGGGTCCAGGGGTCCACGCAGGGGGTGGCCCAGGCGCCGCAGGTTCCCCAAAGCCCCGAAGCCGGGTCCTCCCGGGGCAGGAGAGTTGGGTGGGGGCGACACCCGGGCATTGGGCTGCGGGTGAGGCTCCGCCTGCAGGGGTCCTGGCTCCGCGGGTCCCGCAGACAGGTGGTCCTGGCTGTTCCTGGAACCCGGCGGGCCCCCTGAAGGCTGAGCACCGGCAGCGGGGCAGTGCCCAGCCTTCGAGGAAGCCCGAAGAGCTGACTGCAGGGTAGGGCCAGCCTCCAAGGGGGGCATCTTGAGGAGCCAAGGTCAGAGCAAAGCAGAGAAAAATAGTGAGGGGAAAGGCTTGGTACACTGCGGGGCAGGGCTGCCTTTGCACGGAGCGGCCTGCTACCCCCTCCCAGCCCCGTCCCACCACTGCGTACCACCTTAAAGGAAAGATTACAAAGGAATTCAGATTCCAGATGAATTGTAGCTCTAAATGTAAAAGGTAAGACTACGCTTTTAGAAGAGCTCATAGGAAAATTGTTGCATGGAGAAGGCAAAGCTTCTTTAGGCAGAACACAAAAAAGGACTAGTCATGAAGGACAAAAAGACTACGCTATAACTCAGGACCTCTCTTGATAAAACGACACCATCAAGACAATCAAAAGACAAGCCGCAGGGTGGGAGGAGATATTTGGCACACATGTATCTCACAAAGAATTCATAGCCAGAACTGTAGTCTGTAAGTCAACAAGAAAAGGCAGAAATTCCCCAAGAAAAATCATCTGATGATTTGATTGGGCACTTCACAAATGAGGTAAGCCAAATGGCAAGAAGCCTGTGAACCTGGGAAGGGTGGCGCCTGCAGTCCCAGCTACCTGGAGGCTCAGGCCGAGAGTCTCTTGAGACCAGGAGTTTCAGGCTTCAGCGAGCCATTGGCCACTCACTAGTCAGCAGGAAAAGAAACCATCTGACATTGCTTCACACCTGTCAGGATGGCTAAAACGAAAAAGATGGTAAGGATGTGGAGCAAATGCACTCTTATACACTGCAGATGGGAGTGAATATTTATACATTGGCTTTGGAAAATAGGTGGCGGCCACTAAAGTTGAAGAAATGTTTACAACCCAGCAATTTCACTCTTAGGTATGTATACATATACTCACCAAAAAAAGTACTTATTCCACAACTTAGTTCTTTAACTTAATACTATGTCTTTGAAATCTATTCATATTGATATATAGAAATCCATATTGTTCCTCTTTTTTTTTTTTTTTTTTTTTTGAGACTGGGTCTTACTGTCACTCGGGTTGGAGTGCAGTGGTGCAATCACAGCTCGCTGCAGGCTTGACCTCCTGGCCCAAGCAATCCTTCTGACTCAGCCTCCAAAGTAGCTTGGACTACAGGCATGTGCCACCTGGTTAATTTTTTTAAATTTATTTATTTATTTTTGAGACGGAGTTTCACTCTTCTTGCCCAGGCTGGAGTGCAATGGCGCGATCTCGGCTCACTGCAACCTCTGCCTCCCGGGTTCAAGCAATTCTCCTGCCTCAGCCTCCCTAGTAGCTGGATTACAGGCATGCGCCATCATGCCTGGCTAATTTTGTATGTTTAGTAGAGATGGGGTTTCACCATGTTGGTCAGGCTGGTCTCGAGCTCCCGACCTCAAGTGATCTGCCTGCCTTGGCCTCCCAAAGTGCTGGGACTACAGGGGTGAGCCACTGCACCCAGCTAATTTTTAAATTTTTTATAGAGATGTGATCTCTAACTCCTGGATTCAAGCAGTTCTCCCACCTCGGTCTCCCAAAGTGCTAGGATTACAGGTGTAAGTCACCGTGTCTGGCCATATTATTCCTTTTAATAAGTGCATATGTTATTCATTCTTAAGAATATTTTACAATTGGCCACATGCAGTGGCTCACACCTGTAATCCCAGCACTTTGGGAGGTCGAGGTGGGTGGGTGGATTACTTGAGCTCAGGAGTTTGAGACCAACCTGGGTAACATAGTGAAATCCCATTTCTGTCAAAAATACAAAAACTAGCTGGGTGTAGTGGCATGCGCCTATGGTTTCAGCTACTTGGGGGGCTAAGGTGGGTGGATCACTGAGCCTAGGAAGCCAAGGCTGCAGTGAGCCATGATTGTGCCACTGCACTCCAGCCTGAGTGACAGAGGGAGCCCCTGTCTCAAATAAATAAATAAATAAAAATATATAAAAATTGGTCGAGCACAGTGGCTTATGCCTGTAATCCCAGCACTTTGGGAGGCCGAGGTGGGTGGATCACCTGAGGTCAGGAGTTTGAGGCCAGCCTGGGCCAACATGATGAAACCCCATCTCTACTAAAAACACAAAAATTAGCCAGGCGTGGTGGCGGATGCCTGTATCCCAGCTACTTGGGAGGCTGAGGCAGGAGAATTGCTTGAACCTAGGAGGTGGAGGTTGTAGTGAGCCGAGATCATGCCACTGCACTGCAGCCTGGGCAACAGAGTGAGACTCTGTCTCAAAAAGAAATTATGTGTATATGTATGTGTGTGTATATGTGTGTGTGTGTGTATATATATATAAATTAAAAATAATAATAATTTTTTAAAAAAGAATATTTCATGATTGTCCAGTTTCCTGTTTCCATTTCATTGCTTCCAATTATTTGCAATCACAAACACTGCTGCAGCAAACACACTGCCTGGTGAAAGTAAACTGGAGTAAGGTCCAGAGGCAAAACTCCTTATCTAAGAAGCTTAGAAGTAAATTAGACTTCCCTATTATCTAAAGCCAGCATCCAGTTCCAGGCTTCTTTCCCTAAAATGTATAAGTAATTCGAATTTCTATACATCTGCGGAATGCAGATGTCAAAACTCATTGTGCAACCCTTGCTGGCAGTAAGGCAGCAAAATGTCTACAAAGGTAATCATTTATCTGTCATGTCTTACCTGGCTAATATGGTCCAAATTACCCTTAAGCTCACACTTTAAGGACCATTAATAGCCCTAAGGAAAATCCACTGCTGTGTGCTGTCCCCTCTTGCTGAAGTGCCCACTGTACTCTTCCACAGCATAGTTTCTATCTAATAAAACTTTCCTTTCCTTCCTTCCTTCCTTCCTTCCTTCCTTCCTTCCTTCCTTCCTTCCTTCCTTTCTCTTTCTTTCTTTTCTGAGAAGGAGTCTCACTCTGTTGCCCGGGCTGGAGTGCAGTAGTGCAATCTTGGCTCACTGCAACCTCTGCCTCCCAGGTTCAAGCAATCCTCCTGCCTCAGCCTCCCATGTAACTGGGATTACAGGCATGCACCACCACACCCTGCTAATTTTTGTATTTTAGTAGAGCTGGGATTTCACCATATTGGTCAGGCTGGTCTCAAACTCCTGACCTCAGGTGATTTGCCCACCTCAGCCTCCCAAAGTGCTGGAGTTACAGGCATGAGCCACTGCGCCTGGCCTCCTTTTAAAATCTATACTATTGGTAAATTCTTCTTACTACCTGAGAGTCAATCACTTTCTGTTGCCCGGCCTCTGACACCTCGCCTGGCATAAGGTAAGGAGTTTCTCTAAAGCCTGCCCCAAAAAGTGAAATAGCTGGATGATAGAGTATACACATTTTCAGCTTCGCTAGAATTGCCACATTGGTCTTTAGAGTGGCCATACTACTTAACATGCCTACAAGCAGTATGTGAGGATTTGCACTTCCCCGTAACCTCCTGGCATTGACAGGCTGATTTCAGCAATGTGATGGGGATGAAATGGTATCTGCCTGTGGCTCTCCTTTGCATATCTCTCAATGGCAAGTGTGCGCAGTTTTCCTGTTGTCTATTGGCCATTCACAATTTTCCTTCTGTGAATGGCCTCTTCATATTGTTTGCCCATTTTTCTGCTGAGTTATCTTTTTCTTATTGATTTCTATACGTTCTTTAGGCATTCTGGAACAAATCCTATGTCTAATACATAAGACTTAGTGTATATAGTACAAAATCTTCTGTTCAGTGGCTGGTTCCTTAGCTTTGTTTTTTTGTTTTGTTTTGTTTTGTTTTGAGACAGCCTCACTCTGTTGCCCAGGCTGGAGTACAGTGGCATGATCTCAGCTCACTGCAACCTCAGCCTCCCAGGTTCAAGCGATTCTCGTACCTCAGCCTCCTGAGTAGCTGGGATTACAGGCGCACGCCATCACACCCAGCTAATTTTTGTATTTTTAGTAGAGATAGGGTTTCACCAGGTTGGCCAGGCTGGTCTCGAATTCCTGACCTCAGGTGATCTGCCCACCTCAGCCTCCCAAAATGCTGAGATTACAGGCATGAGTCACGGAACACAGCCTTAGCTTTGTTTATAGTTTTCTTCTCTTTCTTTCTTTTCTTTCTTTCTTTCTTGCTTTCTTTTGTTCGTTCCTTCGTTTTTTCTTCCTTCCTTCCTTCCTTCCTTCCTTTCTTTCCTTCCTTCTTTCTTTCCTTTCTCTTTCTTTCTTCTCTTTCTTTCTCTCTCTCTCTTCCCCTCCCTCCCTCCCTCCTTCCTTCTTTCTGTCTTTTTTTTTTTTTTTTGAGACAAAGTCTCACTGTCACCCAGGCTGGAGTGTAGTGGTGTGACTGCAACCTCTGCCTCCTGGGCTCAAGTAATCTTCCCACCTCAGCCTCCCCAGTAGCTGGGACCACAGGTACGCACCACCATGCCCAGCTAACTGTATTTTTGTAGAGATGAGGTTTTGCCCTGTTGCCCACACTGGCCTTGAACTCCTGGGTTCAAGCAATCTGCTCACCTTGGCCTCCCAGTTTTTTTTTTTTTGTTTTTTGTTTTTTTTTTTTTTTTTGAGACAGTGCCAGGGTATAGTGCAGTGGCGCAATCTCGGCTCACTACAGTCTTGACCTCATGGGCTCAAGTGATCCTCCCACCTCAGCCTCCTAAGTAGCTGGGATTACAGACATCCTCCACCATGCCCAGCTAATTTTTTGTATTTTTCATAGAGAAGGGGTTTCACCATGTTGCCCAGACTGGTCTCGAATTCCTGGGCTCAAGCCATGGAATTGCCTTGGCCTCCCAAAGTGTTAGGATTACAGCTGTGAGCCCCTGGACCTGGCCTATAGTTTTTTGTTTCGTTTTGTTTTTGTTTTTTGAGATGGAGTCTCACTCTGTCACCCAGATGGGAGTGCAGTGGCTCAATCTTGGCTCACTGCAGTCTCTGCCTCCCAGGCTTAAGCAATCCTCCCACCTCAGCCTCCCAAGTAGCTGGGACCACAGACATACACTACCACAACTGGCTAAGTTTTTGTATTTTTGGTAGAGATGGGGTTTCACCATCTTGCCCAGGTTGGTCTCAAACTTCTGAGTTCAAGCAATCTGCCCACCTTAGCTTCCCAAAGTGCTGGAATTACAGGGGCGGGGCACCACGCCCAAGCCGGCCTATGTCTTTTTATTAGTTCTTTCCTACATTGCTATAAAGAACTACCTGAGACTGGGTAATTTATAAAGGAAAGAAATTTAACTGGCTGTCTCCCAGGCTGGAGTGCAGTGGCACGATCTTGGCTCAATGCAGCCTTGACCTTCTGGGCTCAAGTGATCTTTCCACCTCAGTCCCCCAAGTAGCTGGCACTACAGGTGTGCACCACCATGCCTGGCTAATTTTTGTATTTTTTTGGTAGAGATGGGGTTTTGCCATGTTTACCGGGCTCTTCTCGAACTCCTGACCTCAAGTGATCCACCCAGCTCAGCCTCCTAAAGTGTTGGGATTGCAGGCATGAGCCACTGTGCTCAGCCTTTTGTTTTTTTTCAAGTCCATCTCTGGCAAATAAGCAGTCATATTTTCTTTGGAAAAAAGCTCTTGTACTCCAGAACAGATCCAGTTTTGTGGATCTCTGTCTTGATACGTAGATGAGGAGTCCTCTTTAAGAAAGAACATTATATAAAGTGATTATACAAAGTGCTATATACTTGGCTGGGTGCCGTGGCTCACTCCTGTAATCCCAGCACTTTGGGAGGCCAAGGCGGGTGGATCACTTGAGATCAGGAGTTCGAGACCAGCCTGGCCTACATGGTGAAACCCCATCTCTACCAAAAAATATAAAAAGTAGCTGGGTGTGGTGGCATGTGACTGTAGTCCTAGCTACTCAGGAGGCTGAGGCAGGAGAATCACTTGAACGCAGGAGGTGGAGGTTGCAGTCATGCTGCTGCACTCCAGCCTGGGCGACAGAGTGAGACCTGGTCTCAAAAACCAAACCAAACCAAAACAAAACAAAACAAAAACAAAGTGCTGTATATTCAAAGAATGCAAAGTCAGGGATGAAAGTCAATATTTATTTAGAGTTAGAAAATAATAAATAGCATAAAAATGACAAAATGCAGAAAACTATAATCACATAATATATATGATATGTAATATTATTTACAAAATAATAATGATATTGTATTAGTCTGTTCTCGTGCTGCTAACAAAGACATACCTGAGACTGGGAAATTTAGAAAGGGAAGAGGTTTAATTACTCACAGTTCAGCACGGCTGGGAGGCCTCAGGAAACTTATAATCATGGTGGAGGTACCTCTTCACAGGGCGGCAATAGAGAATGAGGATCCAGTGAAGGGAGAAGCCCCTTATAAAAACATCAGATCTCATGAGAACTCACTCACTCTCACGAGAACAGCATGGGGGAAACTGTTCCCGTGATTCAATTATCTCCACCTGGCCCCACTCTTGACACATGGTGATTATTACAATTCAAGGTGAGATTTGGGGGAGGGACACAGAGCCAAACCATATCATATATATAATGTGTGACGTATATAATATTTTCCTATTTTTTTTGAAGTTTGTCATATTTGTTTGTTTGTTTTTGAGACAGAATCTCATTCTGTCTGGTGTGTAGTGGTGTGATCTTGGCTCACTGCAACCTCTGCCTCCTGGGTTCAAGCAATTCTCCTGTCTCAGCCTCCCAAGTAGCTGGGACTACAGGTGTGCGCCACTACACCTGGCTAATTTTTGTATTTTTAGTAGAAACGGGTTTTACCATGTTGGCCAGGCTGGTCTTGAACTCCTAACCTCAGGTGATTTGCCCACCCCAGCCTCTCAAAGTGCTGGGATTACAGACGTGAGCCACCACCCCCGGCCAGTCTGTGGTATTTGTGATTTGCTTTCTCACCACCAATAATATTTACTTTCATCCTTAACTTGTAGTCAAAATTGAGTATACTTTTCCTTAAAGGAACTCTCCCCACCCCAAAGCTGTATAACAAACCTCTCCAGAAGTTTCTATGGCCACGGGCCATTGTTGTGGGCAGAATAATGCCCTCCTCCCAAATGTCCACATCCTAATCCCTGGAACCTGTGAATATGTTGCCTCACAAGGCAAAAGGGACTTTGCAGATGTGATTAACTTAAAGACCTTGAGCTGGGAGATTATCTTGTATTATATGGTGGGCCCAATGTCGTCACAAGGGTCCTTATAAGAGTGAGGCAGGCGGGGCTTGGTGGCTCACGCCTGTAATCCCAGCACTTTGGGAGGCTGAGGAGGGCGGATCATGAGGTCAGGAGATTGAGACCATCCCGGCTAACACGTGAAACTCTGTCTCTACTAAAAATACAAAAAATTAGCTGGGCGCAGTGGCGGGCGCCTGTAGTCCCAGCTACTTGGGAGGCTGAGGCAGGAGAATGGCAAGAACCCGGGAGGCGGAGCTTGCGGTGAGCCGAGATCGTGCCACTGCACTCCAGCCTGGGTGACAGATCGAGACTCTATCTGAAAAAAAAAAAAAAAAAAAAAAAAAAGAGTGAGGCAGGTGTGTGAGGGCATCTTTTTCCTCTGCTCATCTTAAGTTTTCCAGCTGGGGTCCTGAAAATTAGGCTGACAAAAGACAGACTAACAAGAGAAAAACAAACAGATTGTTAGAAAGTGCAGTACACATCACTTGGGAGAAACCTTAGTGATGAGTAACTCAGAGGGATATTTAGAACTGGGTTTATGTAGGCCGGGCATGATGGCTCATGCCTGTAATCCCAGCACTTTGGGAGGCCGAGGTGGGTGGATCACCTGAAGTCAGGAGTTTGAGACCAGCCTGGCCAACATGGTGAAACACCATCTCTACTAAAAATACAAAAATTAGCTGGGTGTGGTGGCATGAGCCTGTAATCCCAGCTACTCAGGAGACTGAGGCAGGAGAATCACTTGAACCCAGGAGGTGGAGTTTGCAGTGAGACGAGATTGTGCCACTGCACTCCAGCCTGGGTGACAGCTTGAGACTCTATCTCAAAAAAAAAAAAAAAAAAAGAAGAACTGGGTTTATGCAGCATTTTAGCAAAGGAACAATACATTTTTAGAGAAGCGATGAGACAAAGGAAGAGGGTTTTAGGCTTCCAAGGGTGACAAACTGTGAGAAGGTGACCAGATGAGGGAAGCTAACAGAAGAGTAGGGCTACCTGGGCAGGTCCATCTGGATGCTGACTTTCCATCTTCTACATGGCCATAAAGCTTCCCTGGGAGAGGAAATGTATAGCAATCCTCATTCCCCAGAAGTTTCTGCTTTTTTGTCAGGTAAGAGAAGCACCAAGAAGATGTTTTTCTTCATCTACTGATTATCATTTGCCTCTAGCTCAAATTAATCTTCATGCCGGCATAGTGTATTTTGGGGTGGCATATTCCTATGAGCTACACAGGAGATCAGAGTCAGAAAGAAAGAGATGTGAAGGCCGGGTGTGGTGGCTCACACCTGTAATCCAAGCCCTTTGGGAGCCCATGGTGGGAGGACTGATTGAACCCAGGATTTCGAGAACAGCTTGGGCAACAAAGCAAGACTCCCATCTCTACCAAAAATTGAAAAATTAGCTGGGCATGGTGACATACACCTGGAGTTCTGGCTACTCGGAAGGTAGTGATCCCCTGAGACAGGGATCACTCGAGCCCAGTGGATTCATATTTCAGTATGCTATGATAGTCTGGGTGACAGAGCGAGACCCTGTCAAAAGAGAGAGAGAGAGAGTGGAAGGAAGGAAGGAAGGGAGGGAGGGAGGGAGGGAGGGAGGGTACTCTGAAGATGCTCCTCTGCTAGTGAAGATGGAGGAAGTGGCCACAAGCCAAGGAACTCGGGCAGCCTCTGGAGGCTGAAAAACACAGGAAACAGATTCCCCTGAAGCCTCCAGAAGGAATGCAGCCCTGGTGACACCTCGATTTTAGATGTTTCACCTCCAGAACTGTAAGATAACAAATGTGTGTTGTTTTCACCAGGTTTGTGGTAATTTGTCACAGCAGCAATTGGAAGCTAATATAGCCATGTGTCCATATCTGCATCTTGAACCCTTTCTTTCTTTCTTTTTCTTTCCTTCTTTCTCTCTTTCTCTTTCTCCTTCCTTCCTTCTTCCTTCCTTCCCTCCTTCCTTTCTCTCACTTTCTTTTTCCTTCCTCCTCCCTCCCTCTCTCCTTCCTTCCTTTCTTCTTTCTTTCTTTCTTTTTTTTCTTCTTTCATCTCTCTGTCTCTCTTTCCTTCCTTCCCTTCCCTTCCCTCCCTCCCTCCCTCCCTTCCTTCTTTCCTTCCTTCCTTCCTTCCTTCCTTCCTTCCTTTCTTCCTTCCTTCCTTCCTTTTCTTTCTTGACAGAGTCTGGCTCTGTCACCCAGGCTGGAGTACAGTGACACATTCTTGGCTCACTGCAACCTCCACCTCCTGGGCTCAAGTGATCCTCCCACTTCAGCTTCCTGAGTAGCTGGACCACAGGCATGTGCCACCACCCCTGGCTTGTTTTTGTATTTTTTGTAGACATGAGTTTTCACCATGTTGCTCAGGCTGGTCTCAAACTCGTCAGCTCAAGCAACCCACTGCCTTGGCCTCCCAAAGTGCTGGAATTACATGCACAAGCCACTATGCCTGGCCTATTAAGGGTTAATTGAACCATTTCTTACCCAAGTGGGATCATATTCTATGTGAGTTTTGTAGCTTGCTCTTCTTATTTTTCCAGCTAACGGCAGGTCTTGAAGGCCTTTTCTGTAAGCGCACGTAGAGCCACGTCACTCCTGTTAAAGGCTGGTGGAGGTGGTGTTGTTCATTACCTTCCTTCTGCTCCCCATGCGTCCAGCCATCTGCAGTCAGGTAGGGCCCTGTGGCTCGCTACGGCTGTTGGGTTGTGGGCAGAAATGATATGACTGGCTCTGATTTACGTGAAAGAGGGAATTAGAAGTCCAGTTTTATCATACAGGCCTAAGAGTCGCACTCAGGCACCCTGTTCCCAGGGGGCATCTGATGGGGAGACACGCAGCAGAGAGAGTTGCAGACAATGCTGGTTGCTATGCCAACATCTACCCTTCCTTTCTTCTCTGTAACAAAGCCTGGCTTGAAGCTGGGTACATCACTTGGTCTCCCTCGATGCTAAGTGTGGCCTTGTGTCTCAGGTCGGGGTGGGAAGGCTGCTCAAATGGGGATGACTCACGCAGGGGGCGCTGCTTTGCCTCCTGCACTCCCTGGGTTCTCCAAAGTGATTTTAAGAAGCAGGCACTTGACAGCCCAGAAGCTTCTCTTCATCCACCGCTTGGCTTAATTGAGGTGGTGGTGGGAGGCCACAAAGGCTGCCCAGCCCCTCGGAACCACTGTCATGTCTTTGGTTCAACCTTCCTTCATCCACGTTGCTCTAGCCAAGAGTCTTTGGTAGCAACAAACAGAGACCCATGCAAGCTTTCTTCCACTAAAACCGGGCAGTCCAGGCAGCAAACTTCAGATTCCAGAAGGCTTCAGGAATGGAAACTTCTCTCTTCTTTGGAGGCCTGCGTCGCTCCACAGCCCTGCCTCTGTCTATTGCTGTCTTACTCTCCATTGTCTCTCAAGCTGCCTCAGGATCCTTAGGTTGTTGCTTTTGCAGTTGGAAACCTCTGTGGCTGGTGGTGCCTTTGCCTGAGTTTTTGCTCAGGCCCACTTGGCTCATTCTGCCCACTTGGCCTGGCAGGCTGCACTCAGCTCGTGCTACTGGCCGGGATCTTACACCTGACAAGGGTGAGCCAGTAGCAAAGTGGAGTGAGTGTGGGGTCCAGCCACTGTGCACAGCCAGGTGAACTGGCTGCTGCTATGGGACAGGCAGCTCCAGGCACTGGCACAGGCACCAACTCTGTGCAAGGCTGCATCTGGATAAGATGTACTGCAGGCGGCTTCCTCTGTGGTTACCTATGTCTGGACGAGGGGAGCATGGTGGTGCCTGGAAGCTTGGCAATACCAGGAACCACAGAGCTCCAAAGAAGGTGTCACAGCCCTGGCTCAGGGACCCCCTATGTCTGGGCTTCCTGAAGGGCCACAGGTCTTCTCTCCTTCTTGTTGCCCACAACACGGTGAGTGGGGGGTTGGGGGGCATGTTTCAGCCCTGTTTGTGTTACAGCTCTTTCAGTCACACCATGTGGTGAGTTCTTGTCCCATGTCCAGGAAGAATGAGGTACGTTGGCAACTGGAGAGTGAGAAAGATGGAGAGGAATTTTAATGAGTGACAGAACAGCTCTCAGGAGACCCAGAGTGGGTAGTTTGTTTCCACAGGGAGGTAGTTCTGATGAATGCAGCCCTCAGCAGAGAGGAGATCCGGAGTGGGTAGCTCCTTTCTGAAGGCAGGGCATCCTGATGAGTGTCCAGCTCTCAATGGAGATGAGACCCAGGGTGGGTAGCTCCTGTCCACAGGCAGGTTGTCCCGACAAGTTGAGGAGACCCAAAGTAGGTCGTCCCTTCCTTCCTGCAGCTGGTAGTCCTGATGTCTGTGGGAGTCTGGGGTTTTTATGGGCTTAGAAGGGAGGAAGTGTGTGCTGACCGTGGGCAGCCATAGGTGGGCCTGGAAAAAGTACCATAAGTTCTCACTCCAGGCTGTGGACTCCATCTGTAACTGACAGCCCAGCCCCTAGGCTTCAGGCTGTCCCTGGCTTGAATGTGGGGCTTCACTGGGGACCCTCCTCTTCCCACTCAGGAGCCTGTCTGCCTCCTGCTGCCATCAATGTGCCATCCACGGCACCCAAGCTGTTCATGTTGAGGGGCACCTGCAGGCCCTCACTGAGCTGCCCTCAGCACCCCTTTGGCTTCCCTCCCATGCTGGTTGACACCCAAAGTCCAGAGGGGGCAAGGTTCCAGGGGGCTGGCATGTCAGCAGCATCCCAAAATCAGGCACTCAGCCAGGTCATGACAGTGCCCAGGATGGGCCACAGCTTTGCTCTACCATAGAGTGGGCACTGGGAGCAGTGGGAAGCCAGGCAGCAGGAGCAGACACTTTCAAGCCTGCAGGGGTAAGGGGCTTCCTGGGCCCCCAAGAGTGCACGGATGCCTGGGTCTGGAGCTGAGGCTGAGTGGCTGCAGCTGCGCCTGGGAGCATGGGGCTTCTGTCCTGCCGACTCAGTAGGGGCCGGGGCTCCCGCCTGTTCTGTGGAGCATGCCGCCCTGACCACACCTCCCCCACTGCAGCTGGCATTTTCACAGTGGCCTCTCCAGATGGGCCATTGCTGCCATCAAAGCCAATGATGTCTACTTGCTCCCTGTCCACATGACTGGTGTTTGCTGTGTCTCTAGAAAAAAAATGTGTCAGCCAAGAGGAGGCTTAATACCCTATGCCAGGCCCTGTGCTATGATTGGCCACTATGTTGATTTAAAAAGACAAGGTATTAAATGTACCTCCCCTTAAATAACGCCATGGGACTGGCAGTTTATGTACTTAACAGGAGCTGGGCAGGACAGATGAAAATGGAAGAGGGGAACATATATTCAGGGTAACTTGACTATATGTCTCCTGGGTTGCAGTCCTCAAATTTGGCCCAAATAAACTCTCTAATTATACTTAAGAAAGACAGAGAGAGAGAGAAAAGAAAATCACAGAAGACAAGAATGAGCTGCATACAAACTTCTTGGTTCAGAGGGGCTTCATTACCCACCATTACAAAATTAGATAGGAAACCAAAAGTCAGCTGAAAATAACCTCTGAAGAACAATCTACTTATAGCCAGGTGTGGTGGCTCATGCCTACAATGCCAGCACTTTGGGAGGCCGAGGCAGGAGGATCACTTGAGCTCAGGCGTTCGAGACCAGCCTGGGCAATATAGTGAGACACCCCCGTTTCTAATATAATAAAAGGAAAAAAATTAATATGGCAAGTGATGTTAGTGAAAATACAATAAGGAACCCTGAAATTATTGTGCATTCTAAGAAGCAACAAAACATTGGCCCAAACTGCTGGAGTTAATTTCTTGGAACTCTGGAAATTAAACAAAGACTTGTAAGAAGTCAGGAAGCACTTGATAAGAGGAAGAGCTGAAGGAAGGGCTGGAGTCTCTGTAAGAGCAGCAGGCTTTGTGGCAGTTAACTTACTCTATTCCCCTCCCTGGCTCCCCAGCAAAGCAGGAAACTTGAAAATGAGAGGCCAGTTTAGGTGCAGTGGCTCACGCCTGTAATCCCAGCACTTTGGAAGTTCGACATGGGTGGATCATCTGAGGTCAGGAGTTTGAGACCATCCTGGCCAACGTGGTGAAATCCCGTCTCTACTAAAAATACAAAAGTTAGCCTGATGGCGTGTGCCTGTAATCCCAGCTAATCAGGAGGCTGAGGCACAAGAATTGCTTGAACCTGGGAGGTGGAGGTTGCAGTGAGCTATCACGCCACCGCACTCCAGCCTGGGTGACAGAGTGAGACTCCATCTCAAAAAAAAAGAGAGAGACCAAATATACAGACAATGGCCAGGCCATATACACAAACAGAACTCTCACCCACAACCGGTAACAACAAGCCCAGGAAGGAAGCCAAACCCTTATCTGCACATAACAACTCAGGAAGCCAGCATGCTACAAGTCAGACTTGTTGGAGGTCCAATTGCTCTCTCTAGAAACAATCCACAAAGTAAAAACAATTACTTCTGTGACAATTGGCCCCACGCAGCCAGTTGACTGGTTAATAACTAGACACTTTCCTAATTTTTGTCCCTGCTTCCAGCTGAGGACCAACCAGAGAAAGTCAATTTGCTCCCCTAAGCAATCATATAGAAGCCCCATTTCTAGCGAGCCCTCCAGCTTCCCTAGGTCAACAGCCTCCAATCTGCACACACCTGAGCCTTCCCTTTTCTCCAGCACGAAGCTTCCCCACTCCCCTGCCTGCTTTTGAGTGTCTGCTGAAACACAGGAGAGTGGCTTCCTCCCTTGTCATAGCAAGCTCTGAGTAGATAAATAGCCTTTGCTTCTCTCCTTATTTCCATACAGGTAACAGCACACATCCCCAGCACCAGAGAGAGCAGAACAGACCTCATTCTCAAAGAACTGTCATTATTTGACCTGTCTTCCCTGGAAGACCAGCTCAAAACACTTTATTTTTTTTTGACCCAGAACTTTCCCAGTGTTGAAGACTTACGCAGGGAGTGTTTGTGGAAAACACTTATAGCCAAAGGCTTTAGTTGTTGCTGCCCGAGGCAATAGATAACAGTTGAGAAAAACAATAATTGAAATTCTTCCTTTAATTGGAAATGGTGTTCAAAACAAGTATTTGAGTGCTCAGTGTGCTTATTGCTACTAAGGTGTTTGTGTGTGTGTGTGTGTGCATGTGTGTGTGTGCACGTGTGTGTGCATGTGTGTGTGTGCATATGTGTGTGTGTGTGTGTGTGTGTGTGTTTGAGATGGGGGTCTTTTTATGTTGCCCAGGCTGGTCTTGAATTCCTGGACTCAAGTGATCCTCTGACTTCAGCCTCTCAGGTAGCTAGGATTACAGACTCATGCACCATTCCCAGCTCAGGGTATTGGTTTTTAAAGGCCCTTTCAGCTAGCAGGGTAAAAAAATAGAGTCATGAACCACATGACAATGTTTGGGTCAATGATGGATGATATATTTGATGGTGGTCTCATAAGATTATAAGACTGTGGAGGCTAAAGCAATTCCATCTTGGACTCTAATCCACTATGGTGACTTCTCATTAACCCCTGTTCAGGGAGGCCTCTAAGATTTCTATTTTATCTACTATTACCATAAACCCTGGCCTTGGGTCAAAATGACCTTGGCCATAAATCCTGCCCTTAGGCAGATTCACATAGCATTCTTGCCCTTCCCTAGGGATCAGCTTCACTTGTCCTACCTGTTCCTTCCCCTATGGTAGGAATGGTGTGGGGGTCCACCAACTTTTGGCTACCTGAGACATGGCTTCTCTTCATAAGTCTTTATTAAATGCTTCTTTCTGAGGAGCTGGATTTGTCAGCCTCTTCTTTAGCCCTCAGCTTCCTTGGACTTTGGGGGTAGGTTTGCATGGACTGGACTGCTATGAAGCAAATACCATGTTTTTAACTGAACTTTTCTATGTTAAGATATGTTTACATGCATGAATACCACTGTGTCCCAATGGCCTACACTCTTCAGTACAATGACATGCCGCACAGATTTGTAGCCTAGGCACGATCGGTTATACCGTACAGCCTAGGTGTGTAGTAGGCTGCACCATCTATGTTTGTGTGAGTACACTCTCTGATATTTGCACAATGACAAAAATCACCTGACACATTTCTTAAAAGGTATCCCTGACATTGAGAGAGGAGAAAGAAACAGATCAGACAGGCAGTTAGGGTGGGTCCTTGGTTGAATTCTTTCAAACAAAAGAACAGCCTGCAGGCATAGATAAGGGAACTTGCACGGGGGGCTTGCCTAAGACATGCCCACAGCTGCACTGATAAGAAAGGTGGGCGGATCACCTGAGGTCGGGAGTTCGAGACCAGACTGACCAACATGGAGAAACCCCATCTCTACTAAAAATACAAAATTAGCTGGGCATGGTGCTGCATGCTTGTAATTCCAGCTACTCGGGAGGCTGAGGCAGGAGAATTGCATGAACCCAGGAGGTTGAGGTTGCGGTGAGCAGAGATCTCACCATTGCACTCCAGCCTGGGCAACAAGAGTGAAACTCTGTCTCAAAAAAAAAAAAAAAAAAAAAAAAAAGAAAGCCTACATAGGTGACTTGCCCAGACATGCCCACAATGGAAAATTCTGTCCCCTGACACATGTGCAGTAAGGGTTACAAAGCAATATGGAGTAACTCAAGCCAAGGGCACACATGCACGTTAGGAGGATGGGGTAGAGCTACCAGAAGTTTGTGCCTTAAGCAAATGAGACACTCGGCCCTCTTCAGTTTCCTATAAAAGCCTTGGCATTCAGTTGTAAAAATGGCAACCCTCTTCAAGTCCCCTCTCTGCAGCAGAGAGCTTTCTTCTTTCACTTATTAAACTTTTGCTTCAAACTCATCCTTTGTGTCCATACTCCTCAACTCTCTTGGTTGTAAGACAAAGAACTCTGGGTGATACCTCACAATGAGAGACTGCTCCATTGTGGTGCATTGATGAGACTCTAACACCATTAAGTGACACATACCTGTATATGTGTTCATACTAACTCATGTCACATATGTAACCAGCAGCATGTATCTACAACTATTTCTATATGTAGCTATCTGCATCTATAGTAAGCTAAGAATGAATTCATACTGATGTATAATCCATCACCACATGGATCATTCTAGCTTCCTCCCCTTGCTTTTGTGTAAACACACTGAGAAATGTAGCTTCTACCATCTGCCACTGTTTACATAATTGCTCTATTCCAGTATATTTGTAGAGCAGTATCTGAATTATTAGCTCATGCCTCCATAGCAAACAACTTTATTAACTAGACTACAGTGCTTTTGTGCAATTCCTTCTGTCTTTAGTCTTAGAGGTGCAACTCATTTCCAAGTTACTTAGGTCAGCACCTTCCCATCCCCTCCACCCCCACCCCTCCATCCCCTCCAGCAAAGTTGTTGCATGCATTTGTAATACAGTTTGTTGCGTAAACCAAAAATACAATTCTAAGCCTCCCAACTGACTGAAGAGACCCCTCCTTTCTACCAAGGGGGTCCAAAGAAACCTGAAAAACTACTTCATGTGATGACAGGAAAGAGGGGTCAGACATGCCTCATTATATTCTCCTCCCTTTGGAGTTCAGGCACAACTGACCAACACTAACATTAAAACAGAGGTCTTAAGAGTGACAAAACAGACTCTTTATAGTAATAAGATACCAAATTCCAACCTGATTCTAGTATAACATCACTTGACAGATAGTGTGTTCCTGAAAGAAATCAAAATATTTATCCATATATATATATATATATATATATATTTTAGACAGAGTTTCACTCTGCCATCCAGGCTAGAGTGCAGTGGTGCAATCTCAGCTCACTGCAGCCTCCACCTCCTGGGTTCAAGTGATTCTCCTGCCTCAGCCTCCCGAGTAGCTGGGATTACAGGTATCCACCACCACACCTGGCTAATTTTTGTATTTTTAGTAGAGATGGGGTCTCACTATGTTGCCCTGGCTGGGCTCGAACTCCTGACCTCAGCTGATCCACCTGCCTCAGCCTCCCAAAGTGCTGGGATTACAGGCATAAGCCACTGGGCCCGGCCCCCAAATATATTTCTTTTCTTTTTTTTTTCTTCTCGAGATGGAGCCTTCCTCTGTCGCCCAGTCTGGAGTGCAATGGCACAATCTTGGCTCACTGCAACTGCTGCCTCCCAGGTTCAAGCAATTATCCTGCCTCAGCATCCTGAGTAGCTGGGATTACAGGTGTGCACCACCATGCCCAGCTAATCTTTGTATTTTTTTTTTTTTTTTTGAGATGGAGTCTCGCTCTGTCACCCAGGCTGGAGTGCAGTGGCGCGATCTCACTGCAAGCTCTGCCTCATGGGTTCATGCCATTGTCCTGCCTTAGCCTCCCGACCGAGTAGCTAGGACTATAGGCGCCTGCCACCATGCCCGGCTAATTTTTTGTATTTTTAGTAGAGACAGGGTTTCACTGTGTTAGCCAGGATGGTCTTGATTTCCTGACCTCGTGATCGGCCTGCTTCGGCCTCCCAAAGTGCTGGGATTACAGGTGTGAGCCACTGTGCCCATCTGGAGTTTGACTTTTTAAAATCAACAACAGTTAGATTCTCTTGTCACGGTCGGCATTCCTTCCTGAGAGCCCCCTCCCCAACCTCCTAAATTATAATATCCGTAGGAAAGTAATAGACTTTCAACTATTAACAGATATCCTGCAATATTGCTGTAAACACTGATTCATTCTAGGAGTCTTTATTCTTTGGGATTTTCTACACAGACAATCATCTCATCTGTGAACAAAGACAATTTTGCCTCTTACTTTCCAATATGTATACATTTTATTTCCTTTTCTTGTTTTATTGCACTTCCTAGGACTTTGGTATGATATTGAATCATAGTGGTAAAAGGGGATATCTTTGCCTTTTTCCTGTTCTCAGGGGAAAAGCATTCAACTTTTCTTCATTAGGTATAATATTAGTTGTAGGGTTTTTGGGTAGATTAAAAAAAAACAAACTGACAAAGTTCCCTCCTCTTTCTGGTTTTATTTACTGAATTTTTTTTATCATGGATGGGTGTTGGTTTTGTCAAATGCTTTTTCAGCATCAATGAATATGATCATATGATTTCTTTTCTTTAGACTTTTGATGTCATGGATTGCATTAATTTATTTTTGAATGCTGAATCAGTCTTGTATACCTGGAATAAATATCATTTGATTTATGTTTAATTCTTTTCATGTGTTGTTGGATTCAATTTACTAATATTTTGAGAATTTTTTTTTCTTTTTTTGAGATAGAGTCTTGCCATGTCACCCAGGCTGGAGTGCAGTGGTGCAATCTCGGCTCACTGCAAGTTCTGCCTCCCAGGTTCACGCCGTTCTCCTGCCTCAGCCTCCTGAGTAGCTGGACTACAGGTGCCTGCCATCACGCCCAGCTAATTTTTTTGGTATTTTTAGTAGAGACTAGGTTTCACCGTGTTAGCCAGGGTGGTCTCGATCTCCTGACCTTGTGATCCGCCTGCCTTGGCCTCCCAAAGTGCTAGGATTACAGGCATGAGCCACCACGCCCGGCCATTTTTTTTTTTTTTTGAGACAGAGTCTCACTCTGTTGCCTGGGCTGGAGTGCAGTGGCACCATCTCGGCTCACTGCAACCTCCGCCTCCAGGGTTCAAGCAATTCTCCTGCCTCAGCCTCCTGAGGAGCTGGGACTACAGGCGCATGCCACCCAGCTAATTTTTGTATTTTTAGTAGAGACAGGGTTTCACCATGTTGTCCAGGATGGTCTCGAACTCCTGACCTCAGATGATCCACCTGCCTCAGCCTCCCGAAATGCTGGGATTATAGGCGTAAGCCACCGCACCCAGCCCTCTGTCACCTAAATTCTGACAAATTTAGAGAATATTGATTTGAAGGGATGGCAAAGAATTAACATGCCCCCACTGCCACCAGGTCCCAAAATGACTCAGAATTCCAGGGGTGCCAAGCACATTGGGTTCCATGCAAAGCATCTTGGTGGCCCTAGGAACCTGCCCCCACCTGTTTGCCATCTTTGTTTTTCGTTTTTGTTTTTGTTTTTGATTTTTTTTTTTGAGACAGAGTCTGGCTCTGTTGCCCAGGCTGGAATGCAGTGACTTGATCTGGGCTCACTGCAACCTCTGCCTCCCAGGTTCAAGCAATTCTTGTGCCTCAGCCTCCAGAGTAGCTGGGATTACAGGCACGTGCCAACCATGCTGGCTAATGTTTGTATTTGCGGTAGAGACAGGGTTTTACCTTTTTGGCCAGGCTGGTCTCGAACTCCTGACCTCAAGTGATCCATCCGCTTTGGCCTCCCAAAGTGCTGGAATTGCAGGCGTGAGCCCCCGTGCCCAGGCTGTGTGTGCTGTCTTGATCCTGATGGTTGCATCATCAAAGAGAAGATGGAATCAAACAAAGGGCATGATCTTCTTCTTGCAATTTGGTAATCATATAAAAGTAGTAGACAGACTTCCCTGTGCTAAAGAAAACATTAATCCAAGAATACTTATTAAAGCTCAATAAGGAAGACTTCTATTCAGGACCATCGGGATCACTGTAGGGAACACTTGCAGTGGGGGAGGGAGACTGCGCTCAACTCCGACTGCAGCACCAGCAAGCAGGGACTTGTAGCCAAGGAGCAGGGTGGGGTCAGCAGATGGAAAATGACTAAGAGGAAATGTCACAGGTGACAAGGATTCTGGAGCAACTGACCTCACAGGATGCTTGCTGAAGACAGGCCAGGGCAATCAGACATCCCCTGGGGGATGGTGGGAGATGAGGAACCTGTTCAGATGTGGAGGGTGATCGGCTCTCGAGAGGGCAGGAGTTCTGGCTAAACTGATTTAGCAGAGGGTTCTTTTGCTAAAACTGGATTTTCTGAGGAAGTGCACAGAGGGGCCCAGGGGAAGGAAGGTTTAGAAGCCTAACCAAAGTATGGTCAAGCAAACAATCATTGTCACTTTTAAACTGAGTTTTTCCCCCCCCACAATTTTTTAACTGCTGAATTTTAGGTCCGTTTGTTAACTAAAGCATTTATTTGTTTAATTGTTCCTGTAAATAAGCAATATTAGACTACATGCATATGTAAAAGGACATCTCTGTATGTCTCAAAATTCATAATAGGAAAAACAAAAGCACCAAAACAAGAGGAAAATAACCTCAGCTTGTAATTTGTAAATAAATACTCCCTATTTCTTTTCCCTGTTTGAAGATAATTAATGGCAGTCGACTCTGTAGCTGGTTTTGTTTTATAAATATGTTCTTATAGGAAGCTTGTCTTTTTTAACCTTTTTTTTTTTTTTGAGGCAGGTTCTCACACTGTCACTCAGGCTGGAGTACAGTGGTGTGATCTTGGCTCACTGTAACCTCTGCCTCCTGGGCTCAAGCCATCCTCCCACCTCAGCCTCCTGAGCAGCTGCAACTACAGGTGTGCATCACCACACCTGGCTAATTTTTGTAGTTTTTTGCAGAGATGGGAGGGGTTTTGCTACATTTCCCAAGCTGGTCTCGAACTCCTGAACTCAAGCAATCCTCCCACCTCGGTCTCCCAAAGTGCGTGGATTACAGGTGTGAGCCACTGTGCCTGGCCCTATTTTAAATTCTTGATTCTGTTTAAAAAAAAATCGTGACATCTTTTCTCCAAAAAAGGAGGGAAGAAAATATTTCCTAAAAGTAAAATTTTAAATGATGTTACATTTATTCATTCATTCAAAACTTCTTTTTTAAATGAGACAGGATCTTGATCTGCTGCCCAGGCTGGAGTGCAGTGGCATGATCATGGTTCACTGCAGCCTCAACCTTGTGGGCTCAGGCAATCCTCCCACCTCAGCCTCCTGTGTAGCTGGGACTACAGGTATGGGCCACCACACTCAGCTAATTATTGTATTTTTGGTAGAGACAGAGTTTCTCTGTGTTGCCCAGACTGATCCAAACTCTGGAACTCAAGAGATCCATCTGCCTAGGCCTCCCAAAGTGCTAGGATTACAGGCGATGAGCACTGCGTGGGGCCCAAAATATATTTATTGAACACATTCAACATCCAGCGTCTGTACAAGGCCATGGGTGCTCTGAGCAGAAAACAAACAGGCCAAATCCCTTCTTCATGGGTCTTAGACGGCAGTAGAGGAGGCCAGCCAGCAGGGAATGAGCACTCAGAGGAGGCGTGGTGGGGAAGGAAGCAGGCCGAGTGGGCCACAGGGAGGGCTGGGGCTGGATGGCCAAGGAGGGCTTCACGCTGGGCACAGACCTGAGGATGGTGAAGGGTGGAAGAAGTCATTCCAGACAGAGAGAACTGCAGGTGCAAAGGCCCTGGGGCTGTGCTTGGCTCACTTGAGGACAATGAGGTGGTAGGCAAGCTGCCTGGTGTAGGAGGGGCAGACAGTGAATGGGATGAGGTCACAGTGGATGCCAAACCTGCGCCATGTAGAACCTTGCAGGCCACTGCAGGGATTTGGGCTTTTACTCTGAAGTGGATGGGAAGCCACTGGCGGGATCTGAGCAGAGAAGACATGGTATAGCTGCTCTTTTAAAAAGATTACTCTGAGGGCTCCAACAGACTGTAAGGAAGAAAGGTGAAAAGTAAGGAGAGTAAAAGCAGGATTACAGCAGCTGTTTTGGTGTCTCGGAATGTGGTCTTTGTGGTGTAGGCAATGAGAAGTGATCAGATTCTGGGCTGACTGTGAAGATGGAGTGGACACGATGGACTGATGGGGTGGAGAGGGGTAGAAGGGGAAGAGACCAGTTGAGCTGGACTCTCAGTTTTGTGGTCTGTGTGATTTGGAGGATGGCGGTGCCGCTGCTGAGGCAGGGGAGAGGCAGAGAGGAGGAGCACGCGAAGCATCAGGCTTTGGGTCGGGCGCGGTGGCTCACGCCTGTAATTCCAGCACTTTGGGAGGCTGAGGCGGGCAGATCACTTGAGGCCACAAGTTCAAGACAAGCCTGGCCAACATGGTGAAACCCCGTCTCTACTAAAAATACAAAAATTAGCCGGACGTGGTGGCAGGTGCCTGTAATCCCAGCTACTCCTGCTGAGGCAGGAGAATCGCTTGAACCCGGGAAGCGGAGGTTGCAGTGAGCCGAGATCGTGCCACTATACTCCAGCCTGGGCGACAAGAGTGAAACTGTCTCAAAAAAAAAAAAAAAAAAAAAAGGAATAAAAGAAAAAGTGGGCTTTGGATGCACGGTCTGAGACGCCACTTTGTTCTTTAGTTTCTTCAGGTGGTTCAAAGTACAGGCATTTCTTCTTCATTTACAATCTAGGCTTTACGTTTCCCTGATTCCTGCTTTAAGGGCATCCTGTGAACTTAGGTATGTTGCATTTCCTTTTTTTTTATTTTTCTTTTTGAGACGGAGTCTCGCTCTGTCACCCAGGCTGGAGTACAGTGGCATGATCTCGGCTCACTGCAACCTCCGCCTCCCAGGTTCAAGCAATTTTCCTGCCTCTGCCTCCTGAGTAGCTGGGATTACAGATGCCTGCCACCATGTCCAGCTAATTTTTTGTATTTTTAGTAGAGATGGGGTTTCACTGTGTTGGCCAGGCTGGTCTGGAACTCCTGACCTCGTGATCTGCCCGCCTTGGCCTCCCAAAGTGCTGGGATTACAAGCATGAGCCACCACACCCAGCCTGGTATGTTGCATTTTCATTTTTATTCAGTTCAAAATATTTTCTAATTTTATTTTTGGTTGACTCATGAATTATTTAGAAGTGTGATATCCAGTTTCACATACTTGGGGATTTTCCAGAGATCTTTCTGTTTCTGGTTTATCATTTGATTCCACTGTGGTCAGAAAACATACTTAGTACAGCTTGCATTCTTCAAAAACATTTTTGAGACTTTATGACCTGCATTACAGGGGTGTCGAATCTTTTGGCTTCCCTGGGCCAATTTGGAAGAAGGAGAATTGTCTTGGGCCACACATAAAATACACTAACACTAACAATAGCTGATGAGCTAAAAAAAAATGCAATAAACATATTATTATTATTATTATTATTTTTGAGACAGAGTCTCACTCTGTCACCCAGGCTGGAGTGCAGTGGCATGATTTCAGTTCACTGCAACTCCACCTCCAGGGTTCAAGTGATACTTGTGTCTCAGCCTCCCAAGTAGCTGGGACTACAGGCATGCGCCACCATGCCCAGTTAATTTTTGTGTTTTTAGTAGAGACAGGGTTTCACCATGTTGGCCAGGCTGGTCTCGAACTCCTAACCTCAAGTGGTCCACCCACCGCAGCCTCCCAAAGTGTCTCATAATGTTTTAAGAAAGTTTATGAATTTGCGTTGGGCTACATTCAAAGCTATCTTGGGCCACAAGTGGCCCACAGGCTGCGGATTGGATAAGCTTGGCCTAGAATATGGTCTATCTCTGTAAATGGGTCCAGATACAAGCTCAGCAATTGCTGTTCTAAAATTCTGCACCTTCTATGTTTGTTTGTTTATTTATTTATTTATGTTTTTGAGATAGAGTCTCGCTCTGTTGCCCATGCTGGAGTGCAGTGGCACAATCTTGGCTCACTGCAACCTCTGCCTCCTGGGTTCAAGCGATTCTCCTGTCTCAGCCTCCCGAGTAGCTAGGACTACAGGTGCGTGCCACCACACCTGGCTAATTGTTGTATTTTTAGAAGAGACGGGGTTTCGCCATGTTGGCCAGGCTGGTCTCAAACTCCTGACCTCAGATGGTCTGCCCACCTCAGCCTCCCAAAGTGCTGGGAATACAGCATGAGCCACCGCACCCGGCCGGCACCTTCTACGTTTATTGTTAATTGAAAAACAGTCTTGAGCTGTGCCAAGGATGCCTGGGGATGAATAGAACTGTTTGGAGCATGTGCCTAACCTGTAACTGTGGCACTGCCACTGCAATGCATTGTGGGGGGTGGGCTGCCCCCACTTACATGACAACTGTGACAATCATTGCTCTGGAATAATCAGGATTCTCATTTGAGACTCCAGCTGGCTTTGATATTTCGTTTCTAGAGACTCACCCAGCAGTGTAAGAAAATAAACAAACTCTGAGAGGCTGTGAGTTTTGAATTGCAGAGGGTAAAACCAGAGCCAAAAGTTCCAGAGAAAATATTTCAAGCTTCGGGTGTGTTTGAGGAACTGAGAAGTCACAGAATAGCTGGAAAAGAGGATGTAGTGTAAAGTAAACTCAGCTGCACAGACATATGGTCTGTTGGTGGAACTGGAGTCCGACCAGATAATGATCATCAGCGAGGCAGTGCTCTGAAGAAGCCTCTCATCCACAGGTGGGGGTCCGGGCTGCTGCAAACAGTTGCGCAGGTGTGCGCTGCACAACTCAGGGCCACCGTTAACATCACACATAATGGCACATGGCAAAAGGTCCCATTAGGTACAGCCCTGTGGCTTTACCATGTTAAATGCCTTTCGTCTTTCTGGGCCAGTCACTGTGAATCTGAGTGCCTGTGAGGGCACAAACCCTGCACAGTTCCTCTGCTCCTGGCAGTGTAGCATCCCATAACTCCTCCCCAGGGCCCTGCCAGTGCCAGCTCAAAAATCTCCCTGTGGGAGGGTATGGCAGAAAGACCCTAGGGTTCATGCCCTATATAATCCCTTCCTCTTGAGTGTGAGTGGGACCTGTGACTTGCTTATAACCAGTAGAATATAGCACAGGTGACAGGATGTCACTCCCATGACTGAGTTACTATAGATACCTAGACAAGCCTCCATCTTACCAGCACACATTGGAGATTCTCCTTCCTGGCTTGATGAAATAAGGACCGTGTTATGTTATAAGTTCACCTAACAAAAAACCACTAACAAGGACCTGAGGGGGACCTTCAGTCAGAGGCCAGCAAAAGCCAGGGCCCCTTGGTCACATGCCCCACCCATTCAGTCCACTGGGCTGCACTGAGCTTGTGCACCAGCTCAGCCCGTAGCTGGGCCATGTGTGCCCCAGCCTGCCTGTGTTATAGCTCCTACCCACATTTGGTGGTTCCTGAACTCTTGTCTCATGTCCAGGAAGAATGAGGTTACCCTGACCATCGAAGGATGAGGAGGGCAGATAATAACTGTATTGAGTGATGGAAAAGTTCTCAGTGGAGAGGGGATGCAAGGGTTGTCCTCCACTCTAAGTTGGGTGGTCTCTCCTTCAGTGTGGCTGGGTCTGGGATTTTATAGGCTCAGAATGGGGAGTGTGTGCTGATTGGTTTGTGAGTATGCAAAAAAGGTTAAAACAAAGGCACTGCTCAAAGGTGGGCATGACAGTGTAAAAAACCAATTAGGGTAGGGTAGGTTTCTGTAAAATAGGTGAAGGGTGGGGATCAATCAGAGGAAAGTGCACCAAACGGGAAGACGGGTTCTCAATCTGGTCCGTGGATTTGACTTGTAGCTTGGCTTTCAGGTTTTAAACTGTCTTTGTCTTGGAGGTAGGGTTTCACTGGGGTTCTGCCCCATCTGCCTAGGCATGTGTCTGCCTCCTGCATCTGCAAGAGGAGGATGTGACCCAGCGGACACCTGGTGACAGCCTCATGAGACCCTGCCATCTCAGAGGACATAGCTGGGCCACGCCGGGACTTCTCACCAGCCGGGAAATATGTTACCCAGCGATATAAATGAATGCAGGGGGTCTTGAGAACACAGTCCAGTTGGAAGCAGAAAATAGGTGACTCGTCTTCAGATGGTGAACATGCTATTTGTACTTCAATTGTGTGTTTAGCTGGGGTGGCTTGGGGGTGCTGGTGGAAATTACAGTAGGCAAAGTCCCTGTGGGCCACCCCAGGACCCAGCAACTAGCCCAGCAGCCTGGAGGAGTGGGAGGCATGGCTGGGCCCTGGCCTGGGGAAGGAAGGGGATATTTGCTTGGAACATTCTAGTACAATTAATTGGAATGAAAGTGTTGTCATTTTAAGTTTCTGACAGTTTGGTTAGGTTAGACTTTAAAAATCGTAACGTGGCCGGGCATGGTGGTTCATGCCTATAATCCCAACACTTTTGGGAGGCCAAGGTGGGTGGGTCACTTGAGGCCAAGAGCTTGAGACCAGCCTGGCCAACATGGCAAAACCCTGTCTTTACTAAAAAATACAAAAATTAAAGGCGGGGCGTGGTGGCTCACGCCTGTAATCCCAGCACTTTGGGAGGCCGAGGAGGGCAGATCACGAGGTCAGGAGATCGTGACCATCCTGGCTAACACGGTGAAACCTCGTCTCTACTAAAAAATGGAAAAAAATTAGCTGGGCGTGGTGACAGGCACCTGTAGTCCCAGCTACTTGGGAGGCTGAGGCAGGAGAATGGCATGAACCTGGGAGGCGGAGCTTGCAATGAGCCAAGATAATGCCACTGCACTCCAGCCTGGGCGACAGAGTGAGACTCCGTCTCAAAAAAAAAAAAAAAAAAAAAAAACACACAAAAACAAAAATTAGATGGGCATGGTGGTATGCACCTGTAATTCCAGCTACTCAGAAGGCTGAGGCACAAGAATCACCTGAACCCAGGAGGCAGAGGTTGCAGTGAGCTGAGATTGTGCCAGTGCACTCCAGCCTGGGCAACAGAGGGAGACCCCATCTCAGCAAAAACAACAAAAAAAGAGGATACACAAATTTCCTTCCTAACCAGTACCCCAGTAACTTTCCTCTGAGTCAACCAATGTTGTTTCTCGTTTGACCTGCTAGAAAATTTCAGTGGACAAATTCGATTATTTTTATGTTCCTTTCACCTAACAGAATTTTGTGGGGTTAATTCCACATCAGTATTTACAGATCTGCGCTGTGCTTGTTAGTTCGTGATTGTGTTTTGTACTGGTGGATGCGTGGTTCCCTGCCTCACCCGCCCAGGAAAAAACATTCAAATGATCTTCTAGAAAAAGCCTCGGTTCAAGGTCAAGATGGTCTCAATTCATGCACAGCTGAAGCTATCGACTCTCACTTTCTGTGGTGACAAAGCCAAGTCCCTGTCAATTACACCCCAGAACCTGGAAGGCTCCTGCCGAAACCCACCCGATTGTCCCATAGAACTGATGTTTATAGGCCAGGTGCAATGGCTCACGCCTGTAATCCCAGCATTTTGGGAGGCTGAGGTGGGCTTGAGGCCAGGAGTTCGAGACCAGCCTGGCCAACATGGCGAAACCCCGTCTCTACTAAAAATGCAAAAACTAAAAAAAATTAGCCAGGTGTGGTAGTGTGCGCCTGTAATCCCAGCTACTTGGGAGGCTGAGGCGTGAGAATCACCTGAACCCAGGTTGCAGCGAGCCAAGACGGTGTCACTGCACCCTAGGCTGGGCAACAGAGTGAAACTGTCTCAAAACAAAACAAAACAAATCAAGACTGATGTTTATAGTTTATTTTGAGTAAACATAGAAATTGCGCCTCCCAGTCTTGAAATTTGAGAAAGTTATGTTTGTTTTTTCTGAGCTCCTTTCTCAGGAGACCAAGCAGCTGGCCTCCCAGATAGTATCAAGAAGCTGAAACTCACCAGTCACTGCATTTGGACAATGAGAAGCCAAACCCCTCACCTCTGATGACTGCCTAACTGGCCACCTGCTCCCTGTTAACTGACTCCTCTTCCTTACCCCTCCCTAATTCCTGCTTTCCTGCATGTGGTTACGTTTCTGCTGTACCAACCCCTAACTGTAGTCAGTCGGGATGGATTTGAGACGTATACCCCAAATCCTTGGCTGCAGCACCCAATTAAAGCCTTCTTCCAGGGCAATAATTGTGGTTTCAGTGATGGGCGTGGCAAGCACTAGGACCTAGACCAAATTCCTGGTGTTTTGGTAACACTGCCAGCCATGCCAAAGTCCCAGTTTGCCCAAGAAGACTTGTAGGAGCAGCTTTGAGGGTTTGTAACCCTCAAAGTGGATCTCCCAAAGCACAGAAAGAGGCTGCCCCAGAGCTAGTTCTCTGCCTCCTGGAGAGAGATCCATTGCTACTTGCAAAAGATGGACTGCCCTGCCCTACCTGCCTACTTCCCCTAGCCCCCATCCCGCCCCTTTCCTCTTCCAGCCTCTGGTGGGATCAGGTGTGGGGTGCACACCTGTAACCATGGAATTCCCTGGGGAGAGCCAGAGGTATCAGTGGCTTTGGTCTTCATCCCATGGGTTTCTACTTAGAGCCTGGTGCCATCTTTTAGCTCTGGGGGTTTGGGGTCCTGGTGTTTCTCCTGATCCTTCCTAGGAAGAGCACAGGGTGTTCATAGGTTGTCATAGGCTGAGCCAGGTTGTCATAGGTTGAGCTCTGGTGCAGCTCCAGGGGTGAAGACCCATCATCTTCCTGGTGCCACCTGCCCATTCTAGAACAAAGAATCCATCAAGTATTGATCAGGGTTTCAGCGGCCAGGAGGCTGGACAGCTCCATGTGAACTCCTACCCAGCGTGTTTGGCCTTCTCAAGAAAGAGGGTCATTTTTGCAAAAGTACTTGATCGGTTTTCTCCAGTGCGTCTCTAGAAACTTTGATATTCAAATTACTGTCTTTTGAACCACCTCCACAATCATCTGTGTTGCGTTTGAATTTCAGTGTTGGGTATTTTCATTCTACAACCTACAGGGACACTGACTCACCAAACTGATGGAACAGGGACAGCCACTGTTTTTATCTTTTTAAAATAACATTTTATTTTAGAACAGTTTGAGATTTACAGAACAGTTGCAAATAGAGTACAGAGAGCTGCCATATACGCCACACTGTTAACTCTATCACTAACATTTTATGTGAATAAGGTACATTTGTTACTATTAATAAACCACTATTCAAATGCATTATTGTTAACTAAAGCTTATATTTTATTCCTATTTCCTTAGTTTTTTCCTAATATTCTTTTTATATTCAGGAGCCCATCCAGGATACCACATGACATTCAGTTGTCATGTTTCCTTGAGTTCCTCTTGGCTGTGACAGTTTTTCAGACTTCTTTTGTTTTTATGATCTTGACAGTTTTGAGGAGTGCTGGCATATATATATATATATATATATATATATATATATATAATTTTTTTTTTTTGAGACAGGGTCTCACTCTGTCATCCAGGCTGGAATGCAATGGAGTAATCTTGGCTCACTGCAACCTCCGCCTCCAGGGCTTAGGTGATCCACCTCAGCCTCCCGAGTAGCTAAGACTACAAGCACACATTACCACGCCCGGTTAATTTTTGTATTTTTTGTAGATATGGGGTTTCACCATGTTACCAAGGCTGGTCTCAAACCCCTGAGCTCAAGCAATCTGCCTGCCTCGGCCTCCCAAAGTGCTGGGATTACAGGTGTGAGCCACTGCACCTGGCCTTTTTACTTTCTTTTTCTTTCTGCCTCAGCAGCTGCACAGAAATACTCTCTTGATGGAGTCATTTGATGCAAAAAAGTTTTAAGTTTTGATGAAGTCCAATTTATCTATTTGTTCCTTTTGTGGCTTGTGCTTGTGGTTTCATACTTAAGAAACCATTGCCTGACCCAAGGTCATGAAGATTTATACCTATGTTTCCTTCTAAGAGTTTTAAACTTACATCTAGGCCTTTGACCCATTTCAAGTTAATTTTCACATATGGTGTGAGGTAGAATATACATTCTTGACCAGGCGAGGTGGCTCACGCTTATAATCCCAGCACTTTGGGAGGCCGAGGTGGGTGGATCATTTGAGTCCAGGAGTTTGAAACCAACCTGGCCAACATGGTGAAACCCCATCTCTACTAAAAATACAAAACAATTAGCCTGATCAAAATAGACTCCTTCCCTGCAAAATGACTACAGACTGGCTTATGAATATGCATGCGAAAATACTCAAGAAAACAGGGGCCTTTTGTGCATAAGTTCCTAAACTTGCGGGGGCAGACTGCTGTTATGAAGAGTGTCATAACTTATACATGGGCCACAGGCCTGTGCAGTAATTCACCAAAGAAGACTTCCTATGACCACACCCGTGGGGAAAACATTGGCCTTGCTGTAATCAGATGTGTGTAATGAAAACTGCAGTTGGGAGCATCTTTTCCTGATCCAGCTGTTAAAGTTAATACCCAGTTCTGGCTAAAGTTCTGGCTAAAGTACTGGAGTAAGCAGAAACTTGCATCAATACTGGTGTGTCGGGGAGATGCAAACATGCGCGAGGGATATGGCAACAGCTACGCAGAGCCTAGGGATCTCCTTGACCCAAATATTCTATTTCTAAACATTTGTATTATGGAAGTGCACATCAGAGCGTTATTTATAAATAGCAATAAACAAAACAGGCCAGGCACAGTGGCTCACACCTGTAATCCCAGCACTTTGGGAGTCCAAGGCGGGCGGATCGCTTGAGGTCAGGAGTTGGAAACCAGCCTGGCCAAGAAGGTGAAACCCTGTCTCTACTAAAAATACGAAAGTTAGCCGGGCGTGGTGGCAGGCGCCTATAATCCCAGCTACTTGGGAGGCTGAGGCAGGAGAATTGCATGAACCCGGGAGGTGGAGGTTGCAGTGAGCCGAGATAGTGCCACTGCACTCCAGCCAGGGTGACAGAGTGAGACTCTGTCTCAAAAAAAAAGTAATTAATAAAAATGTAAACAAACAGATGAAACCCCTGCCCTTCAGAGCTTATAAAAAATGTGTAGTCATTTTCTAAAAAAAGTAATTTTTAAATTGATAAAGCCATTTACAAAAGAGTATGAGGCCATTTTAATTAATTAATTAATAATTATTATTATTTTTGAAACAGAGTCTCCCTCTGTTGCCCAGGCTGCAGTGCAGTGTCACAATCTTGGCTCACTGCGAATTCTGCCTCCTGGGTTCCAGCGATTCTCTCACCTCAGCCTCCTGAGTAGATGGGACTACAGGCATGCACCACCAGACCCAGCTAATTTTTGCATTTTTAGTAGAGACGGGGTTTCATCATATTGGCTAGGTTGGTCTCGAACTCCTGAACTCAAGTGATCTGCCCACTTCAGCCTCCCAGAGTGCTGGGATTACAGGTGTAGCCACCGCGCCCAGCAAGCCCCCCCTTTTTTTTTTTTAATACAAGCATCTATCTGTCTATCATCTATGTACTTAAGTATAAATTAATGCCAAAATGTATGTTAAAGATTATCTGAATGGTTGGAATTAAGACGGTTTGTTTACCTGCATTTGCTTTTTATTCTTTTTGCTTTGTTTTTTGAGACCGAGTTTCGCTCTGTCTGCACTGGAGTGCAATGGCGCAATCTCGGCTCACGGCAACCTCGGCTTCCAGGGTTCAAACGATTCTCCTGCCTCAGCCTCCCGCGTAGCTGGGATTACAGGCTACATGGCGCATGCCACCATGCCCAGGTAATTTTTGTGTTTTTAGTAGAGACGAGATTTCACCGTGTTGGCCAGTCTGGTCTCGATCTCCTGACCTCGCGATCTGCCCGCCTTGGCCCCCAAAGTACTGGGATTACAAGTGTGAGCCACCGCGCCCGGCCTTTTTTACCTGTGTTTTCTACAATGTACTTGTATAATAAAAGAAGGTGACAAGAAATAGGGGGAAATTGGTAACAAGCTTCATGTCTAACAATAGAGGATTGGCTGATGAAGTGTATGTCACATTTATTTACAATTAATGACGCCAATGAATAGTTTTTTTCAGTACCACGTGCTAGGCATTAGATGTTCTTTGGCTGTTCTGTGCTGTACATGTGACTATGCTTTTTGTTTAAAAGAAAAGGAGAAAAAGGAAAGGAAAGGGAAAAAAAGGAGAAGAGAGAGAAAAGAAAAGAAAAGAAAAGAAAAGAAAAGAAAAGAAAAGAAAAGAAAAGAAAAGAAAAGAAAAGAAAAGAAAAGAAGAAAAACAAAAGATAGAAAAAAAGGGAGGGGAGTAAGAGCAGGAGAACTCATGGCGTCCTGGGCGGGGCTGCCGGGCTCGCTCCCCGCAGGGCCCTCGTGGCTCCCCTGGCTCGCGCGCGCCCCTAGCGGGCGTCTGGGGTCCTGCGGGCCGTGCGGTCCCGTGTCATCGCGCTGGGCAGCCCCGGGTCCACAGGGCAAGCTGCGCCCCTGTTTTCTTTCCAGGGTCCCCTGCCCTCCAGCGAGCCTAGTTGAGCCCCAGCTGGACTCCAAGTCGAGCCTCTGCAGCCAGGTGTCCGCCAGATGTCTTCCACGGCCAGCAAGGGAACCGCCTGGGCACGCGTCAGTCTGGCCTGTTTCCTGATCCAGAAAATTATTTTCAGCTGCGCGTGACCTTCCACGGGGCCAGGACCGGAAAACTAGACAGCAGTGATCTTTTTAAAACCGTGGACTCTATGAACTAGGAAAGTCCCCTCCAAACTCGTCAACAGGAATTCACTGCTTATTGGTACCAGTTTGGGAAATCATTGTTTTTTAATTAAAAATCAGGGGGCTGGGAGGAAAGGAGGGTCCCCTGGCAGTCTTGGGTGGGCTGCAGGGCTGCAGGAACGTGACAGCAGGGGCAGTGGGGCTGTGGGAGGGTGCTCTGCCCGTGGGGCCAGCTTGTGATGGGCTGGGGACTGAGCTGTGCTCTGGGGACACACAGAGATTCCTCACTCAGCTGGGTGGCCTTATGTTCCCAGGGTTTTCCCACAACTTGTCCTGGCTGGGGGGCTGAGCTTGCCAGCCTTCCTGGGGAACAGCGGGCCAGGGCAGGACTCCATCCCCAGGAAGCACAGGTGAGGCTTACAAAACAGGTGCAGGACTTGCAGACGCAGCTCTCCTTTCAGCAAACCCTGCTGAGACGCAGAGCGGAGAAAACAGGAGGTGCCCCAGTTTCTTCTCCCGGGTAAGACTGAGAGCTGTCCTTGAACCTGATCGGCCAGAGAGAGTGCTGAGGAGAACCAGAGCATCCCGTGGGGCTCCCTGGGCTGGGCTCTGCCAGGTGGGTTTCCCAGGAGATCGGCCATGACAGCTGCTGTGTTGGGCACTCCTCCAGGGCAGGGGTGGCCCCGGGAGAACTTGGGCAGGAGGGGGCATGAGTCACACAGAGGGTGGCCCACTGGGTTTATGGTACCCGGAGTTGCAAACACTCAGGTGTGAGTCACCTGAGTGCACACGTGGCTGGAGGCAGACAGCCTCCCTTGCCCTCCCCTCCTCCAATCCCAGCTCCTGATGGTTGTACCCTCTCCTGTGCTGAGGGCAGCAGAGACTCATTAGCGAACTGGGGGCCCTGGAGTCGGAGAGCTGGCTTCCAATTCCGGCTCTAGTACCCGCGCTCAGGGACACTGGGCATGTGTTGTCACCTGCCTGTGCCTCAATCTCCTTAACTGCAAAATGGACATAACCTCCAGGCTGATGAAGACTAGGAGAGCAGAGGTCAGGGATGGGCCCCTTCATAGGGGCTCAGGGCCTTTCTGTTCCTCCATTGCTTTCTCCGGCCTGGCCCGCTGTGTGAGGCTGGCCGGCAGACATCTGTCTCTCTCTCAATTTTAAAAAATTTTTTTAGTAGGGACAGGATCTCACTGTGTTGCCCAGGCTGATCTCAAACTCCTGGCCTCAGGCGATCTGCCCACTTCGACCTCCCAAAGTGCTGGGATTGCAGGGGTGGCATCTGTTGGCCTCAGGAAGCAGGCCCAGGCTGCACTCCTGCCCTTGTCCCCCACCTTCCCCGGCAGGCTGGTTTGGCGGTCCTGCCCTCTCCACCCCCACTCTCCCCCATGGGGGAACACAGGCATCAGTGGAGAGTTGCCCATTTTTCAGAAGCGGGATGACAAGCCCCTGCTGCCTTTCACCAATGCCCGTGAATGCACCTGCTTGGGAATCCTCTTTGGAATCTCCCTGAGGTCTTCTGCCCCTCCCCGTGTCTCCCTCATTAAACCACATTTTCCCACAATGAGAACGTGCCATGATGTGCGTTGATGCAAAGCAGGTCTTTATTCAATCTTGTGATGTTTCCGTAGCCAATGCCTTACTGCAGTGCCGTTTTCCATGACTTTTCACGTGAATTACAACACTTTAATTCCATTCCAGCTTAAATTGGCTGTGTTGGGTCAGGTAGAAAAGCCCACTGCCCTGGGTGACACTTTTATGGTTGGGGAAGTGGCTCTTGTCCTGGCTGAGTTGTGTCCTTGCCTCAGAATGTGACTTCACATCTTGAAGTCCTAACCAGCAGTACCTCAGAATGTGACTGGGTTTGGACCCAGGGTCTTTACAGAGGTGACTAAGGTTAAATGAGGTCACTGGGTGGGCCCTAACCCAATGTGACTGTGCCCTTATAAGAAGAGAAGATTAGGGCCAGGTGCAGTGGCTCATGCCTGTAATCCCAGCACTTTGGGAGGCCAATATGGGTGGATCACCTGAGGTCAAGGGTTCAAGACCAGCCTGGCCAACATGGTGAAACCCCATCTCTATTAAAAATACAAAAATTAGTCAAGCGTGGTGGCACACACCTGTAATCCCAGCTACTTGGGAGGCTGAGGTGGGAGAATTGCTTGAACCCGGGAGGTGGGGGCTGCAGCGAGCGGAGATTGCGCCACTGCACTCCAGCCTAGGTGACTGGGCGAGACCCTGTCTCAAAAGAAAAAAAAAAGATTAGGATGCAGGCACAGAAAGACGACCATATGAGGCAGGGAGGAAATGACAAGCCAAGAAGAGAGGCATCAGAAGGAACCAACCCTGCCGACCCCTTGATCTCAGGCTTCCAGCCTCCACAGCTGCGAGAAACGCACTTCTGTTGTTTAAGTCCCCAGCCTGTTATAGCAGCAGCTTGGGCAGACTCCGACTGCACTGCTTTATCCTCAGCCGAGCCCGAGGAGGAGGAGACAATCCCCAAACTCGATCGTTTCCTATCATTATGATCACCGATTATTCTCCTTTTGACTCACCCGACCTTCTGTGCAGAAGGGCTGGGAACACTGAGAGACGGGAGCATTTACCCACATGTGTTCACGTGCACGTGCAGCCACAGCTCCCAGCCCTGCTGTGAAAGTGAATCACTATGGCCCCGGTTAGCAGCGTTTGCCATGTGCCTGCCACATGGCCAAGGGCTGTCTTCACTGTGAGTCCCTGAAGTGTCCATGGCCAGCACTCTGCAGGCGATGACACTGAAGCCCAGAGGGTTGAGGAGCTTGCCTCGCCTTTCTTCCTTCCTTTCTTTTTTTTTTTTTTTGACATGGGGTCTTATTCTGTCACCCAGGCTGGAGTGCAGTGGTGTGATCATGGCTTACTGCCTCCCCAGCCCAAGCGATCCTCCCCCACAGCCTCCTGAGTAGCTGGGACTACAGGCACATGCCACCACACCCAGCTAATTTTTTAAATTTTTTTGTAGAGATGAGGTCTCACTATGTTGCCTAGGCTGGTCTCAAACTCCTGGGCTCAAGTGATCCTCCAGCCTCAGCCTCAGCCTCCCAAAGTGCTGGGATGACAGGCGTGAGCCACTGTGCCCAGCCTGCCTCACCATTTTTAATCGGCACAGCCAGGATTTGGTTTCAACTAAGGCAGCTTGGTGCCATCACTTCTATGCTACAACTTTTAAAAATATTGTTTTTTAAAACATTTTATTTACATTATATACTTTCACACCTATGACCATCTGAAACTTTTTTTTTGAGATGGGGTCTTGCTCCGTCACCCACACTGGAGTGCGGTGGCATGATTTTGGCTTGCTGCAGCCTCCCACCTCCAGGCTTAAGTGATCCTCCCACCTCAGCCTCCAGAGTAGCTGGGACCACAGGTGTGCGCCACCATACCTGGTTAAGTTTTTGTATTTTTGGTAGAGATGGGGTTTCGTCGTGTTGCCCAGCCTGGTCTCGAACTCCTGAGCTCAAGCAATCTGCTCTCCTCAGCCTCCCAAAGTACTGGGATTACAAGTGGGAGCCATTGCACCCGGCCTGACCATTTGAAACATTTTAAAGGTGGCACTGCTTCTTGTAAGAAGAGATCTTAGGTGGCAGGGGCAGGGCTGGGATGTAGGTGCTCTCATGGCAGGATGCACTGGGGATGGAAAGCAGCTGCCACCTGTCATGGACATGCACCTCCAGTCACCCCTGTCTGCCTCCCGCCCTGCCCCCAGAAAACAGGAAGCAAACTTCCCCGGCCTCCTGTCAGAGTGTCTGTGGGGAAGCGATTCACGTGGGGGCATGAGCACTGTCCCCAGGCCCAAGGATTGTGGCTGGGGTGGGGCAGAGAGGGATGCTTTGGAGGGCTGCTCTCTTCCCGCTGTTCCTCTGCACCCCCTTCACATTTTTGTAACCCAAATAAAGATGGGCACCCATGGTCCACCTCCGCACAGGCCCAGGAAGAAAAAAAACAAAGTCAGATCCAAGTTCACTTCCTAAAATAGCCTTGAAAAGCAATTTAGGTCCTTCTTAAATTTGTTCTAGGGGGAACCAAAGTGCAATTATGTTCACAATCTAGAGAAAAATGTCTTGAAACCTCTTTCCTCTCCCGTTCTCAAGGCTCCCAGCCTACATCTGCTCTCTTCTTGCCCATTCTCATCCCTGTCCCCAAAAAATACGGGTCCTCTGGCAGGTGGCCTGCTCTTTGGAGCTCAAACACCATCCTTGGAATAGGGCATGTGACCAATGCTAAGTCATCTTTTCCATGCACACAAAATTATCAGAAAGATGAAAAGTTTGCTCAAAGTCACTCAGCTAAAAAGGGGTCCAGTCAAGATCAGAACCTGCTGGGCATCGTGGCTCATGTCTGTAATCTCAGCACTGTGGGAGGGCGAGGTGGGTGGACCACTTGTCAGGAGTTCAAGACCAGCCTGGCCAACATGGTGAAACCCCGTCTCTACTAAAAATGTAAAAATTAGCCAGGTATGGTAGTGGGCGCCTGTGATCCCAGCTACTTGGGAGGCTGAGGTAGGAGAATTGCTTGAACCTGGGAGGTGGAGGTTGCAGCGAGCGGAGATCGCACCACTGCACTCCAGCCTGGGAGACAGAGCGAGACTCCGTCTAAAAAAAAAAAAAAAAAAAAAAAAAAGACTCAGAACCTGCCAAGGCTGATCTAATGCCAGGGAGTGACAGCCCAGTAATTGGGATGTGGCACCTAGATCCAGACCATAGCCTGTTGTGTTGTTATCGTTTCTGCTAGTTGTATTATGTGCTCTCCCCCTACTTGGATATGGCCTGGGGAATGTGTTCACACACACACCAAAATTGAGATCAGTTCACTCTCCTTTTTCATAATCTGCCTTTTCCAATTAACTCTACACTATGAAAAAAAATTCCCATGTACTTAATTTAAGAACTTGTTTTTCCCAGCCAGGCATGGTGGATGGCTCACGCCTGTAATCCCAGCACTTTGGGAGGCCAAGGTGGGTGGATCACTTGTGGTCAGGAGTTCGAGACCAGCCTGGCCAACATGGGGAAACCCTGTCTCTACTAAAAATACAAAAATATAGCCAGGCATGGTGGTGCACACCTGTAATCCCAGCTACTGGGGAGACTGTGGCAGAAGAATCGTTTGAACCCAGGAGGTGGAGGTGGCAGTGAGTGAACCAAGATTGTGCCACTGCACTCCAAGGCCTGGGTGACAGAGTGAGACTCTGTTTCTGGAAAAAAAAAAAAAGAACCTATTTTCCTTGTCATCTGGATTTGATTGGATTGAACAGTTTTTCCCTGTCATCTGGATTTGATTGGATGGAACAGTTTTTCCCTGTCATCTGGATTTGATTGGATTGAACAGTTTTTCCCTGTCATCTGAGTTTTAATCTGATTGACAGTCCTCCAGTGTTGGGCACTGAGGGTGTTTCCACCCTTTGCTCTTATAAATAACTCCAGTGAAGATCTTTCCCTCCTGTCCTTTTGCACATCTTTAATTATGTCCTTAGGATATATTCTTAGAAGGGAAATTACCGGGAATAAGCATTTTAAGACTTTTGGTACATATTTCCAACTTGGCCTCCAGAAAGATGGTACCATTATCTATCTATCTATCTATCTATCTATCTATCTATCTATCTATCTATCTACCTATCTATCTATTGATCTATCGATCTATCTATCTGATGGAGTCTCTCTGTCTCCCAGGCTGGAGTGCAGTGGTGTGATCTCAGCTCAAAGCAACCTTCGCCTCCCAGATTCAAGTGATTCTCCTGCCTCAGCCTCCAGCGTGGTTAGGATTACAGGCTCGTGCCACCATGCTTGGCTAATTTTTTTGGATTTTTAGTAGAGACTGGGGGTTTCACCAAGTTGGTCAGGCTGGTCTGGAACTCCTGACCTCAAATGATCCCCCCGCCCTGACTCCCAGCCTCCCAAAGTGCTGGGATTACAGGCGTGAGCCACCGTGCCCAGCCTAGTTTTCATTTCTGACAAACAAGAGGCAGATTGCATCTCCAGAGGCCTCAGGGCTTTCTCTCCGGCAGGAGTGACCTGTTCCCAGGCTCAGGCTCATTGTGCATTCTGGTGCTGCCTCTGCCCCTCCGCTCCCAGGCTGTCTGTGGCCTCCTTAGTAGCAAATCCAACAGGGATGTCCTTTCTTTGAAGATTTTTCCAATCCAGAGCTGCTTCTTGGTTTACAAGAAACCCTGTCCCCAGAGCAATTTTATTTCTGGGAGCTCATTAAGACAAACATTAAGTGACGTACTTGGGCAATTCCATTTCCCATGCTAAATTCCATATTTTTCCCTTGCTTTTTAAAGCTTTTTTGATTTCCAATTCATTTTTTTCCTATGGATTTCTGTGACATTTTATGACATGGATTTTTATGACAAGCTCTGGATAAGAGAGTGTTTCTCCAGCTCAGGACACAATAAAGCCACTCAATCTCATTTCTTTTAATTAAAATTGGCTTTGGAGGCCGAGTGCGGTGGCTCACACCTGTAATGCCAGCACTTTGGGAGGCCAAGGCGGGCAGATCACCTGAGCTCAAGAGTTTGAGACCAGCCTGGCCAACATGGCGAAACTCCGTCTCTACTAAAAATACAAAAATTAGCTGGGCGTGGTGGCACATGCCTGTAATTCCAGCTACTCCGGAGGCTGAGGCAGGAGATTGCTTGAACCTGGTAGGTGGAGGTTGCAGTGAGTCGAGATCATGCCACTGCACTCCAGCCTGGGCGACAGAGTAAGAGTCTTTCTCAAAAAAAAAAAAAAAATTAATTAAAAAAAAAGAACAAAATACCCCCCCAAAACCAAAAATCAAACACACACACACACACACACACACACACACCCCTGCCACTGGTTTCCCAGTCAGCTTAGTAGAGACCCCAGACCCTCCCTGTGTCAACACTGCCTCCCGTCCTGGGCCCATCAGAGAAGGCTGGAGAAGGGACGGTGCTTCCATGCCCGGCCCACCTCTCCTTTACCACCCTACGTGCCGGCGTTCAGTTCTTGGTTCCCAGCCTTGTGATGTGCAAATACTTGACCAGGAACCTGAGCGGACAGGGCATCCTGGTAAGGGCAGAGCTTTGCCCATCCCAGCCACAGCTGGCCTTGCCCGTAGACCTCACCCGCTGCCCATCGTGACCTGACGATGAAGAAGGAAAACCGAAAGCTCTCTTGCTCCCCCTAAACCTTCGCAAACACACATTCTGAAGTCCAGTCTAAATACTGAGAAATTCTCCATCACCCTCGTCTCTTCCCTTAGCTTGGATAATTTTAAAGTAATGACATTGCGCACTGTTAGTACTGTCTAAAGCATTCTAATGATAACGCCTACTGAGCCGTGATTTCAGGAGGGGCTGCAGAGGCTGTGTCCTCTGAAGGCTCTGCGGGGAGCCTCTGTGTCTCGCAGCTTCTGGAGTGATACCTCGGCCCCCCCGTTTCTTCGCTGCATGGCTCCAATCTCTGTGGCCTTCTCTCTCTGTCCTGGTGTATCCCCTCTTCTCTAAGGACACCTGCATACTGAATGCAGGGCCCACTTTAATCAAGTACAATCTTATTTGAATTTAACTAATTACACCTGCAAAGTCCTTATTTCCAGATAAGGCCACATTCTTTGGTTCAACCAAGGGAGCAGAGCCGACCGAGGGCCCCAGCTGCTGGCTCTGAAATGCCTCGTGGCTTCCTGCGAGGCCACGCTTCACGAGGGCTGCCCCGCTGCTTGAGGCTGGGGTGGGAAGGGATTCAGGCAGACCTCCTCCCCCAGGAAGGCTCTGACAGCTGGCTTTGGTGCAAGGACACCCCCATGGCTTTGTGGAACCTTAGACGGCATGGCAGCCTAGGGCAGATCCCCGGGTCTTCCCCACTGGCTCCCTAATGCTTCTGGAGTTTGCCCCAATAACCACCCTGCATCTGAAACCCAGTCTCCACATCTACTTCTCGGAAAACTCAGACTAACCCATTTTACCTCATTAACATAATACCCACTTGAGGAAGATGCCATTATTGTCCCTGTGAGTTGGGAGTGTGTGGAGGCGGGACAGTAAGGAAGACCTGGTCTCAGCGTGGTCTTTTCTGCGGCCCCTCCCCTCCCCTCCCCTCCTCTTCGTCTCACTCTCCTGCTCAGCCTGGAGTGCAGTGGCGCCATTTCAGCTCACTGCAACCTCCGCCTCCTGGGTTCAAGTGATTCTCCTGCTTCAGCCTCCTGAGTAGCTGGGATTACAGGTGTGCACCACCACGCCTGGCTAATTTTTTGTAATTTTAGTAGAGACGGGGTTTCACCATGTTGGCCAGGCTGGTCTCGAACTCCTGACCTCAAGTGATCTGCCTGCCCACCTTGGCCTCCCAAAGTGCTGGGATTACAGGCGTGAGCCACCATGCCCGGCCTGTCACATTTATTTCTGATGACAGTAGACATACTTTTCCAAGTTGTAGAATAGGCATACCATCCTTCCAGAACAGCCAACACTCTGAAGTTTATGAAATTGGGTGACATCTTTTGGATCAGACCTTTTTTGATTAGAGTGCTCTGGGAACACCTTCTCCTACATAAAACCAGCCTCTGAATTTCAGTGTCTAGTTTCCCTTGGTCTGCTTCCCTATAATGGGGCAGTGGTCATGAGGGTCTGTCGGTGCTGTGATGTGAAAAGCAGCCACGGTCCCGGTGTCCTGGGAAAGGTTACTGTCCTTAATCAAAACAAATCTTATTAATCTGAGGCAAGTGGTAGCACAGCTGTGAGTGGCCACCTAGAAAGATGTGTGGCAGGAGATTCATGTCCACAAAGTATAACACACCCCTCCACAACCACAACCAGCAGCAAACAGCAGGCCTGGAACCAGTGAAAAACCCACGTCGTGACCACTGAATAAAGCAATAGAACATTGGAAGGGATAGCTGCACTTGAAGGTTACTGTTTGTACACACACACACGCACACACATGCACACACATACGTGCACACACACGCACGCATGCGCACGCACGCATGCACACACATGCACCCACATGCATGCGCACACACACGCACACACGCGCGCGCACACACACACACACACACACACACACGGCTGGCAGAGCACATGGCAGGGCCTTGTCCTTGAAGATGCTACAGCCCTAAAACGGATTCTGGGAGGATTCTGCATGTGCAGCAGTGGGCTCTGCATCCCCACCTGGGGGCCCGGGGGCCGCGGGGCTGCTGAAGCCAGGGCCTGGGGCTCTGCCACTGGTGGTGTGACCGTGGGCTAGCCACTAGGGTCCTCAGGACTCCCTGGCTTTCTAGGGGAGAAGTGGGGGATGAGCCGAGACAATTGTCCCATTTTCTTCCAGCTCTCATAACCACTTTGTGTCATGAGTGCAGGTGGGTTACAACTGGGCCCTTAGGAAAGGAGGCAGATGGAGGAAGAGCTGGCTGAGGGCTCAGGGGTCCCTGGATCCCAGGGAGGGGTGAGATTTCTGGAAGTGGAGATGGCGGAGTGAGTGGTGTGGACTAGACAGTGTCTTAAAAAGCATTGTCAACTAAGGTGACAAATGCTTACTGGTAAGAGGACAGCCCCAGCCTGGCCTCACTGATAATGTTCCCGGAGTGGACCTGTGGGCCATCCCCGTGGGCGCTGTTTTGGTGGTAATTTTCAGTGAATCCCTCTTTTCCCCAGTCCCCTGCAGGAGGACTCCATCCCAAGCTCCCACGCCTGCCTAGCCGGCCGACCCAGCCATGGCCCGGGCTCCAGGGCGGCTCAAGGGCTACCTCCTCCGGTGGTCCCTGACTTAGGTCCCAGCACAGCCCCCCAACCCAGGTTGGCCCGGCTGCAGGTTGTCTGAGAGATGCCGTCGGTATCGCAGGTCGAAATCGTGTGAGAAGCTCCCACCTCCCGTCTCCTCGCCCTCACTGGGGCCTCTCAGGAAAGGCCAGCTTGTGAACACAGGGGTGAGGCCTGGACCCCAGTGTGGCCCAGGGGGCAGGTCGGGGAGGAGCTGAGGGGGGAACAGAGGAGAGAAGGGGGAGGCAGCATCCTGGCCCCTCTTCGCCTTCATCTGTCCTGTGTATTGGAGTCTCTCAAGGAATCTTCTTGGACACATTATTGAAGTAACTCGGGCAAGTGACTTGAACTCTCTTTTCCTCCTCTGTGAAATGGGCACAACGACAGGCTCTCCCTCAAGGGGCTTCTCTGGGAGTTTTATGAGCACAAGTTCACAGCGCAGTGCCCGGCTCACGCAAACGCTACTGCTGTTGTCATTCTTATTATTTCCTTATGGCCCAAAGCCACTGGCCCCAGAGCACCCTCGGCTTCTCCACTCACAGGTGGTGACATCCTAGAAGCGGAGGAAGCTGGGGCCTGGCGTAGCAGACTGACCAGACCCTCACTGAGGGCCCAAGGCTGAGACTGGGTCACGGACAGTGGAGTCCCGGCGGTTCCCAACAAGACAGAGACTAGGATCAGTCCCTGAGGCCACCGCCCACTGTCAGTAGACCCTGGGCTCCTCTCCTGACCCAGTGTAAGGTGCAGCCACGCCTGCTCCTCTTGGGAAAACGGGCCCACACCACAGCCACGGTTCCGCTGGAGAAGCCGAGAAGCCACTCGGGGCTCCTTCTGGTCTCTTAGGCTGGGGATGCCTCTTGGGACTGGCTGGGTGGGGAGGTGGGGACTGCCCGTGATGGGTGCACCTTGTGGGCGTGGGGTGGGGACCGCAACACCCAGGAGGAGGCTCAGGGGCTCTGTTGGGGGAGGCTGCTGTGATGGGCTGCCTGGGGTCTGGTGGGCTCAGCCCAGCCTGGGCGGTGGGTGGCCCCACGTGGCTGTGGTGGGCTACAGCTGAACCTACAAGGCCACGGCACCGGCTGCCGTGTTTGGATGGGGCTGTCCTGTGGGGCAGAGGGAGAGGACAAGCTGAAGGTGATGGGGGAGTGGACACTCTTCTCAGTCACTGGAGAAGGGACAGGTCCTGGGGGCTGCAGGGACCCGAGAGGAGGGGTCTGAACTCAGGGGACACCCCGGAGGGACCGTGGAGGGGCTCCTTTGGGGAGCCAGAGGCTTCTGGAAGCTGCAGGTAGGGGCGTGGGCAGAAGCATGGATGGAGAGCAGGGAGGTGACGGGCAGAGGGCCAAGCCCGGTGATGCCTCGGGGACAGACAAGAAGAGAGCCTGCACCCAAGGCCCCAGGTATCTGTGGGGAGGGTCCCAGCCCTTCCTGGTCTGTGAGCTCAGTGTGTCCAGCCCTGGTCTGGACTGTGTCGCCGGGGGGCAGCAAGGGCCCCAGAATCCCCAGGAGCACCTCAGTGCACTCAGCACTGGCTCCAATGCCACCCCCGAGCAAAGGCCCCTGATTCCTCCTGTTAGAGGAAAGAGAGTCCGCAGGGCCTGGGTTTCCACCCTTCTCCCAGTGATGGGTACCCAGAGATAATGAGTCTTTCCAAGTTCAAGAACATCCCTTTTAATCACAAACCACTCATCCACAAATGTGGCTATGGGGTAAGCAGTCTAGGCTGGGACCCTTTCCAGAGGTAAGTCAAGGTCACGTCCCTGCCCCCTTCCTAGGGTGGCGGTGGCCTCCAGCCAGGGGGGCTTCCAGGTTAATACCAGAGCCTCGGCTACTCTGGACTCCTGTGAGCTCTTCTTGGCTGGAAGAAGGGGGGCATTGTGGGCCTGCTCTGTCCCAAGGCTCCAGAAGCTGCCCCTACCCAGGCCTGCCTGGCCTCACCCTGCAGCCTGGGTGCACCCGCGGGCAGCCTGGGCCCCGCCTACACAATGCCCTCAGTGCGCTTGCTCTGCCAGACCACCAGTGCCGTCACCAGCAGGGTCACCGTGATGGGGACCACGATGAAGGGGTAGAGGATGCTGCCGGGCGGGTCCCGCACGGCCCTGCCTGAGATGGGGCAGCTCCTGAAGTAGCGGCCATGCACTGCCAGGAAGAACCTGTCCACCTCTGCATTGGGCCAGAAGCAGCCCAGCTTCTCCGCCATGTGCCAGGTGCAGTCGGCCAGCTCCCTGTAGCTCCTGCGGATGGAAGAGGAGGTGGTAAGACCCTGGGCAGGCGGGGGATCCAACGCGGGACCCCAGCCCGGGCTGCTGCACCGTGGCCCCTCATGCAGCCCTGAAGCTTGGCTCGGAGAAGCCCCGACGCCGAGGCAGTGGCCCTGGATCCAGGAGGGCAGGGGCCCGATGGCTCCAAGGGGACTCCAAGGCGACCTGCATGGCGGCCCGTGGTGCAGGAAGCCCTGGCGTGGCCGTGGGGCCCCTCGCAGCTCTGTCTGCACCAGGAGGACAAGCCAGGCTGGGTGGCCAAATAAGGCCCGAACCTCTGCCACCAGCTCCTCTGCCACCAGCTCCTTCTGCCACCCTGGGCAAGGTCGCAGGCTGGTGTCGCGTCTGTGTGTGACTGTTATTCTGTATGTGACTGTAACTGTTATTCTTTGTGTGTGACTGTGTGTGACTATGTGTAACTGTTATTCTGTGTGCGACTGTGTGTGACTGTTATTCAATGTGTGACAGTGTTATTCTCTGTGTGACCGTGTGTGTGACTATTTTCTGTGTGACTGTGTATGTGACTATTATTCACTGTGTGTGACTCTGTGTGTGTGACTGTTATTCTGTGTGTGACTCTGTGTGGATGACTGTGTTATTCTGTGTGTGTGACTGTGTGTGACTGTTATTCTCTGTGTGTGGCTGTAACTGTGTTATTCTGCATGTGACTGTGTGACTATTATTCTCTTTGTGACTGTGTGTGACATTGTGTGACTGTTATTTTGTGTGTGACTGTGTGTGTGACTATTTTCTGTGTGACTGTGTGTTACTGTTATTCTCTGTGTGTGACTATGTGACTGTGTAACTGTTATCTGTGAGTGGCTGTTATTCCCTGTGTGTGACTGTGTGTGTATAGCTGTGTTATTCTGTGTGACTGTTATTCTGTGTGTGACTGTGTGACTGTGTTATTCTGTGTGACTGTGTAACTGTTATTCTGTGTGTGTGACTGTTATTCTGTGTGTTACTGTGTGTGTGACTATGTATATGTAATTGTGTTATTCTGTGTGTGACTGTGTGTGGGTGTGACTGTTATTCTCTGTGTGTGACTGTTATTCTCTGAGTGTGTGACATTCTATGTGTGACTGTGCAACACTGTGTTACTCTGTGTGTGTGTGTGACTGTGTTATTCTCTGTGTGTGATTGTGTGTGTGTGTGACTGTGTTATTCTCTGTATGTGTGTCCCTGTGTGTGAGCGTAACTTGTTATTGTCTGTGGGTGTGTGACTGTGTTATTCTGTGTGTGTCCCTGTGTGTGGGTGTAACTGTTATTCTGTGTGTGTCCCTGTGTGTGGGTGTAACTGTGTTATTCTGTGTGTGTGAACCTGTGTGTGCACGTGTGACTGTGTTATTCTGTGTGTGTGACCGGGTACGTGTGACCCCATATGGACTTCACCACAGGGCCTCTGACCCTATCCTGCCACGGCTGCAGGTGCCTTTACCCACAGGTATGGCTGCCACCAGGCTAGAAGGAAGGGAGTGGAGGTGGCCGTGCCGAGCCAGGGGCCTGGGCGGCACGGGCAGAGGGTGTGCCATTGGGGTGTTCCTTGGGCTTGGCTTGGAGAGAAGCCATCGCGGAGTCCCCTCTGCTCCAGGAATTTTAACCCTCGAAGCCACAGCGGGTGAGCTCATTCCCACCCTGCCCCTTAGGTGCTCTCAGGACTCTGCTCCCCAGGGCTCTCTGGGGAGAGCAAACGCCATCTGTTTCTGAACAACTTTCTCCATAGATGTGGGTTTGTAGGCCACAGGATGCCCTTTGAAATGAAGTGGACAAAACCCAAGTGGACCCAGCCATCGGTGCTTTTCTGTGTCATCTTCCAACCCAGGACGTGGGTGTCAAGTGCCTCTTGCAGCAGAGGAAACTGAGGCTCTGAGACATCACTGGCCGTGGGTAGAGCCCAGACCACGCCGGCTCCTTCTGCCTCCAGCCCTGCATTCCCTCCAACCCCCTGTGACCTCCTGCTTCACAGAACAGCCCTGAGACTCAGGAAGAAAGGCCCCTCTGGCGTTTCATGGGGCTCAGAGCCTGTTCTTGGGGACTGATGGCCTGAAGGGGTCTTGGTGGCATTCACTGTTGTCACCATTCCATGATAACTGCTGCAATCATGAAGGTCCACTGGGTACCCCTGCATGACAGGCACAGGCTCGGCAAGGCCTGTGTGTGAGCTCGCTCATGCTCGGGGACCGCTGTTACCCATTGTTTTGTAGACAGGGAAATGGAGGTTTGGGAAGGCTGGAGGGCTGCCAGGTGAGAGGGCCAGGGTGTGACTGCACGGGTCTCACACCTCACCACTGTCCCTCGCCCTCGGTGGCCAGATCTGGCCACAGCTTGGACACTTCCTTGTCTGGGTCCAAGTTGCACTCACTGGGGGTTGAGGCCACAGTGGGCATCCGTAAGCCAGAGAGCCTTGAATGAGCCCTTGCCCCATGGGGGCAGCCTGAGTGCCTCTAGGGCAGGTGCTGAGTCCCCTTCACCCCCGTATCCATGATGCCAGTGTGATGCCAGGCTTGCTGTGGAAGTTGTGCCACCAGGGCTGCAGCCAGGGTAGGAACAGGCTCAAAGGCCTTTCCACCATCCCAGACTCTTCTCTCCTGGGAAGCAGATGCCTTAGGCTGCTGAGGGAGGAACAGCACAGCCTGTCACCCCCAGGGCACAGACAAAGACACACCATGGCTAGGGGAAGGATAGGAAGGAACTCTTTTTCCTTGGAAGGGCACCAGGAAACCATCCTGGCCTACGATCCTGCACCATAGAAAACAGAGGCCTTGGCTGGGTGTGGTGGCTTAACACCTGTAATCCCAGCACTTTGGGAGGCTGAGGCGGGTGGATCACAAGGTCAGGAGTTCAAGACCAGCCTGGCCAAGATGGTGAAACCCTATCTCTACTAAAAATACAAAAATTAGCCAGGCACAGTGGCGGGCACCTGTAATCCCAGCTACGAGGGAGTCTGAGGCAAGAGAATCGCTTGAACCCAGGAGGTGGAGGTTGCAGTGAGCCGAGATCATGCCGAGATCATGCCACTGCACTCTAGCCTGGGTGACAGAGCAAGACTCTGTCTCAAAAACACCACCACCACCACCACCACCACCACCAGAGGTCTCTTCTCACTGGGGAAGGGACAGGACAGTCACACCCAAGACCCCGACAGAGTTTGCCACAGGGAAGAGGGGTAGGAATGCTGGGGTGAAGGGCACAGGGAAGGGCCTGTCTAAACTGAGGCTGGACCAGTACACAGAGAACCCACCCCAAGCCTTGAACATAACCTTGGTAGAATAACAAGCAGCAGCTGTCTACTGCCGAGAGAAAGTGGGGTAAGATCCATGCTGCAGCACAGGCAGGCAAGAGAAAGCTGAAAGCAGAGGGTGGGGCACCACACTGAGGAATCTCCTCCAGTGCCCTAGTCCCAACCCTGGGCACAAGGCAATGACAGCTCATTGCTAGAGGTACTTGAGGCCTATGGTACATTGAAGATAACCATAACAATGACAAATCCCAAACCCAGCTCAATTCCTAACAAGATTGACTCAAATCCCACACTAACGGTCTGACAGAAGAGGATTACCCATTTCCATATGTAAATACTATTGACCGTAGTCACCTCTGTTCTATACATGAATGTTCAGTATTCAATAAAAATTATATATTTTTTGTTCAGAAGCAACAAAAAACAACCAACCCATTGTCAAGAGGCAAAACAATGAATGGAGTTAGACTCAGAGACGACCTAGATGTTGTAACTATCAGACAGTTATGTTAGAATGGCTAGTATGACAACGGGTCTAGTGGAAATGGCAGACAATATGCATGAACAGATGGAGAATTTAAGCAGAGAAGTGAAAACTCAAAGTCAAAGACAGTTGCTAGAAATAAAAAGATATGGCATCAGAGAGAATTCCTTCAATGGGCCCATCAGCAGACACGAAAACTGAGGAAAGAGAGAAATTGAAGATGTCAGTAGAAATTAACCAAACTGGAACACAAAGAGAAAAAAAAGTGAGGGAAAACCAGAGCATCCAAGAACTGTGTAACATGACAATCCTATAAATGACATCAACCTCAACTCATAATGTGAGAGTCCCAGAAAGAGGAGAGGGAATGGAGCAGAAGAAATATTTGAAGAGATAATGGCTCAGGCTTTTAAAAAAATAATGAAAGACATAAAATCGCAGATCCAAGAAGCTTGGAGAACCTCAAGCAGGACAGAAAACAAAGCAGCTACAACAGCAAACAACCAAATAGACACATCAAACTCCAACTGCTGAGCACCAAAGAAAAAGGAAAAAATCTTGAGGTCAGAGGAAAAAAGACATACAGAAGAACAGTGAGTTACAGCAGATTTCTTAATTTCTTATCAGAGGCTTGTCATGTGGGAAGACAATGGGCAACATCTTGAAAGTATTAGAGGTTGCGGGGAGGGGAAACACATTTGTCAGCCTGGAATTCTATACCTAGAAAAAAATACCTTTTGAAAATGAGGTTGAGGCTGGGCACATTGGCTCACACCTGTGATTCCAGCACTTTGGGAGGCCAAGGCAGGCGGATCACTTGAGGTCAGGAGTTCGAGACCAGCCTGGCTAACATGGTGAAACCTCATCTCTACTAAAAATACAAAAATTAGCTGGGCATGGTGGCAGATGCCTGTAATCCCAGCTACTCGGGAGGCTGAGGCAGGAGAATTACTTGAACCTGGGAGGCGGAGGTTGCAGTGAGTTGAGATCACGCCATTGCACTCCAGCCTGGGTGACAGAGCAAGACTGTCTTTAAAAAAAAAAAAAAAAAAAAAAAAGAGGTTGATATAAGAACCTTTTGAGAAAAAAGCAGCTGAGAGAATTCATTGCCAGCAGACCTGTGCTACAAGAAATGTCAAAGAAAGTTCTTCAGTGATAAGAAAGAGTTTGAGATCCACATAAATAGATGAAGGGCTCCAAAAACAGTGAAAATGAAGACAATAGAAGGGTACTTTTCCTTATATTTAATCTAGAAAGTGAGTAAATGGATCAGAGGCCATAAATTAAATGTGAGGAGACCCCTGGGGGCTTTAAGAGGCTATACAGAAAAAGTAGGGGCCTCTCCGGCATCCCAGCACCCCTCTACCCCCGCCCCTATCGTACGGTCACTGTTTTTCCTTCCTGGCTGCCCTCTAGGTCACTGCCCTGAGTGTGCAGGGCCTCCCTTAGCCCATCCAAGAGGCCTAGTAGATGAGGCATGAGGAGGGAGAGGCAGCAGAGAGTGTGCCGTGCCTGTAGGCATTGGGGTGTGTGGTCTCTCCAGGTGAACAAGGACTCATGTTTCAAGAAGAAAACAGAAGTGGAAAAAGCCACATGAAGTCGTGACGGTTTGAGTCTCATCGTGGGGGAAAAACGAATGAGTGCACGTTATGTGGCCGGTCCATGGTAAATGTTAGACGTGTTATTGTTGCTGAAAACCAAGTCCAGCCTTCTCAACTACAGGGCTAAACAGTGAGAATGCTGCCTTTTTTTTTTTTTTTTTTTTGAGACAGAGTCTTGCTCTGTTGCCCAGGCTGGAGTGCAGTGGTACAATCTCAGCTCACTGCAACCTCCGCTTCCCAGGTTCAAGCGATTCTCCTGCCTCAGCCTCCTAAGTAGCTGGGACTACAGACATGGTCCACCATGCCTGGCTAATTTTTGTATTTTTAGTAGAGATGGGGTTTCACTATGTTGGCCAGGCTGGTCTCGAACTCCTGACCTCAGGTGATCTACCCTCCTTGGCTTCCCAAAGTGCTGGGATTACAGGCGTGAGCCACTGCATCTGACCAATGAAGCCTGCTTTGAATGATGATCCTCTCCCATATCTCAGACCCACCAAACCCGCAGGCAGTTTAGTTTTTGGTGTTCTGCAGATCCAGTGACACATGATCCTGAACACTGACCCCTGTCCTCTGAGGAGCGGAGCTGTGGCATTTTTAGGAGGAGCTATTGCCATCTCTGCACTGGCCAAACAGAACAGGAAGGAGCGGATGCAGGAAGCCACGCCACCACAGAACCCACGCCGAGGCCACGCTGAGGCAGATAGGGCCGTGTGTGGGTGGGCTATTCTGGGATCAGGCACTCTCTCCTTGATATGTCAGCCTTCTGGATTGCAGTGCCACCCACGTCTAAAAATATCTCTAATGTGCAGTCGGCTGCCCACTTCATCCTGTTTATTTATACAGAAGTGACAGCTGAAACTTTCAATAAATGTTGTGAGCTCCGTCAGTGAGGATGTGATAAAAGAATTCCCCTCAGAGTACAGACATTCTTCTGCCCAAAAGAACACAGAACGGACTGAAGGACCCAAAATAGTCATGAAAAATACACCCTGGCTTTAACTCCCTAAAGTTTCAGTTCTCGTGTCACTGAGTAATTATCCTTTTTTGGCTAGGACCTTCTATTCTGGGGCTCGAAGCAAACTTTGCTTGGAATGTTCCTGAATCCTATGGTGGGAGTTTCCAGCATATCTGGGTCCCAAGTCAAGGCCCGACACCACTGTTCATGGTTACTTGCTGGTAAGAAAGTGTGATCACTGATGCTCACAGGTGAGTCATCTACTCTGGGGACACCCTGGGTTGCAGTTGTCCCCCAGCTACCCCCGGCTGGCCCTAATATGAAATATCTGAGCCTGGGCCCTGTCACCCATAGACCTGGGTTCAAATCCCAGCTCCACCTCTTACCCAGAGTGATCCTGGAGACCTCATTCGCTTGTTCAAGTCTTAGTCTCCTATTAAGATAAAGATACAGGTCCTCACTTGACTGGCTCATGACGTATACATTTCTTGTCCTTTTTGAGTTTATACTTAAGCAAAAGGTGACCAGGCAATGTGTGTCTAAATTGTCAGAAAATCTGAGGGGAAAGCACTTTTGGCTTTATATTCGCTTTTTAAAATTTATTTATTATTTTAGACAGCGTTTTGCTCTGTTGCTCGGGCTGGAGTGCAGTGGCACGATCTTGGCTCACTGCAACCTCTGCCTCCCGGGCTCAGGTGATCCTCTTGCCTCACCCTCCAGAATAGCTGGGATTACAGGCGTGCACCACCACACCTGGCTAACTTTCATTTATTTATTTATTTTGATTTTTATTCTATTTTTGAGACAGAGTCTTGCTCTGTTGCCCAGGATGGAGTCCAGTGGCATGATCTCAGCTCACTGCAAGCCCCACTTCCTGGGTTCATGCCATTCTCCTGCCTCAGCCTCCCGAGTAGCTGGGACTACAGGTGCCCGCCACCACGCCCTGGCTATTTTTTTTTTTTGTATTTTTAGTAGAGACGGGGTTTCACCGTGTTAGCCAGGATGGTCTTGATCTCCCGACCTCGTGATCCGCCCGCCTCAGACTCCCAAAGTGCTGGGATTACAGGCGTGAGCCACTGAGCCCGGCCCAATATTTCTTCTAGAAATACAAATGACTACTAAGCATGTGAAATGAAAGACCAAACATCCAGATGGCACTCCTCTTAAAAAGGAGAATGCTAGGCTGGGCGTGGTGGCTCACACGTGTAAACCCAACGCTGGGGGAGGCCTAGGCCGGAGGATTGCTTGAGCCTAGGAGTTTGAGAGCAGCCTGGGAAACATAGTGAGACCTTGTCTCTACAAAAAAATACAAAATGGCTAACACAGTGAAACCCCAACTCTACCAAAAATACAAAAAATTAGCCGGGCGTGGTGGCGGGTGCCTGTAGTCCCAGCTACTCGGGAGGCTAAGGCAGGAGAATGGCGTGGACCTGGGAGGTGGAGGTTGCAGCGAGCGGAGATCGCACCACTGCACTCCAGCCTGGGTGACAGAGCGAGACTCTGTCTTAAAGAAACAACAACAACAAACATTTGCCAGTGCTGGGATGCACCTGTAGTCCCAGCTAGTTGGGAGGCTTAGGTCAGAGGATCACATGAGCCCAGGGAGGTGGGAGATTGAGGCTGCAGTGAGCTATGTTCCTGCCACTGCACTCCAGCCTGGGCAACAGAATAAGACCCTGTCTCAAAAAAAAAGAAAATAATGCTGAATGCTAGTGAAGGTGTAGGATACTGAGGCAGGCACTCATAGCAATCCTCAGGGAAGATAAACTGGTACAATTTTTCTGAAACACAATTTGGCAATATGTATCAATAATCTCAAACTCACGGATGCCTCTTGACCCCGTAATTGCATTACTGGGAATTATCCTAAATTAATAATGTGAAATATAGATAACAGTGATGTAAGAAGGTGTCCACTGCAGATTTATAATTATGAAAAACAGCAAACAACAGGACAGCGGTCACAGAAATTGTTTATGAGTGGCTCCATTATGTAGCTGTTAAAATTATATTTAGGAAGAAAATTTTAAGATGTGGAAAAACATTTATGTTCTAAAGCTGGGCAGAAGAACAGCTCTCATGCCTGTGATCCTAGCACTTTGGGAGGCTGAGGCAGGAGGATCGCTTGAGGCCAGGAGTTCAAGACCAGCCTGGGCAACCTAGTGAGACCCAGTCTCTCTGCTAAATAAATAAATAAAGTTTTGAAAAGCAGCAGCAGGTTAGACCAGGTGCCATAAACAGCCTGGATTGGGGTAAAATGGTCCACATGGGAGGGGGACACAGCAGAATGTCACAGGAGTGATCCCCACCAGAATGGTAATAACACGAAGGACTTTTCTCTCAACTTTTTTGGGTTTTCTACCTTGAGCATACATACTTTTTATAATTATATTTAACAGCTCATTTTAGCAGGAAGGCTCACAGGAAACTAGATGTTGGCGTCACTGCATCTGCAGCCACCGTGCCTGGTGTCTGGGGCAGCCTGGGTCTTCCCACCAGAGGGCTCTGATGTGCAGGCAGGGCTGGGACCCTCTGGTGACAGCGGCTCATGGGGGAGGCGTGCAGGGCAGACAGGGAGCGGGGACGGGGCGTTGGGCCTCTCCAGTCTCAGTGGCCTCCTGCGTGGAACTGGGGGCCCCGCGGGACCCAACTCTGAGGCAGGAAGGGGCTCTGTGGAAGGGTGAGTGGGGGTGCGGGGTGGGCCCTGGGGGCAGGACCCCACTTTCCTCCTCGCTGTGTTCCCCCCACCCCCTCTGCGGAGACCTCTGCGTCCTCCTGGTCCTCCTGTTCCCTCCTCCATCTCCCTGTCCTTCTGGCCCCTCCTCTTCCTCCTGATCCCTCTCTCCTCCTGGCCTCTCCCTCCTCCTCCCAGCCCCTCCTCCACCCCCTGATCCCTCCCTCCTCCTCCCAGCCCCTCCTCCTCCTCCCGATCCCTCCTTACCCCTCCCTCTTCCACCTCGCCCTTGCTCCAGGCCCCCACCTCATCCTCACTCCAGCCTTGCTCCGGGTGGCAGTGGGGCATCCTCACTCACTGAAGACCCCGGGCCCTTACCAGCCCCCGGAGGAGAGGCATCCCCCGCGAAGTGCTCCTTCTCTCTCGGCCTTGGGCTGCACCTGAGAGTTCCCCATTCTCCCTCCTCCACCTGAAGCCTGGGCTGTTCACTTCTGGCTGTGAACACATGTGACTCAGGGCCCCCATGCCATGCCTATCCCCTGAGTTATCATGGCTCCCCTTTCCCTCAAGGGTGCCCTCCCCTCCTGAGGCCCCATCACTGTGCCCAGGATGGGGCAGAAGTGACTCGTCCTGGTGGATGGGTTATTACAACTTACATACCAGCTTCCACTTTTCTGTAGTGAGTATGTGGGGGCTTGGCATCTATCTACCCCTTCTTCTGCCTCCCCCAGTTTAGTCAGGGGCAGCCATCAAACCCCTCCACCGCCCTCCACTCTGCATGCTGGGCTTAGCTACCACGGGCTCTCCAGGCCACATCCCACACCCTGGCCGCTGCCCAAGCCCACCGTCCACACCTTCCCACCCCTGCTTCACGCCTTCAGTGCTCACCATTACACCTGTCCCAGATTCAGAAGCTTCTGTGTGGGTCACTCAACTGGGTCCCCTCCCTCCTGCTGGCCACATTCTAGCCACAGTGGCCAGTGTTCTGCCTCAGGACCTTTGCACATGCTGTTCCTTTTAACTGGAAAGCTCTTAGCCTCATCTTCACAAGGCCACCCTATGCTCGCCCTTCGCTTAAATGTCACGTCCTCAAAGAGGCCTTTTCTGGATGCTTCAATCATATTTGGCTTCCCCAGCAAAGTGGGGTTTTCCTTCATAGATGGGTGTTACTTTGTGGCTGTCCATGAACTCATGTGATTATTCACCCACTGTTGGTCTCAACAACCAGACTGCAGACACCACCGGGGCAGGGAGGGTAAGAGCAAAAATCCCCCTTACTCTGGTCACAGTGGCCACCTCCAAGGCAAAGTGAAACAAAGCCTGAAGGAAGACAGCGAGAGAGGGATGTACCCAGGAGACGCAGACAGAAGGTGAGCAGGGGTGTGGGCTTCCCAGCAGACCTGGCCCAGGCCGGTGAGAAGGGCCATCAGTGGGGCTGATGGGGATGCTCCACCCAGGACAGCTGGCACTGCGCCACAGCGTACAGACAGCCCGCAGCTGCCAGGAACGCAAGACACGTGGGAGACTTAAACACACCTCCCAAGGCTAGGTAGATAAACAGTAGCATAAAGTGATTATGAAAAATAATGTTAATAAACCGATGCAGTGACTGTCTGATAAAGGTTCTATTCTACAGAGACTCAGCCGGCTTTTCAAAGGCCCCTGGGTCTGTGTTAGGCGGCAAAAAGAGACTCATCAAATCCCCAGAGTATAAATCATAAGTCAATATTCTCAGGCTACAATACTGAAAACTAAAAATTAGTTTTAAAAAAAGGATAAATTTAAAAAAATGGAATTCCTAGAAATGAAAGATCATTTATATAATTTCGAAGTCACAGGAGAATTTAAAAATTCAATTACAAAATATTAAGAGAACAAGATCGGCAATACTATATGTACAAATGAATGGAATGGGGCAAAAGTGAATTCTGAGAAAAATTAATAGTTATAAATTATTTTATTAAACAAAAATAAATGAAAATAAACAAAATAAGTATCCAAAGCAAGATATTTTTTAAAAAGAACAAAATAAATCTCTCCAAATGGCACATAATTTGTCCATCAATAATTATTAGAAGCAATATAGGCCAGGTGCGGTGGCTCACGCCTGTAATACCACCACTTTGGGAGGCCGAGGTGGGCAGATCACTTGAGCTCAGGAGTTCAAGACCAGCCGGGGCAGCATGGCGAAACCCCATCTCTGCTGAAAATATCAAAATTAGCCAGGCATGGTGGCACACACCTGTAGTCCCAGTTAACTTGAGTGGCTGAGGCACGAGAATGCCGTGAACCCAGGAGGCAGAGGTTGCAGTGAGTCGAGATCGTGCCACTGCACTCCAGCCTGGGCGACAGAGCCAGACACTGTCCTAAACAAACAAACAAATAAACAAAAAACAAAAAACAGAAAAGAAAAAGAAGAAGTATAAGAGATTAATACGTAAAAAAGGTTTGTTAAAAATTGGAAAATCCTCAGTGAATTGGGATACTTTTTGGTTAAATTATAAACTATCAAATATCGACTTAAAAAGGAGGAATTCCAAGAAGAAAAATGGCAAATGTTATTAAAGAATTGCTGTTTCAAAAGGCACTAGATCCCAGGCAGTTCTTTCAAATTCTTTTTTTTTCTTTTTAATTGAGACAGGTTCTCACTATGTTGCTCAGGCTGGTCTCAAACTCCTGGGCTCAAGCGATCCTCCCACCTCGGCCTTCCAAAGTGCTGGGATTACAGGTGTGGGAGGCGTGAGCCACTGCAAATTCTTAAAGTGAAAGAAAAAGATGTGCAGCTTCCCAGTTCATTTAAAAAAGTTAACAAACCCTGATCCCAAGCCTCTTGAGATGGCATGACATGCGTCTCAACGCATGCGCACACGGACGGAACAGATGCCCTTCGCTTCCACCTATAAATAGACACTCAAGTCCCCTACCCAATGCTAACAAACTTCATCTAGCCACATAGCATATTTTATTTAAAGGAGGGCTAATTTCAGGAATGCTTTAAACCTGTTACTACAAAATCACACTTTAATACACCATGGGAAAAAAATGTACCGTCATTTTAATACGCATTGAGAAGGCATTTGAGAAAACTCAATATTCTTTTCTGATTTTAAAAAAGCCACAACCTTGAAAACACAGAAAGAAGCTATTTTCTTCATGTGATAAAAATCTCTCTCTCGGCCAGGTGCAGTGGCTCACGCCTGTAATCTCAGCACTTTGGGAGGCCGAGGCGGGCGGGTCACCTGAGGTCAGGAGTTCGCGACCAGCCTGGGCAACACGGTGAAACCCCATCTCTACTAAAATACAAAAAATTAGCTGGGTGTGGCAGCGTGTGCCTGTAGTCCCAGCTACTCAGGAGGCTGAGGCAGGAGAATTGCTTGAACCCGGGAGGCGGAGGTTGCAGCGAGCGGAGATCATGCCACTGCACTCCAGCATGGGTGACAGAGTGTGACCCAGTCTCAAAGAAAAAAAAAAAATCACTGTCTCAAACCAATAGCATGCACCCCATTTAGGACTGGAACACAGTGGCATTTTCGTGGCAGCCAGCAACAGGCTTATTTCGCATTTAGGCAGCCAGGGCTGGCTTCTCCCTTGTGGTTTCTGCCTTTGGTGTCAGGGCTCACACCCAGGATTCTGTGAATAGCGGGACCTTTCCAAAGCAGGGAGGGGCTGGCCACTTACTGCGCCACTTCCTCTGTTGACAGAGAGCCACGCTGTGGCCTGGCCTGGCGTGCGTCAGGTGTGGAGCAAGCACAGGGCCAGCTTGTCTTTAAGAGGCCTCAGCCCGGGCCCTGGGGATGTGAAAGCCCACGCAGTGTAGCTTCCCACCTACGTCTGCGTGTGTGAGCTCGGGAGCCTGGCTTCCTGTCTCACTTCTGCCCAGCACTGCTGGAGGCAGCAGAGAACTGGGCACCTTTTGTTTTTCTTGACACTGGGGAAATGTATAAGGAAGTCTTGTTAACTGTTTGATGAAAAGCACTTCAGCACACTGTGCTGGCCTGGGAAATGTGTGCTGGGCCAGCAGGCTCTGAGCCAGCTGTGCACACCTGGAACTCCTACGGGTGAGTGGCTGCTCCCATCCCCCTGGGACTGGCAGCACGCGTGAGGGAAAGACGGATATTGTACTATCAAACCCTTCCTAAATCAGGCTGGTCAGAGAGTACAATCAAACTAGGGAAAAGGCCAAGCATTAGAAGTCCTATGTACCTGTGCCAGCCCAGGGATGCCTACACATTTGACCTACTGCATTGCTGAGACAGGAATGCTTTGAAATAAGTGTCATCACTGCATGCAAATGAATATGTTAAACAGGAATTTTCCCCAGGCTCTGACTATGGTTTATCTATTTAAGTTGTATTAACAGGGACTTCTGACATCTTAGCAAAGCCATTTTCCCAACAGCATAAGGGGAAATGCCAACTCCATCCCTTTCCAAAGAATTACAGCATCTGGCCAGGCACAGTGGTTCCCGCCTGCAATCCCAGCACTGTGGGAGGCTGAGGAGGGTGGATCACCTGAGGTCAGGAGTTTGAGACCAGCCTGGCCAACATGGTGAAACCCAGTCTCTACTAAAAATACAAAAATTAGCTGGGCGTGGTGGTGCACGCCTGTGGTCCCATCTACTCAGGAGGCTGAGGCAGGAGAATGGCTTGAACTCGGGAGGTGGAGGTTGCAGTGAGCTGAGGTTGCACCACTGCACTCCAGCCTGGGAGAAAGAGCGAGACCCCATCTCAAAAAACAAACAAACAAACAAAAAACAAAACCCCCCCCCAAAAAACCAAAACAAACAAAAAAAGAAGAATGACAGCATCCACGAGAGCATGTGTTTCTGAGGTTTCCACTAAGACACGTGGATCTGTAAACAAGAAGCCTCACCATAGGCTTCTTGCAAATACTTCGCCAAATCATGGAAGCCAATTCCATTCCACACCTTTGTTACCAGCTAAATATTGCACTTTACCACTGACTAGGTGCTTGCTGAACAAGGAGGACAAAGGCCTCTCTCTTGCAGGAAAAGGAACAACATGAATAACGCACCAAAGAAAGAATCTTGGGAGGGTTCAAGGAAACAGGAGGAAGACAGATGAAACGGGGCTCAGTGTTCTCGCTGCTGTGGAGGAGGCCACAATTCCTCCTGCAACACTCGCAGTGACTGTAGAGCATGCTGATGAAGCCGGAGAAAATGGCCAGCCCTCTCTGCACGTTGAGCAGGGAAGGCAGACACGGGACCACCTGTGGCCTTATTCTCACCTCCCCTCGCTCATGGCCTGTCTGGGCCTCAGGCTCTGTCCTGTCCCATGTCATCTGCTCTTTCAGTCTCCCTCTTTCCTGGCCTGAAGTGAAGCTGGTTCTCCCATTCCTGGGATGGAGGCTGAGGCCCAGGCGGGGCCCGTGGTTGCATGCGGGGCTCTGGGGTCCACCTGGACGGATGCACACCTCATGATAGCTGAGTGCCACACGGGAGCATCCGGTGAGCTGCAGGCATGTAAAAGAGGGACCCACTGAGGCTGGGGCAGGTGACCCCACCATCCCCACGGACAGCACATCACACCCCCAGGACATTTAAAGGCCTGGCCCCTCTGCTGTCCAAAAGTCTAAGAGGCTGGGTGCAGTGGCTCACGCCTGCAACCCCAGCACTTTGAGAGGCCAAAACAGGAGGATCGCTTGAGCCCAGGAGTTCCAGACCAGTCTGGGCAACACAGAGAGACTCCCCCATCTCTACACAAAGTTTAAAAGTTAGCCAGGAGTGGTGGTGTGTGCCTATAGTCCTGGCTACTTGGGAGGCTGAGTCAAGAGGGTTGCTTGAGTCCAGGAAGTCAAGTCTGCAGTGAGCTAAGATCATGCAACTGCATTCCAATCTAGGCGGCAGAGTGAGACCCTGCCTTAAAACAAAACAAAACAAAGTCTAAGAAAATACTAAGACCTGTTTCCCCGCGTGAGTGTGCTTCTCACATCACCCGAGGGCAGGTGTTCTTACCCCCTCCTTACAGAAAAGGGCGCTTGCTGAGGTGATGGGGAGGTCCCTGAGGCGGCAGTGCAGACTGGGGAACGGTCCAGGGGTCTGCCTGGGGGCTGCTTGGCCCTCCCTGGGCCTGGCTTCCTCTGCCTCCCTCCCCTTCTCCTGCTATGGTGGCCCCAGGCCGGGGAGGAATCTGGGCGCCTCTGCCCATGCTGGGAGAAGCGAGAGGTTTCTAAATCCATCCCTGGCTCCATGTGCAGCCAGGTCTGGCACCAGACACAGCCTGGGAGCTGCCAAGTCAGGCTCCCCACAGAGCAGCCACAGCAGGCGGGCGGACGGGCATAATACCTCCTCTGAGAACAGGCCTGGGCAGCGCCCTGGCTCCTGGGGCTGCCAAATGAAGTGCAGTTTTAAAATGCAGTGGGTGTCCCAGGCAAAGTCACAGACTGTCCTATGCTGGCTGCATCTGGGCCTGAGCAGGGGTTGCATTGCGTCCCAGGGTCCGAGGATCAGGGAATGCTGGGAGATCGCTGAGCTGTGCCCATTGTGGGCCGGGTGCTGAGGGCTCACTACAACCCCTGGGAGGTGTCCTGGCACCCCTGTGGGGACACCCAGGTCTAGCTGCCCAGCTGTGTGTGATGGGGCTGAGACCACACTCAGGCCTGTCCAGGCCCCAGGGTTCCCACCTCACGGGGACATGGGTGTGACATGTGTCCGAGTCTCAGGATTAAGCATGACAGCCGGCAAGCTATATTTGGATGCTAACACCCTGGGGGCATTGTCCTTGTGAAGCAACGCTGGCCTGGAGGCTGGACGGGCTCTGCCTTCCTATCCACCCCTGGTCTCAGCCCCAGCCAGCCGGCCCAAAGCATACTCACCCTCTCTGTACAAGAAACTCTCCCCCGATGCCACTAGACTCTTCAGGGACCCCTGCCGGGCTTCACGAGCCTTCAGCGACCCATCCTGCCCACCCACGGGGCGCCCTGCACCATGCTGGTCCCTGTTCGGGCATCCCACCAACTGGCCGCCTCCATCGGGGTAGCAGCCTTGCCACCCCTGCCCTCCTGCCACAATCTCACCTCGTTTGGAGCTCAGGGCAACACTGAGTGTGGGGAAAGGCCAGGCCAGGAAACATCCCAACGTGGGGTGTTCACTGTGGGGGTTTTGAGGAGTTGGCAGTTACGGAGCCTCGGTGTTTTCACCTTTAAAATGGGTTCAGTGATCCCTGGCTCACAGCAGCAGCGTGGTGAGAACTCCCTCAGAGGGCCACCACCATGCCATTCTCTGATGGGAGCCCATGACCCCCCCACAGGACCCCTTTGCACAGCAGGGGGTGGGCATGTGACTCGCGCTGCCCTGCCTTTGGATGGGAGCCCCACACAGGCAGGCAACACGTGGCCTCCTGTCTCGCTCCTGACTCGCTCTACAATCGCCACCATAGGGCTGACCTCAAGGGAGGGTGAGGGGCTCCAGAGGCCATGGTGCTGGGGGGCCGTGGCTCCAGGAGGGAGGGGGAGGTCCTGCCCTGCTGGGCCCTTGGTGGCTGGCACCATTGGCTAGGTGCCTGCTAAGTGCTCAGCAAATGGCTGCTGAGCTGAATCAGGTATCTGGATTCTGAAGGGTACCCTGCTACCAAGGTGCCTTCACCTAACTTGTCGAAGGAGAACCACAACCAGATAGGAGTAGGAACAGGCCACTCCTGTTCCCCAGGGCTGGCAACGCTTTGTCTCACCTCCTATGAACACGTGTCCCTTTGTTCCGTCTTTGAACGTGTTTGTGCACCACGGGGAGCCACATTCACCCGAGCAAGGGAGAAGGTTCCAGCCGTCCAGGGGCCTCTCCACAGTTCAAAAGCCACCTGGACAGCCTGGGCCTTGGAACTGCCACAGTGCACCAGGAGGATGAAGGTGCCAATAAATAAGTGTGGTGGGGACCCATAGAGCCTCAGCCCCGCCTGGCTTCTGGGATGGAGGGGTGGCAGGGGGGTCTCACCCCCTAGCCAGGTCCATCTGGGGCGGGGGATTCAGGCGCTGGTGCTGCCTGTCAGCAACATTCCCTGGTGGTCCTGGCTGCCCCAGGTCTGAGGACGTATGGCCTGCGGCTGCCCAAAGGGCCCTTCCACAGCCAGCCTCGCCCTGGCCTAGCTCCCACCCCAGCACTGCCCCCGGCTCCTCCTGCCTCCTTCCCACAATGGCAGAAATCTGGCCTCCCTGTAAAGAGGTGAGTTAATGTGTCCATTAGGCTTGGGGATAAAGGAAACTTTAATTCACTGCAGTATAATTAGTTTCAATTACAATATCCTAATTAAAAACTACTTTAGGCCGGGTGAAGTGGCTCACGCCTGTAATCCCAAGACTTTGGAGGGCCAAGGTGGGCTGATCACTTGAGGTCAGGAGTTCAAGACCAGCCTGGGCAACATGGCGAAATCCTGTCTCTACTAAAAATACACAAAATTAGCTGGGCATCATGGCATGCACCTGTAGTCCCAGCTTCTAGGGAGGCTGAGGCACAAGAATCACGTGAACTTGGGAGGCGGAGGTTGCAGTGAGCTGAGATCACGCCACTGCACTCCAGCCTGGGTGACAGAGTGAGACTGTCTCAAAAAAAAAAAAAAAAAAAGAAAGTATTTTTATTTTTACTTATTTTTTTGAGACAAAGTTTTGTGCTTGTTGCCCAGGCTGGAGTGCAGTGGCACAATCTTGGCTCACTGCAACCTCCACCTCCTGGGTTCGAGAGCAATTCTCTTTCCTCAGCCTCCGAGTAGCTGGGACTGCAGGTGCGTGCCACCACGCCCAACTGATTTTTGTATTTTTAGTAGAGACAGGGTTTCGCCATGTTGCTCACACTGGTCTCGAACTCCTGACCTCAAGTGATCCACCTGCCTTGGCCTCCCAAAGTGCTGGGATTACAGGTGTGAGCCACCATACCCGGCCGAAACTACTTTAGAAAGAGTAAAAAGCAGAATTTGTATTACAGGAAGTAAAAACAGATTATCTGGAAAAATGTATCTGGAAAAAGGATGTAACATGTACAGGTGGAAACAGTGCAAGATATGACAAAGAAGTGAAAGAAGGCAAAAATAATTCCACTGGAGCACAGAGGGGACAGAGGAGGGTGCCGGAGGAACCATGTCCGGAAACCTCAGCTATCGGGGAATGTCAGTGTCCGGTCCTGGAGAAAGGAGTCCGAGGAGGAAACTGCACTGCACACCAAAGCTTCTGCAGGCTTAACGAGGCCATCAGCAAAACAAGTTCTCACAAAATGTTTAAACCAAAAAGAATACTGCAAGCAACCACGCCAGGAAGGAGGAGGTCAGATTTTAAAAATATACATAAATCACAATCCCTTCTGCCTTCTCTGATGACATCCCAAACACCCAGAGACAATGGAACAACAGCTACAGGAACTTCACAGAACAAGGTTGCTCCTTGGAGATTTATTATCTTGCCAAGCTGTCACTCACGTTGCAAAGACGGCAGAGAGCTCCTTAGAAATTGTTGAATTCTGAGAATGTATTAATCACATGGCTTATTTCTAGGACCTACTTGAAATAATCTCCTGAATTTAAAAGGTAACATGTAAAAGGGAATGATGCTAGAAATAAGACACGCTTGAATTAACAACCTATTTGCAAAGATAAGTAAACAAGAGCCCTATCAGAGCAAGGGTTATTACTGATAAAAGTATGCAAATAGTGCAACTGTCAGAAAAACAGCGTAAAAATTAAAAACCAAATTACATAGAAGACAGAAAGGAAAAAGTAGGTTTTAGAACATTAATTGCAATCATTGAGGAGAAGGAAGAAGTGGGGGAGGGAGAGAAGGATGGAGAAGAGAGAGAGAGAGAGAGAGAGAAGAGGAAGCCCAAAACCCAGATTCCTGTCATCTCACACAGGGGAGGCCAAAGTGTGTGGTTGGACAATGTAAGATAATAAGTACAAGATAAGAACATCTGTTTGCTTCACATTTCATGGCTGGTTGAATGAAAAACAGCTTGCCAATATTTCAGTAATAATAGAAGAGAAAACACAGGCTGGGCACGGTGGCTCACACCTGCAATCCCAACACTTTGAGAGGCCAACATGGGAGGATTGCTTGAGCCCAGGAGTTCAAGACCAGCCTGGGCAACACAGTGAGACCCCATCTCTACAAAAAATAGAAACAATTAGGCAGATGATGTGGTGCATGCCTGTAGTTCCAGCTACTTGGGAGGCTGAGGTGGGAGGATCTCTTGGGCCCAGGAGGTTGAGGCTGCAGTGAGCCATGATCACACCACTGCACTCCAGCTTGTCTCAAAAAAAAAAAAAAAAAAAAGAAAGAAAGAAAGAAAAAACACATGGTGTTTCAACAATTGAGGGAAAAGAAAAGTAATCAGCATGGAAAGATAAACAATTAAGACAAAAATTGGAGTGCCTGAAGATTGAAAAAATACAACTTAATTTCCTGTGTTAAAAGGCTTGCCACTCTCCAGAAGAAAAAATGAAATCCAGCAATAAGCTGTGGGCAAGAGAGGTCATTAAAACAAAATAGGAAGACTAAAAAGAGTTACCAGTAAACTTCAAGTAGTTGAAAGGCTGGGATTCCAATGTTAATATATAGCAAAAAATAATTTAGAGCAAAAATGATTACATGTGATAAGGAGAGGTATCAGGATGAGAGGCATGGGTGGTGGCAGCATAATTACATGGAATCTAAATGCCATAAAGACAGAGCAAAACATATATGCAAATATCTCTGAGAAAAAAGAAGTAGAAATGATAAAAATATGATTATAAAATTAAAATACTTCATTATCAACTACATAAGAAATTCAGCAACACATAAAGGAGCTGAAGATCAAAACAAGGTAACATTAATGGTTGTTTTGGTGGGGATTAAATAGAACAAACAGATAATTTCTTCTTTTTCAAGTATTCATTGTATGTTCACAAAAAGTCATCATATACTAGTCTCAAATCAAATCTCCATAAAAATACAAAAGCAGAAATGATTCAGGCTACATTTCCTCCCTACGGCAAAAAAAGAGATTAAGAACAAACAGAAATAGAAATAGTATATTTTAAAATATACTTACCTAAGGAAAAAATTGTCTTGAGAAGAAAGTCAAGAAGACAATATCTGTCTGTTAAGAAAATACAATGGGCTGGGCGCGGTGGCTCACGCCTGTAATCCCAGCACTTTGGGAGGCCGAGGCAGGCGGATCACGAGGTCAGGAGATCGAGACCATCCTGGCTAACACGGTGAAACCCTGTCTCTACTAAAAATACAAAAAATCAGCCGGGCGTGGTGGCGGGCGCCTGTAGTCCCAGCTACTCAGGAGTCTGAGGCAGAAGAATGGCGTGAACCCGGGAGGCGGAGCTTGCAGTGAGCCGAGACCATGCCACTGCACCCTCACTCTGGGTGACAGAGTGAGACTCCGTCTCAAAAAAAAAAAAAGAGAATACAATGAAAAAAACTGACATATCAAAACCTATAGAAAGTGATGAATGAGGAAAGTCCTTAGAGAAACACATCACAGCCTTAAATGTCTTTATTATTTTCAAGAAAAGTGAGAAAAATGATGAACTAAGGATTGAAATCATATCTTAGGAAAGAAACAATTTTAAGAAAGGGAAAAGGGGGGAAGTGAGTGGTAAAAGTTAAAGCAAAAAAACTGAGAAAAGACACGGTGATGCAAAGTGTGGCCTATTTTCTAAAGACTACAAAACTGGGCATGTGCGGTTCATTAAACAGTGGCCTCTCAGTTCCTTTTGATGAATGAAATAGCATCTAAACAAAGAAAAAAAGGGGAAAGAAGAAACACAGCAAAAACAAAAGTGGAGGCATAAGCTTGAGTCTAAGGGATATTAAACACGTAAAGGAATACTATGCAGCATGTTTCAGTTAACTGAGAAATCTGAAGGACATAGACCAAATAAACACAGATGAAGATAACCGTTAAAACAAGAGCTAGAAAGTCAAAATAAATCAATAGTGGAGGAAGTAACTGGAGAAGGAAATCCCCCAAATTACTGAGGTTTGATGGTGTTAGTGATGAATTCATTCAAACTTCTAAGAAATAAGTAATTCTCACATCACAAATTATTTCTGGCTCGGTGCAGTGGCTCATGCCTGTAATCCCAGCACTTTGGGAGGCCGAGGCGGGTGGATCACTTGAGCCCAGGAGTTTGAGACCAGCCTGGGAAACACAGTGAAACCCCATTTCTACCAAAAATACAAAAATTAGCCAGGCGTGGTGGTGAGTGCCTGTAGTCCCAGCTACTCAGGAGGCTGAGGCAGGAGGATCACTTGAACCCAGGAGGTGGAGGTTGCAGTGAGCCAAGATCACACCACTGGACTCCAGCCTGGGTGACACAGTGAGACTCTGTCTCAAAAAAAAAAAAAAATTATTTCCCACCCTTGATTCTAATGGTGGGCTAGCATGTCTATCCCATTAGGCAAACGTGGTCCTAACCCTAAAACCTGATTAAGGAAACACAAAGAGGAAAATCCGGAGCTTCCTTATTCATCACTTTCTATACCCATTTTACTGGGGAGGCCGCAGAGGCTCACAGCGCTGAAGGAGGGACGCAGCCGGCGGGGTTTCTGCAGGCGGGCCCCACTTGGCACTGCATGCTTGGTCCCCAAGGTCCATGGTAGTTTTCCTACTATTCGCTAAAAAGCAGTATCAGGTAACAACCCATCAAACTGTAATCCCAGCACTTTGGGAGGCTCAGGCAGGAGGATTGCGTTAGCCCAGAATTCAAGACCTGCCTGGGTAACATAGGGAGACCTCATCTCTACAAAAAAATAAAAATTAGCTGGGTGTGGTGGCACATGCCTGTAGTTCCAGCTATTTGGGAGGCTGAGGTGGGAGGATTGCTTGAGCCCAGGAGGTCGGGGCTGCAATGACTTTTTATGGAATTTAGCAACATGATTCTTAAGTTCTTTTGGAAAAATAGGCAGAAAATATATCAAAGCATGCAAAACATAATGTAAAATATAATGAAAATGAAACATGGTAGGAGAGGCCTTCTAAATTGTAGGAAATATTGTAAAGTTGTGGTAATTTAAATGGCGTGGTACGACCCCAGAATATAAGTAAAAATTATTTCAAATAGACTCTAATGCACATAGGAAGCTATTATGTGTTAAATTAAGCAACACAAAACAATGGAGGTTGGCGACATTATTTAACAAATTCTGTTAGGATAATTGAGGTGGGAAGGAAATACATTTCTGTCCATCCACTGTGTTAAGAAGATACATATCATTTCAAAACACAGAACAACTACAAAGACACAGAACATAATCTTGTGGGCATATGACTCTCACAATTGAGACGACAGAGTCTGTGGACAGTTACAGCTGTGCGGAGGTCACACGGTCACTGACTGATGAGGGGTGAATGGGAGCATCCATGTGTTCACAGATTAGCTAATGAACGACAGTGTGGAAAATGAACATCAAAAGACACACAAACGAAACAAGAAAATATTTAGAGCACAATGGCAAATAGTTAATATATATATTCTTCAAGAATCTATGGCCGGGCAAAGTGGCTCATGCCTGTAATCTTGGGAGGCCGAGGCGGATGGATCACTTGAGGTCAGGAGTTCGAGACCAGCCTGGCCAACATGGTGAAACCCCGTCTCTATTAAAAATACAAAAAATTAGCTGGGCGTGGTGGCGGGTGCCTGTAGTTCCAGCTACTCAGGAGGCTGAGGTAGGAGAATCACTTGAACCCGGGAGGCAGGGGTTGCAGTGAGCCAAGATTGTGCCGCTGCACTCCAGCCTGGGCAAGAGAGGGAGACTCCGTCTCAAAACAAACAAACAAAAAAAAGAATTTGTAAAAGAAGATTAAAAATACCTCCAATGGGCATATGGGAAATCTCTGTACCTTCCTCTCAATTTTGCTGTGAACCTAAAACTGCTCTAAAAAATAAAGTCTTAAAAAAAGGAAAAAAGGGCAATGACTCACAGGACAAATAGGAAAGGTCATGGTGACGTAACTTGCACTTGAGAAAAAACAAATTCCAAATAACTGTCAGAGACCAGTTCAACTTTCCTAATTGCCAAAGACATGCAAACTAAAACTACAGAGGAAATCTCCTTTGACCTGCAAAAATAAAATCCCTACAAACTCAATACTCACGAGCCTATGAGGAACTAGGCATTTTCATATGTTGCTGATAGAATTATAAATTAGTAAAATTCTTTAGAGGAACAACTGGCAAAAATCTATCAAGAACCACAGAATGGGCCGGGCGTGGTGGCTCACGCCTGTAATTCCAGCACTTTGAGAGGCGGAGGTGGATCACCTGAGATCAGGAGTTTGAGACCAGCCTGGCCAACATAGTGAAACCCTGTCTCTACTAAAAATACAAAAAATTAGCTAGGCATGGTGGCAGGCACCTGTAATCCCAGCTACTCGGGAGGCTGAGGCAGGAGAATCGCTTGAACCCAGAAGCCAGAAGTTGCAGTGAGCCGAGATTGTGCCACTGCACTCCAGCCTGGGCGACACAGCAGGATTCTGTCTCAAAAAAAAACCCCCCAGAACCACAGAATGTTCATGGTACATGCTACAGTAAGCCTACTTGCATGAATTATTTCTCCCAGGAATGTCTAACAACAAAATCTTTTTTAAAAAAACAAAGGATATATGTACACAAGTTCTTATAGTGTTGTCATTTATTTCAGACAAGGTCTCACTTTGTCACCTGGGCTGGAATGGAGTGGCACAACCTCAACCTCCTGGGCCGAGGCGATCCTCCCACTTCAGCCTCCCTAGGACTACAGGTGCGCCCATTACACTCAGCTAATGTTTACATTTTTTGTAGATACCTGGTTTCGCCATGTTGCCCAGGCTGGTCTCGAACTCCTGGGCTCAAGTGATCCACATGCCTTGGTCTCCCAAAGTGCTGGGATTGCAGGTGTGAGCCACTGTGCCCAGCTCCATCATTTATAATAGCAAAAACCAGGAAATGGCTTTAACTCGAGCAGGAGTAGGGAACCACAGCGTGCCAGTGTGGCCTGCCCTAGAGTGAGGCGGCCTCCACTGCCTGGGCAGTGAGGGTAAACTCAGTCTCTTTTTCAGAAAGTGCATTCTCCATTTTTTGATTGAGACAAGAAGCTGAAACAAGAGTGGACTCAGACCCAAGGCCTGTCCCAAGACGCATCCCAAAGGGCACCCTGTGCTTAGGTCCCGCAAGATACTCGGTGTCCTCGAACTATGCACAGGGAAGGCTGTGAGGTGCCACTGCTCCCTGGAGGCCCTCCCACAGGGGACTGAGAATGCTGCTGGCCCTGCCTGTGCCTGGGAGATGTCTACCATCTGAGTGATGAATGGATAGATCCTGGGAGATGCCATGGCCCAGCCTGGGGGCTGGAGTGAAGGTCAGCATTAGGAGGGGACATCTGCTCTGTCCTCTACCCACTGCCCTCCCCACACAGGACCCACAGCCAGAGGTGTCACACACAAGGGCACATCTTCATCCTCTCTCCCCCACCCCACCCCCACCCCTTCCCCATGGGCAGCCCAGGAGGCCGCCTTCGGGGCTCAGTGAAGCCCTGTGTGCACAAACTGGCCTGTGTCCCAGGACAGCCAAGTCCCGTCTGCACAGCCTGGATGGTTCTAGGGCTTTCTGGGGGTGTGGCTGCTGTAGTCGAGTGTCCACAGGGGAGGCGGGGGTGGATGCTGAGCTACGACGAGCCCCCGCCACCAGACGTGTTCCACCTGCCCACCCTTTCACTCACTGCCGGGATCTGGTTAGCGTCACCGCATGTCTGACCTTTCGCGTTGACGCACAGGCCTGATTTCATCCCCATACTCAGGAGGATGTGAAACCAGGCAGTTAATCACCTGATGGGAAAGACGCCATGGTGGGCTCAGTGCCACGCTCCGCGCTAAGTCACCACAGGGTCTGGGGAAGGTCTCTCCATCTGTGCCTTCCCCCAGGGCCAGAAGACTTCCGAAAAAGATGTGCTGAGGATGACAAGGTGGTCCCTGGGTGTGGAGGGGTGAGGCCAGCAGTCGCCCGCTCCAGCCCCAGCCTCCAAGCTCCCCCAACACGAGGGCTCCTCTCTGTGGGTCCTCACAGATGCATTTCTCCTGGAGCTTTCTGAGAAGGGAAATGGGGCTCCTCCTCCCCATTCCAGAGCCCCCCAGCCCAGCAGGCAGGTGTCATCAGATCCTCTGGGGATCCTCATCAGAACCCACCATGGCGCGCACGTTAAGTGAGGCAACCCCTGACCTGAACACATTCCAGGGGCGGCTGCCAAGGACTCTGAGCCCTGGTTTATTTCTCCAGTGCTGAAAACCAGCAGAAGGCGCTCCCTGCACAACCACGGTCACGCGCGCCAAGGAGACTACAGGAAGGTGGAACGACACCCCCGTGGGGCGGCCTGGGCAGGGCCGGCATATCCCCAGCCACTGCCCCACTCTGCCCAGCCCTGGACAGCTGTGTCTACAGCTCGTCCCCATGGGGACCCGGCACCCCGGCTGATGCCTGCGCAGGCCACAGGAGTGGCGTCCTCAGGGGAGCCAGACTGGTGTCACTGCGCGAGCTGCATGTCTTTCCTGGCACAGCCACCTCCTTCTCTCCTCCTCTGCCCCCTTCTCCTCTGTAAGCCATAGCCTGGAGTCTTCGAGGACCCGGCTCCCAGGGGCTCTTCCTGCTCCTCTGCCTCCCGCGGGGCTGGCCATTAGTGCTGAAGGCCCCAGGAGGTCAGGGGTCAGCAGCCGGGTTTCCGTGCCCCTGGGGTGTGCTCTGGAGATGCCTGGAAAGATTCTCCCACCCAGGGGGGGCAGAGGGTGGGGGAACAGACATCTAGCCAGGGCTTTCCTCACAAGAACTGGCTTCACGCCTGGTGCAGACACACAGAGAGGGGCACGGCAGGAGCGATGGTGTGGCGGTGGGCAGGGAGGTCAGTAGGCAGGGAGGGCGGCCTCGGCCTGGGCAATGCTCGCCTTTGGATCCTCTGAGACCTGGCTGTGCTGGGCACTGCCATCTGTCCTGTCCACGCCTGAGGGCCTTTCCGTGGAGCCCACGCTATTCCACCAGCACACACAGGGATGACAGCACCACAGCCACCAGGGAGAGCACAGAGGGGTCCCAGTGCTCGTGGGCATGTGGCAAGTTCCAGGGCGGACACCGCCATGAACAAACCCACGAGGGCACCGAGGCAGCCCCAGATGCTGTACTGGGAGCTCCTGATGCTCACGACAGGCCTCAGGGAGGTGGGTGGGCTCCAGGGCCAGGCCTCCGGGCAGGGGCAGGCGGCGGGCAGGGCTCTGTGAACAGCCCATCCCGAGACCTCGTGGGGGTCGAGCTCAGCAGAAATCCAGGAGGACACCCTGCCCTTGGCCCAGACAGCCCTCGTGATTTCAGAAGAAGCCTCCCTCTCAGTTCCTGCTGAAATTCAAAATACAAGCAGCTGTTCCCATGTTGCTGCTGAGTTCTGAAGAATTTCCTGACTTGACTCTTTTAGCAGGAGACACAAAGAAGGCAGCAGGAGGGAAATGCAGCAGGCTGGGAAGGACCCCAAAGTGTTGGTGCACCCTGCCCAACGTCGTGTGGACCCAGAGCGTCATGCCTGGCGCTGGCCATGCTGAGCCGCCGTACCACAGCAGGCACTGCAGACATTTGTCTTGCGTCCCCCAACTACCACGCTGGGCTGCAGCCCCACTCCCTGGGGCCTGGAGCCCCGTCCTCTGAGCAGCTCCTTGGGCTGGGGGAGGGCCCATGATTGCCCAGCATGGGGTCGGCAGGGCAGGGCAGGGTCCGCAGTGACAGCCTCGGGTAACCAAAGCTGAGGTGACCTGAGGCTACCATGGTCAGTATTTACAAACCTGGAAGCTTTAGGGCAGAGGGACGGAGGCATCCCAGCTGGTATGGAAGTGAAGTCTGGTTCTCTGGGGCCCAGTGACCTCAGATGCTGGGAAGGCTGTGGCCCCATCCTCTGGCATCTTCCCCGAGGACACCTTTCCCCTGCCCAAGATGGCACTCAGACCCTGAAGCCATACAGGGTGGGGTGGAATAGGCGTGTCCCCTTCCCTCTTAAATCAACCGAGCATTTCTTATTTAGGTGAGGAAATCTGACGTGAGGCTTTTAAAAACCCATGTTTTATAGCCGAGTCCAGCACGTTCCAGATTCTTCTCTTCTCTGTTCTGCCTTCTCTCTCCCTCCCCTACACCCATAGGAAGGTCTCTGGAAATGAGAGTTCCCGATGACACATTTGCCAGGTTTTCTATACCTCCTCAAATTAGATTGTAGCTCCAGTTAATACATTAAATCACATTATGCCTCCATCAGCAAACCAAGGCTGCAGCTTAATGAGATGATAACCCCTGGTAAATGACGGCCCAGCCAGCTTGCAGGGGAGCCTGGCCCCGCTGAGCTCATTCAGCCACTTTTCAGGGACCTGTTCCATGTAGCTGAGTGGAAGACACCCAACACGTGTTAGAAAGGGCTCAGGAATCACCCCCAAGCCTTGCTCACAACAGACAACCTGACAAAATCCACCAACCAGGTAACAAAGCAACAGGATGAGCGGAGGAGTGGGGTCACGGTCAGGGCAAGGGCTGTCGGAACCCAGCAAGCACCTGCGTGCAGATCCATGCCGGGCAGCCAAGGTCCCAGGGCAAGCGCAGTGGCTACAAACCCTGAATGCGCAAAAAAAAAAAAAAAAAAAAAAAAGTGGACCTACAGGCCAGGGCAGGGACCCAGGAATGACCCCTGTGCAGAGGAGGAGCCTCTTTTTTTTTTTTCTTTTCTTTTCTTTTTTTTTTTTTTGAGGTAGGGTCTGGTTCTATCACCCAGGCTGGAGTGCAAGTGGTACCATCATGGCTCACTGCAGCCTTGACCTCTCAGGCTTGAGTGATCCTCCCGCCTCAGCCTCCCAAGCACCTGGGTCTACAGGTGTCCAACACCATGTACAGCTAATTTTTAAAATTTTTGTAGAGATGGAGTCTCACTTTGTTGTCCAGGCTGTTCTCACACTCCTGGGCTTAAGTAATTCTTCTGCCTTGGCCTCCCAAAGTGTTGGGATTACAGGCGAAAGCCACTGCACCAGGCCATGAGGAGTCTTCCATTCACTTTTTACTTCTATTCAACGTCCTGAGTAAAGCAGGGATCACGGGGGGCCTCCTTCCCATCTGCTTTGATAGAGGAAGCAAGACTTCTGGGCCGGCACTAGGAGCTGGCACGAGCATGTCTCAGCCCCCACTTACTCCTGTGTGTGTATCCCATAAAAGGCTGGCCGGCCGCCTTTGTCTACGTCGCTCATAGGAAGGTGAGTCCCCTTTGACACGCAGCTGTTGTTAAATGAGACCTCTGATTTCAGAAGAGTCTGGAAGCTTCCCTCTGCCATATACCAAGATACCTGCAGGCCCAGCCCAGGGCCCTGGGACAGCTATGACCTTGGGCGGCAGCAGGCATGTGGCAGCTCTGGCCCAGAGGCTCCTGCCTTCAGAATCCCCTGGCCTCCATGCCAGCCTGGTTTTGGATACCAGACCCCAATAATTGCCTGGTTCTGCTTGCTTGGCTTCTGCCCCAGCTGCCAAGCCTCAACTGCACTTGGCTCAGAGACGGGCCTTTCCCAGAGCCTGTGTCCCCCATCAGGTCACCTGCCTGGCTCACAGTCCTTGAGACCAGCTGGGACCCTGCTTGGGCTGGGAGCATTCCCTGAGGCCAGCCACCTGGCTGTCTGGCTGCCTGCCGGTCAGCCTCACTTTGGGGTCCCGCTCATCCAACAGACACAGTGCCACCTGCCCACACCTGGTGATGGCCTGCCTGCAGGCAGCCTAGCGCCTCTCACCCTATTTGTGCCTTCGTGTTCTCTCCAGGGCCCTCTTCCCCTCCACTAGTTACTTGGACAAACTTGCCCACCCTAGAACCCCAGGCCCTCGCTGCTACTGGAGACCCTTGGAAGGCTGCCCTTGGCCCACTGCCAGGCTTGGTGTCTCAATGCGATGGACCTCACCAGGTTGGTAGGGACATCGCCAGGACGGAGGCAGCACCTGAAGGCTTGCATCCCCATCTCAGGAGGCCACAGTTATATGGAGGCAGGGCATCCCTCCACCTCCGCCGGGAACCAGGAGGGAGCCATGGGTACCAGCTGTGCGAGCCTGGGCAGGTGAAGCAGCAATCACAACAGCCCCACCTCCGCCAGGCTGCTGCTGACCTCAAAAAGCCAATGTACGTTACGTGCTCGACACAAAGCCCAGCACGCGGTAATAAACGCCAGCTACAGTAAACGCGTTTCTTGGACTAAGTTAAGGGATAATTAGGTAAACATTCAGCAGGCGGTGAGGACCCATTGATAGTTCTGGAGAATAGATCAATATGAGATTCAGGTGAGATGAGGAAGGTTTGGGAAAGGGACGATTTAAGAAGGCACGGGCCAAGTGCACAGGGAAGCTTAGTGCATGACAAAGGTGGCATCTCAGGTCACGGGGAGCAGAGATGGACGTTTGCATAAATGGGACAAGTGGGTAGCGCATCCAGAAAAAGATAACATTTGATTCATAGTTCACACCATACACAAGAATAAACTGGAATAAACTCCGATGGGCCAAGGATTTCGATGGAACCAGTGGGACCACACAGGCTAGAGGAAAACGTGGCAAATCCCTCTTTTCCCTTCATGTGGGGAGGGGCTTTCCACTAGGACTCCAATCCAGAGGCGATCAAAGATGGATGGTTTTGACCACATTAAAAAAATTGTGTGGCAACAAAAACACCAAAAGAAAAAAAAAACAAAGTTGAAAGACAACCAACAAACTAGGAGAAAATCTCTAATGTACACGAGAGACAAAGGCCTAACCCATCTAACATACAAAGAACTCTTTAAAAACGACCTGATAGAAAATAGGAAAAGACACAATTTGCCAAAAAGATAAAAGAACGGCCTGTAAACATACGAAAGATGTTCGGATTCACTCCTAAGTACAGAAATGCAAACTCACATGCTGCTGAGACATCACTTCTCACTTATCAGACAGTAACAACTCTAATGGACGACAACACAGTCTGTTGGTGGGTCTGGGGAAACGGGCACCCCATACGCTGCTGGTGGGAATGCAAACTGGCATCAGCCTTCTGGAGGGACGTTGCAAAACCTAACACATTCCTCCTGCTCTCACCTTTGGTCCTGCGACCCCACTTCTGGGTATCTATTCTGAAGAGTCAGCTCCAGTGCTGGGAAAACACGGATGCGTGAGGCCATCCACGTCGATGCTGAAATGGGAAAATACTGGCCACAACCTAAGTGCCTCTGCTCGCTTGGCTTCTGCCCTGGCTGAAAGGAAAATGGCTGAAAGACTCTGCACGGCGGAGTACTATACAGCTGTAAAAATGAAGGAGGAGGCTCCCTCTGCACTGACAAGGAGAGAGTTCCAGGTTATGTTGTTAAGTGAAGAAAAACCAAAGTACAAAGGAGTGTCACTAGTATACAACCCTTTATATAAGAAAGAAGGGGATGTAAGAAAATGCAGGCATCTGCTCATTTATGCAAAAGATATACAGGAAAGAAAGACCAGAAACTGATGAGGTAAGTTGCCCACAGGAATTGGGTGGGAACAGGGTGAAAGGAATGAGAGAAATGGGCAGGGGCAGGAGGAGGAGGGACAATGCCAGTTGTCTGAACACACCTTTGCGCAGAGACCTCTGCCCCTGGAACCAGTGTGATGATTATAGCTTTATGAGCCAACTTGGCCAGGCTACAGTGCCCAGTTACTCAGTCAAACACTAGTCTAGGGGTCACTGTGGGGGTATTTGGGAGATGTGGTTAACATCTATCATCAGTTGTCTTTAAGTAAAGGGGATAATCCTTGATGCTGGGGGTGGGGCCTCACCCAGCCAATGGTAAGGCCTTACCAGCACGTTCGGAAATTCTGCCTCAAGAATGCTGCGTCGGCTCCCAAGAGTTTCCAGCCTGCTGGCCTGCTGGGCCCTGGGATTGGGCAAGCCAATTTTTTGAAACAATATTGTTTTACCCAGCCTTTCTCGATACCATGGCTTAAATAGGGATTCACCCATGTTTTCTTCTAGCACCTGTATGGTTCCGTGGGTTCCATCTAAATCCCTGGGATGTGTGTACACCCACACATACGCACATATATCTTGGTTTCTAGATACCATTCTCTAACAAAAGGAACCAGTGTTCCTTGGAGAAATGGCTGACTTCAGGGCTGGGGCACAAAATGTCTAAGATAAGCCTGGAACATCTCGTGGTACCAGAAAGAAAGAAAGTGCTCAAAAACAGCCAGGGGCAATGTCGAAAGGACACAGAAGCCAGTGTGAAGGCTCTCCAGTAGCCAAAGCTGGGACCAACCTAAGGGACCTTGTGATAGCACCGGGCCCCGGGATGATCCCGCATCTCCCATCTCAAAGCCACCTGATTAGTGTCACCAATTCTGTCTGTGACTTTATCCCCTTTGCCGTGTGACACATCGACAGTTCCAGGAATTACGCATGGACATCTCTGGGGGGCATCATTCTGCCAAACGCAGACCCCAGGGGCTGGCAGGCCTGGGCTGACGTGCTGAGATGCTGTTGTGATGTGGACTTTTCCTTCTTGGTTCCTAAATTATCTTGATTTTTTTTTTTTTTTTTTTTTTGAGACAAAGTCTCACTCTGTCCCTCAGGCTGGAGTGCAGTGGCGCCATCTCGGCTCACGGCAACCTCCGCCTCCTGGGTTCAAGCAATTCTCCTGCCTCAGCCTCCCGAGTAGCTGGGATTACAGGCGTGTGCTACCACGCCCGGCTAATTTTTATATTTTTAGTAGAGATGGGGTTTCACCATGTTGGCTAGGCTGGTCTGGAACTCCTGACCTCAGTTGATCCACCCGCCTTGACCTCCCAAAGCGTTGGGATCACAGGTGTGAGCCACAGTGCCCGGTCAGATTTTTTTTTTTTTTAATACTTTAAGTTCTAGGGCACATGTGCACAACGTGCAGGTTTGTTACGTATGTATACATGTGCCATATTGGTGTGCTGAACCCATTAAATGACGAGTTAATGGGTGCAGCACACCAATATGGCACATGTATACATACGTAACAAACCTGCACGTTGTGCACATGTGCCCTAGAACTTAAAGTATCATAATAATAATAATAATAAAAAAACGAAAATTCCCAGCAACTCCCCCTCCTTCTAGTTCCAGCTATGGCCACTCGGCTCCGAGGATGGCGAACTCTCTCTGGCCTCAGCGCTAGTTATTCCTCTTTGTGCTCTGGCACTGCAGGAAGCCATCTGTGGTGGCTTCCATTTCTAAGGACACTCCACCATGGCTGCTTGTAGAACACTGTGTGCATTACCCTGCTGTCTTCTGCCAGGCCTCCCGTTCACAATCAATCTACACAAATTAACCATCACTTCCACAAAGCAGGCGGGGGAGAGTGCTTTTCTCCAGGGGCCCCCCATTGTGTCTTCCCTGGATCATAATAAAATGCAATCTTAATTTAAATACAAATGACTCAGCTGTGGCAGAAGGCCAATTAGCCTAAAGAACAGGCTGTTCTGATTTTTAACAACCTCTTCCCACTCAACTCATTTTTCAGCTTAGAAAAGGAGGCCCTGAAATCTTGGAGAGACCTTCAGTACAGTAGAGTGAGGAGACCCTGCTGAGGGCACAGGGCCCCTGGAGACCCCAGAGGGTTGGGGTGGGCTCCCTGGTTCACTGTGTCTTATCAGGGGCCTTTGAGGCTGGAGCCGTGACTTTGGCCCTCCCACCTTCGGGAGCACCAACTCTCCCACCTGAACTGGAGCAGAGGGTACGGAGTTTCTGTTGTTTTAAATCCCAGCATGCACACCTGCATATACCCCATGCTTTCCTACTTTTTAAAAAGTTTGGGCTCCCAAGGTACAGAGTCGCCTCAACAACAGTGCACTGAGCACGGACTCTGGGCCTGAGGGAGTTCCCTGGGGTGGACGAAGTGGGCAGAGAGCACATGGCCGGTGGGAGGAGAAAACAGAGGCCACTCATCTGCCAATCTCAGTAGGACTGAAGAGGGCAGGCTGTGGCCAGCGGGGCTCTGAGGGTAGAGGGAGGCCCAAACCCAGGCTCAGAGGGGCAGTGGGAGCCACCCAGCCTCAGGGCCTCCCAGCCGTGGGCTTTCTCCCTGTGCTCACGCCAGCCTGCAACCCACAGGGGAGGGGTGACGAGTCCAACTAGGGGTCTTCAACCCCACAGAATTGTGCCCGGGTGTGTCTGGACCCTCAGGGGACACCACAGCCACAGGTACTCTTCGTGTGTGACCTTGGTGCAACCTTTCCTCCGTGAAGACCCTCCCGAGGCCCTCCTCCCTGCCCCTGGCCCTCCCCACCAGTCCCCAGGGCTCCCTTTCTCTCAGGCACTGGGGAAAGCGCTTGTCATCGGTGGGGCACCAGGACTTGCGCTGCGCTGTGAACCCACAGACAGATCTCTGTGCGAAGTTTGCATGGCAGGGAGGCGGTGGCCTTCAGCTCCACGCATGCACTGCTGACCCCGCTACTCACCCACTGCAGCCCCAGGACACCCCAGCGCCTCCCACGGAGGCAGAAACAAGGACTTGAAAGTCGATTGCGGACATGCCGAGTTCTGATCGCCGCTCTGGAGGCAGAGGAGCCTGGGCCTGCTGGGGAGAACCCCCCGGCCTGCTGATGGGGGCCCAGCACCCAGGAGGCTGAGGGAGGCAATGAGGGAGCCCCTCAAGCGGGAAGAAGGGCCCTTGGGCAGGAGGATCGGGCCAGGTGGGGAAGGGTTCGGCTGAAGCCGTCCTGCTGGGGGCTGTGGGTGGTGACAGCCTGCTCCATTACCAGAAGCTCTGAGCCCTGGACAGGGTGGGGCCAGGAAGGACAGCTTTGGCCTGACCACAGGGACAGAGGGAATCAGCAGGGACGTCCCTGAAGCCAGGCTCCAGTCAGAGACCCGGCCACCCTGGGCATGAGACCCTACTCTCAGTCATTCCCCAGGCGCCTGCCCTTGGAGAGGCCGCGGGCATCTCTGGCTGGACATGGCCCAGTCTGAACCCTCCATCCCCAGACCAGATTATTGAGGACGTGGCCTCCTCCCACCGTCACTCTTCACGTCCACCTGCTACTGGCTCCCTCCTCTGTCTTCATCCCGGCCCCCCCCACTGGGGGAAGAACCCTTCCGGGGTCTAGAAAGGATCTTCCACAGCTCCCACGTGGTCCACTCCTCCTCCGCTTGCCCCCTCTCCCTCCCCAACCGTGTCCTGCCCACCAGGGGCCATGGGACTCACCTGATGGTCCTGCCCCAGTCACACCACAGCGTCTCCCCGACGGCCTCCATGTCTACCTGGAACTGGGTGAGGCAGAGCTCCCGGAGGAGGGCACCGTAGTTAGCCTCCTGGCAGGCAGTGGTCATGAAGAGGTGATGGGCTGAAATAGACACGGCCATGAAGAGATGGCGGGCGGCAGCAGAGGCCTAGGGGTATCACCGCCAGCCCGCGCGCCCCTGCAGCCCGGACTCCACGAGAACGGGGCCTCTAAGCAACCCCTGGAGAGGGCGACTGTGGCTCCAAGTGGACGCTCTTCATCAATTGTTCTGTGACCTGGCAAAGGCCCTCCCTGCCTGCTAAGGGTGGCTTGGCCCTCAGTGCCCGTGCCAGCTTGGGCCAGGGCACATTCCATCCCACAATTATGCCATCGGGCTGCCCCAGGCATGGGCAGCATGAGAGGGGCCCGGAGACAGTCTCTGGCTGCCCCTGTTCCACGGGTACCTGGGGATGGGCTGGGCTGGGCTGTGCCCCCCAGCCCAGGAGCTGCAGGCACATCTCCTGTCTGACTATCTGCGGGCTATGAACCGAGCTGACAAACGGAAGCATGAACTGTGCTCCCTCCTCCTGCCTCGAGCCATACACCAGAGCAACAGTGACCTGCCCAGCGATGCCCCGCACAGAATCAGGATTGACTAATTTCCCCCGTAGCTCACTGCTGGCTGGGTGGGGGCGGGGGTGGCGGGGAGAGCATGGCCCTTGGTCCCCCACCCACCAGGCTTCTTCTTCCTCCTCAGGCTGAGCCTCTCTTTCTTGGCCACCTCGTAGGGCAGCTGGGGGCAGAAGCTTTGCATTCCCTGTTTAGGGCTTGGCTCCTGGCCCTCCCACTGTCCCCAGGTCCCCCTCCTTTTCCCCCCAGGCCACATCCTCTGCCCAGGGGGGACCCCCAGCCCCACCCCTACCGGCCTGGCCCTTTCAAATTCCTGGAAGGAGCTTGGCACTGGGAGGCCAGAGCTGCCCTGGGAGACGCTGGGGGCACCCAGCCCCTGCAGCCCACCGCCTGGCCCCCTGGGCCTCATGAGTGAGGACATCAAGTTGCCCCTTGCAGCCTCGGGCCCAGGGAGCCCACCCAAGGAGAGGTGGCTGCCCTTGGGCAGGCAGATTGGGCGAGGGGTTCTGGAGTACCAGTCTCCGGCACGTGGCCTGGGGTGGGTGTGAGCTCGAGGGGCCCCTCGGACTGCTGAGTAAAACGCAGAGGAACTGGAGCTGCCCCGATGCGCCGGGCACCCTGGAGCTCTTCACACACAGCCGCCTCAAAGTGGATCTGACTGCGATCAGCAATTTACGGATGGGGGAACTGAGGCTTCAGGGTTCAGAACTCGGCCCCAGGTCCCATGGCCGGAAGTGGTATGGACCAGAGAGCACTTGGCCGCTTCTGGGGCTGTGGGGCTGGGCACCAGATGGGAGGCAGGAAGTACAGGGAATGGCCTGATGTCCCTGGAGGTGCACCTGGGGGAGGGCGAGCAGGTGGCCATGCAGGGGTGGGGTGGGGGTGCTGTTGCAGAGCACCACTCCAGGCCCAATGGCTGGTGTGTCAGGGTGAACGGATCCCACACACTGCACACCTGGGCACTGGCCCAGCCCACAGCTGCTAGAGAGAGCTGAGTGCTGACCAGAGAGGCTGAGCCCTGCACGGGGCTGAGGCCATGAGTGGGTCCCAAAGAGCCAGGTGTGTTGAATCAGGGATGTTTAGCCCAAGAAGCCAGGGAGTGATGTGGGTGCAGTCGGGCCTGCATGGAAGGCTGGGAGTTGGAAAAAGCCCCACGGAGGAGCTCAGGACAGGACCTGCTAGCAAGCGAGACAGAGTCCCCCCACCTCACTCCAGTGGGTCACCCACCCTCGACCCCTGGCATGAGTGCCCAGCATTGGAGTTTGTGGCCACAGAGGGAGCTGCATCTGCCTCTGGGAAGGCTGAGGGCAGAACAGCCTCCTCCGGGCACCCCGGGGACACCTCAGGAGGCTCTGTACCCACCTGAGTCCATGCTGCTTCCCGACAGCACAGGTGTGTCCCCACCATGTCCATACCAGCACTGTGAGTGCACCTTGGGGCTGGCTGGGCCCGCTGTGGATGCACCCCCCACCCTGGGGGCTTCTTTCACCCCCAGTCAGGGCAGCCTTGGGGAAGGGGCTATTTCTGACACCTGCCCCATCAAGATGCCCCCTAGGAAAGCCCACCTACTGTGGACAGTGATGCCCCAGGAGCTCCCAGGGGCTCAGGAGGGCTCAGACACTGACTTGTCAACTCAGGGAAGGAATTCCAGGCTGCCTGTCCAGCTGCAATTGGAGAATCGTCCCTCTGTTTATCCCTCACTGCTCCTGGCATCCCGCCCCCCACTGCCTTTCTCTGGTGAATCCTGGGTCCCAGTCCCACCTGCCCTCCTCCGCTGCCCTGTCCTCCAAGAGGCCCCCGGCTGATCCTACCTATGGGAAGCCTGCCCCCTTACCCTGTCCCCCAGCCCATTTCCTCAGAGCCTCACTCAGGGCTGGTGGAGGGTCTCTTTCTTTTCTCAGAACCCTCTTGGCTGCCCTCTCATCTCCTACTCCTTTCTGACTCACGCTGGCACCCAGCAGCTTTGCACATTCATATTTGTCAAATGAGCCAGCAAATAAGATGGCCATACCCGGATTTCTCAGTGGCCATTCTGCCTGGGAGTGAAGCAAGCGTGCCTCAGGCTATCCTGCCTGGAGTGGAAAGATTGGGTGTCAGGGTCATGAACCACTGCAGACTCCCCTCCTGCTTTGGAAGAGCCGCTTCTAGGACAAATGAAGATGAACAGGCATGTCTGTGCCTCAGTCGGGATCCTTGGCTGCACGCAACAGAAACCAACTGGGGCTGGTGTGAGCAGTGGAGGATCTGGTAAAGGGACCCTGGTGGCTCCCAAGTCCCCAGGAGGGTCTGGGAAGCGGGGTCTGCACAACCGCCCTGCAGAGCCAGTCCCCGTGCGGAGGCCGAGCTGCTCCTTCTGGTGGGGTCTCCAACAAGTGAAGCGAATGCAGGTGCAGGGGCCAGAAACAATGACAGCGGTCCTTTCACCCCAGGCCACAGGGTGGCCCTCCCTGTCAAATTCAGGTCAATCTCCTGCTGTCCCCTGGGCTGTCCAGAGCAGCGGCCTGCCCCCAGCCTACTGGGCCTTCCTCTCCTGCAGCCCAGCCAGTTCTAGCTTCCACCACCCATGCAATCCCCTGTCCGGGTCTGGCTGCAGGGCTGGTCCGGTGGCCTTGACCCTGGCCTGGCTCTGGGCTGGTCCCTCCTGGATGCTGCATCCCCCACCTCTCTTAGAGCCATTCTGCCTCCCAAGGGGCGGGACTGCCATACCCAGCCCATTGTCCCTTGCTCCTTAGGGACAGAGCCCTCCCTGACCAGTGCTGCCCTTTCTTTCCCGCCCTATGGGAGCCCAGAGTCCCACAGCTGGGATGAGGCCAGGGGCAGCTGTTCAGGCAAATCTGGAAACCAGTTTCATTTTTTAGGTACAGGCGAAGAATGCTTGGGTTTTTCTTAAACGAGCCTGATGTGGTTTCTTTCCTTGCAGAGAGAGGTAACATCAAAGTTTTAAAATAGGATAAAATTGCCAAAGTTTTAAAACAAGCCATTCAGGGCCAAATGGGTTCCATTCCTCTGTGTGACTGCAAATGTAATCATTCATAACTCATGTCTTTCAAAAGCCACGTGCAGAGGTTGCTGGGTAGACGGCTGCGCTCCTCACTCAGCCCTCGGCGTGTTAAGACAGGAAACTTCCCTCGAGCTGTGCGTAAGTTAGGAACTCAGTGTTGCTTGAGGGGGTTCAGAGCAACGGCTTCCTTCTCCACAGCAGGACAGCGCCCCTGAAATGAGCATGCATAGCAGGCACCCCAAAGGTGGAGGGCCCCTCAAGCAAAGTGACAGGGTGGGGACAGAAGGACGGGGCAGCCGGGCCCCCCACAGGGGACCCCTGGACACTGCTCATCAGGTGTTTGGGCTTTCTAAGGAGACAAGAGGCACAGAGCTAATGGGTCTCAAACTCAGCAAATGCACTTGATGCCCATGTTTGGTCTGTGCCACATGGGGCAGGAAAGGCCAGTTCTGTAGCTGTGTATTTTAGGTTTGTAGAGAGAGAATCTCAGACCCCATCACTGTCCTCCTCCCAGCTGGAGTGGTGGCTAAACAGAGAGTGCAGGTCAGGTTCTAGGTCAAGTTCATGCAAATTCCTGAAGCCTCCCTGCTCCCCTCCCACCAGCCAGTCCAGGATGCTAGTAGCTGCAGCTCACAGGCCAAGTCCAGGCTTAAGCCCCTTACACCCATTAGCCTGTTTATTTTATTTGATTTTGAGACGGGGTCTTGGTCTGTTGCCCAGGCTGGAGTGCAGCAGCACAATCATGGCTTACTGCAGAGTCTTGACCTCCTTAGGCTTAGGCAATCCTTCCACCTCAGCCTCCCAAGTAGCTGGGACCAGAGGCACATGCCACCACACCCAGCTAATTTTTCTATTTTTTGTAGAGATGGGGTTTCCCCACGTTGTCCAGGCTGGTCTTGAACTCCTGGGCATCGTCCCACCTCAGCGTCCCACAGTGCTGGGATTACAGGCGTGAGCCACAGTGCCTGGCCACCATTAGCCTATTTAATCCTTGCAAATAACCATCATGGCAGGGACAGAGGGGCTCAGACAGGTTAAGTAGCCTGCCTAGAGTCACACAGCCCAGGAGTGGTACAGCCTGGATGCAATCCCTGGCACGCTCATCTCAGAACACGTAGGAGGCATGGTGAGGTCAGAGACCTCTTGTGGAGACCCCAACACCTGCCCCAAAGGCTGTGGGTGACCCATGTCTGTGGAGGCTCTGAGACCCTTGGCCAGGAGCCCCGGCTGCAGATGGGCTTCCTCAGGGTGTCTGCCTCCCTCAGGCTTCCCAGGAGAGGCTTCGGGGGCTCTCACTGGGCACGCGTGAGTCCCACGACCTGGGCAGTCACCTGGCCACCCCACACTAATGCCCAAGAGCACAGGGGCCCTGGGAGAGTGGATGTGTGGCCATCATCACCGTCACTGAGTGGACGACTTTGGCAAAGGGGCATGGACTGGATAGAGCACGAGGTGCCCCCGGCAGCACCAGGGCAGGCCGAGAATAGGCTGCCGAGCCGCCTCTCCTCCCCGTGCCAGGCCCTCCTTGGCTGAGGGGCTGGCATCGTCCATCTAAGCGCAGGCTCGATCCATACTCAATCCTGAAGCCCCCGCTAAGAACCCCTAACATCCTTAAGGCATGGACGATACCATCGCAGGAGGGTGGAAAGATGGTCGTGACTGTAGTAAACTATTCTCAGCATCCCTCCTTTCAAAGAAGCCTATATTTTTTCTCTTCTAAAACACGCCTTTATTGAAGTATAATTTATATACCACAAATTCACCCATTTTACATAGACAATTCAATGATTGTTAGTAAATTCACTAAGGTGTACAACCATCACCGTATCTAGTGGTTTTCTTTCTTCCTTTTTTGGAGACAGGGTCTCACTCTGCTGCCTAGGTTGGAGTGCACTGGCGCTCTCTTGGCTCGCTGCAGCCTTGACTTCCTGGGCTTAAAGAAGCCTATTTTTGCATACATTTTAGAACACATAGCGCAGTGGCACAGGGGTCTAATTTATAAGCAAATCCTGGAGGAGCGTGTCCAGATTATTTTACTGGCGGGGGCAGGACCAAGAGAGTTGGGGACGACTGTCCCAGAGGGTAGAAGTGCCCAGGGCCCAAGGGAGTTGGGGTCGGGGGGCGGTGGAGGAACCCAGAGCTCCCCAGCCCATAGGAACGCCTGCTGCTGCCTCCCTGACATCTAGCTCTCCTGAACAGGGCCCCTTCAGTTGCCACGATCTGTCCCTGGTGGGTTGCGAGGCCTCTGTCCCCGGTGAGCATCTGCTCCCTGCATGGCCTGGTCCGTTTCAGGCATGCGAGTGCCTGCGTGAGGTGTCAACCATGGCCTGGCGTTTCCTGTGTGGCTGGGATATCTCCCCATTGCTTCCCTCCAGGTCAAACTTGACATCCTCTAGAGTGAAAGCACTCAGCTGTCTGAGCTCCTCCTCTCCCTGCCCCTGCTCTGTCTAAAGTCCTGTCTCTCTAGGGGTCAGCTGGCTGAAGCCCCAAGGTGCTCTCCTTTCTCTGGCAAGACCCTCTCATTCCAACTTCTCAAGTCCAGGCTGAGAAACTCCCGCCATCCACTGACACCTCTGAGCAGCCAGTGCAGGGGCGGTTGCGAGAAGAGGAAAGGTCCTCGGGGCCGTGGGCCAGGGCCGGGTTGTTCCTCTCCCACCCACACAGCCGCTTACCCCGCCAAAGCCTCCACCAAGTAGATTCTCCTCCACCTGTCATCTGATTTTGGTCCTCAAAGACAGCAAAGCACTGCATTCCAGCCCACTGTCCCCTCTCTCGGGCTCAGAGCCTCTACCCCCACGAAGTGCCTGCTTTGTGCTGGATGGGGTTGCTGTGCACAGTTCTTTGTCCCTCTCTTGCATCCGTGTTGCTCACTCTTACTGGAAATGCCCAGGCCCTTCCGAGTCCTCACTTGGATAACTGTGGCAGCCTCCAGCCTCACCTCCAACCTTAGGAACCTGGTGGGAGACCCCTGACTGCACACAGTACCCTCCATCCTCCTCCCCAGCCTTGGTCCTGCCCCCGACTGCCATTCAGTAAAACTCTACACATTGTCAACCGGCACTCTTCATTTCTGAAGTTGACAAGCCAAGAAATCCTCATTTTTTTAAGTCATAAAATAAAACACAGGTTGAACTAAAAACTGACTGTCTACCTTCCAAATTACCAGAGAAGAACAAGGAAAATACAGACCTGGAGAAAAAGTCGGAAGCCTCTGTAAGTATTAAGAAACAGAAAATGGAAAATAAGATGTTAGATGAGCTCCAAGCATACTTCTTAAAGCCAGAAAGGCGGGTGAGCAGCACCAGCGCGCCGCATGGGCCAGGCCCTGCTACCGCCCCCACGGAGGCCTGGAGAGTCCTCAGGCAGGGACATGGGTGCTCCCACACCACCCCATCCTGCAGATCAGAGTTGCACAGGACGGGAAATGGCCTGCCCAGGGTCACCAGGCCCTCGGGGCAGGCCCTGGGATTTGGTAAACAACATTAAAATCCACAAGAAAACCAGATGTTAAACCAGGTCAAAGAGCTAAGTGACTCCGGGGAACATCCAAAAGGTGGGTGGCGGGACATGACACAGACAAAAGACTAGACAACGAGAAACCACAATGTTGTCCCCGACAAAGCTGCTGCTGTCCACCTGTGAAGTAACGAATGGCTCCTCAATCCCGTTAGAACGGCTACCATCGAAAACAAAATCACAAGTGTTGCCAAGGCTGTGGAGACGCTTTTTCTTCCCCGGCTCGGCTCTCCAAGGTTGGGTTCCCCACTGCGTGCTGGGGAGCCTGCAGCATGGCAGAGGTGGCCTCACACGGCCCCTGAGAACCAGAGCCTTGTGCACTGCTGGTGGGAACGCACGATGCCACAGCCACTGCGGAAACGCTGTGGCGGCTCCTCAAAACATTAAACACAGAACCACCTAATGATCCGGGGTATATGCCCTGGGTATATGCCCAAAGGAACTGGAAGCAGGGTCTCACAGAGATATCTGAACACCCATGTTCACAGCAGCCTGATTCACAACAGCCAGAAGTGGAAGCAACCCACGTGTCCATGGATGAATGGATAAACACAGTGTGGTCTATCCATAACAGTGGAATATTATTTGGCCTTCAAAAGGAAGGAAATTCTGATTCACACTACGACATGGAAGAACCTTAAGTGAAATGAGCCAGTCACAAATGCTGTATGATTCCACTAATACAGGTTCCTAGAGTAGTCAGAGACAGAAAGTAGAATCGTGGGTCCCAGGGGCTGGGGGAGGTGGTAAATCAGCAGGGGGTTAGTGTTTAACTGGGACAGAGTTTCAGTTTTGCAAAATGAAAAAACTTCTAGGGATGGATAGTGGCGATGGTTGTACAGCAGCGTGAGTGTGCTTAGTGGCATAGAACTGTACACTTAAAAATAGGTAAGATGGTACATTTTATGTGGTGTATACTTTACCGCAATTAAAATTAAAAAAGCAATGACTGGGACAGAGCTATAAGAAGTCACCATGCAGCTGTGACTGGCAGGGTCACATATGGAATTCCCCATCCTCTCCCCTGCGTGAACACGCAGCAACACGTGCCCAGGGAAAGCAGGCAGGATCACAAACGCAGTGCAGGGTTTTCACACAATGCGCATGGATGGAGAAGATGAAAATAGGGATACGGAGGCCCTAAGTATTAAATTTAATATGATGACCGGGATGGATACATAAAAACGCCACACTCCTCCCACGGGCTTACGGGCCATTTACAACACGAAAAATTTGTAAGACCAAGAAAGAACCCGCAATGCACACTAAGTCATGGTTGTGGTTCCCGCTCTGCCCCCGACCACAGTGCAATAAAACTAGCAATGAGTATCGGGAGAGAAACCAAAAAGCCGGAGCCCCTGAGATTTGTAAAAACTTGCTTCCAAACAATTCACGTGCTAAAGAGGAAACAGAAACCACAAATACAGAGAATCCAGAAAATATCAACCATGAGCACAAGGCAGAGGCAAACTCAGGGGATCCAGCCAAGCTGCCAAGCAGAGAACCGATGACGTTTCATTCCCACGCCAGCAAAGAACAAAAAGAAATGCGTTAGGCATTCAAGAAAAAGTGTAGAGTAAGTAAACTCAGGAACTGTTTTTTTTTTTTTGTTTTTTTTTTTTGGTGGGGGGAGGGAATCAGTGGGGAAGAGACCAATCACAGATTAACCACTGTCCATTCTGATCAAGAAATAACATGAAAATACAAATTCACAAAATTGCACTAAAAAGGACAGATGTTCACAGATGTAGAGGGAATTAGAAAAATAATTGTTCACATAATGATATGTGGATAAAATGAACAACTTCAGAGGAAAATGTAAAACAACATCACTGCTACAAGACACAGAAAACCCCAGCCAGGCACAGTGGCTCATGCCTGTAATCCCAGCACTTTGAGAGGCTGAGGTGGGTGGATCACCGAAGGCCAGGAGTTCGAGAGCAGCCTGGCCAACATGGTGAAACCCTATCTCTACTAAAAATACAAAAATTAGCTGGACATGGTGGCAGGCACCAGTAATCCCAGCTACCTGAGAGACTGAGGCAGGAGAATCACTTGAACTTGGGAGGTGGAGGTTGCAGTGAGCTGACATCGCTCCACTGCACTCCAGCCTGGGCGACAGAGCAAGACTCCATCCAAAAAAAAAAAAAAAAGACAGAAAACCCAAGGGGACCAATTAACACCAGAAAGATACTGAAAAGGTTGCCAATTTTCTACACCATGAAAAGGAGCCTGGCCCCGGTGGTTTTGCAGGTGAAAATGAAGACCCTCTAGATCTTCAAGGAACTGCTTATTTCCATCATCCTGACTATCCTAGCACACAGGGAAAGAATAAGGGTCCACAACCTGTATCTTGGGAAGAAAACCCAATGCTGGTAATAAAACTCCCAAGGTAAAGTACAGAGCAAGCTCACTCAGGAAGAACGAAGCCACACTCAGAACAAACAGTGGCCAACAGACACCTGAGACTGCCGAAAGGCTGCACAGGAATGAGGAAACGCTCCATTCATCCCAGAAACACGGTAGGTTCGCAGCCTCTGACCACTTCTCCTGTGTCACAGCCTCGCCAGTGCCAGCGGCCTGCCAGCACTGAGACAATGTCCAGCTGGGCAGGTTGTTGTGTCACATCGAACGGTTCTTCCTTCACAGGACAAAAGCTTACTTTACACACGGGAAGAAGATGCATTCTCCATCCCTCTCCCACCCCCACCCCCACAAAAATACAATAAAAAAGCATCTGGCCCCAAAGGAGAAAGACAGAAGGTTTAAGGTGTTAACTCTTGACCACATGGCTCTGAACTGTGTGGATCACCTACATGAAGCTTTTCTTCTGCCGCTGCCGCCACTGAGACAGCAAGACCAACCCCTCCTCTTGCTCCTCCTTCTTGGCCTCCTCAACATGAAGACCTTAGGATGATCCACTTACACTTAATGAAAAGTATATATATTTTCTGTGGGTTTTTTTGAGATGGGATCTCACTCTATTGCCCACGCTGGATTGCAGTGGTGTGATCTTGGTTCATTGCAACCTCCACCCCCTGGACTCAAGCGATCCTCCCACCTTGGCCTCCCAAAATGCAAGGATTACAGGCGTGAGATACCATGCTGGGTCTAATTTTCTTAATAACACTTTCTTTTCTCTAGCTTACTTCATTATAAGAATACAGTATAGGCTGGGCACAGTGGCTCACGCCTGTAATCCCAGCACTTCGGGAAGCCAAGATGCATGGATCACTTGAGGTTGGGAGTTTGAGACCAGCCTGGCCAAGATAGTGAAACCCCGTCTCTACCAAAAATACAAAAATTTGCCGGGCATGGTAGCGGGCACCTATAATCTGAGCTACTGGGGAGGCTGAGGCAGGAGAAACACTTGAACCCGGGAGTTGGAGGTTGTGGTGAGCCAAGATCGCACCACTGTACTACAGCCTGGGCAAAAGAGGGAGACTCAGTCTCAAAAAAAGAAAAAAAAAAAAGAATACAGTATACATACATGTAACATACAAAATATGGGTTAACTCACAGATAATGTTATCAGTAAGGCCTCTGCTCAATAGTAGGCTGTCGTTAAGCTTTGGGGGAGTCAAGAGCTACACTCGAATTTCTGACCATGTGGGGGTTCGGCGCCCCACCCCTGCGTTGTTCAAGGGTCACTTGTATTGCCATCGCCAGCAGCAAAGGAAGGCAGCTGCTGTCACTCCCCTACTCAGCAGTGAGTCACTCTCCAACACAGTACGACTGGAGAACAAAACAGGGAAAATTGTTAAGAGGTGGTAGGACCACCCTAGGTTACGGGTGACCTTATGACTGGCCTGAAGAACCAAGCAGGAAGCAAAAAAACTAAAATAAAAAACAGGCACAGGGTGACAACAGTCACAAAAGAAACACACAGAAGAGGAGCTTCCTCTTAGCCCAGCGATGACCAGCTAGAAAATAAAATGGGGGAAAATATCCCACTCTCGGTAGTGGCCACAGAGCACCGGATTCCTAGACACTGAATGAGTCATCTGCAGGAGAAATGAGATCTCTGTGGAAGGGCCTGGATGCAGACGTGGGGGTGGAGGAACAGACTGCTGTTTCTCGAGCCGGTGGTCTTGATGTAATCCTCCCTGACCAGTTAATACATTCAGTGCAATTACCATGAAAATCCCCCAAATATTGAGCCATTGATAAAAATTGCTAGGAAATTAAGGTAAATTCCAGATGCATCAAAGGTTTGTGTGTTTAGAACCATAAGGCACTGGAGGAAACCTACACAGGCATGCTCTCTGGTTTCACCTCCTCGCTGCCTCCTAAGGGCAGCTTTCGCCGCTGCCTCTCCTGCAAAGGACCCTGCCATCTGCCTCCCTCCACCACCAATCATGTCAAGGTGCCCAGTGGTGCCTGGGGCCCGTTTCCTTCTCTGTCCTCCCTGGCCGTCCTCTCTGGCCTCTCACAAGGAGCCTGGGCCTGTTTCTACCCACTCTCACCGGTCACCCCTCCAAGCAAGGATTTGACATAGGCCAGGCCCTGCTGCCGCCAGAAACACCTCTCTTGGCCATACCTCTTTCTGAACCCTTGATTTGCATAGACTCCTGTCTACGTACCATCACCCCTCAGAATCCAAGGGGAACGCTGAACCCCATGTGGCTGCTGAGGACGGGGCTGCCAGGTGCAGCAAATGACAGGAGGCCCTGCGAAATCTGCATCTCAGAGAAACGGTGGTTTTTGAGGCATGTTCCCGATACTGTATGAGACAGGCTTATGCTTCTTGTTTATCTGAAATTCCAGTTTGCCTGGGGCTCCCATGTTTCCTGGCAGCCCTGGCTGTGGCCTGGGGTGTCATCTCCCCTCCCCTGCACTCTCCTCTCTACTCCCCTGCCCTCCCCTCCCCTCCTCTCTTCTCCCCTGCCCTCCCCTCCTCTCCTCTCCCCTGCTCTCCCCTCCCCTCCTCTCCTCTCTTCTCCCCTGCCCTGCCCTCCCTACTCCCCCAGGAGCTCTGCCAGGTGCTGTTCTTCATTCCTCAGCGCTGCCTCACTTCCTGCATCCAGGCCCAGGGACTGGAGTCCATCACTTTCGCCTCCAGGACTCCCTGGAACCCTCCCACTCCTATCCTTGCCTGGCCTCCTGCCCATGCTGGGGGCCACAGCTGAGGGCTCCTTTAAACCACACCTTCTGTCCTGTCACCCCCTTTAATGTCCTTCAAGGTTTTCCCACTGCCCTAGGAATGAGATCTGAATGCTTAGAGAATGGGTCTTTCCTCCAGCACCAGCTTCGGCTCAAAGCCCTCTTCCCCACCATGCTTCAGTCAAAAAGGCTTCCAGGAACTTCCAAAGCAGGGCCTTTGCACAACCGTCCTTGCCCTCTGCCCTCTGGACTGTGCTGCCGCTGCTCCTCAGGGCTGTGCTCCGTGGTCTCCTGTTTATTTCCTGCTGCATTTAAGTAGCACCACATGTCTACATGGTTGACATGCAGCAGGGCTGCCCCACCCTGGCACTATGGACATTTGGTGTGGGATCATCCTCTGGGGGAGCTGCCCTGGGTTGTGTAGGACACCCTACTGTAGCAGGCTGCTCTGCACCCCTGTCCTTTGCCCCCTCCGAGTCCTGACCCTGGGTGTCCCACGTGTGTGAGAGTCCTGACCCTGTGTGTCCCGTGTGTGAGGTGGCAGATGGGTGTTTCCAGGAGAAACGGTGCAGCGCTTTCCCGGCATTCCCTCATCCATCCACCTCCCCCGCTTCCCTCTCACAACTGTCTCCTCCAGAGGCAAGAAAATCCCTGCAGAGAGAGCCACCCCGGGTGTCAGTCACCAAGTGTCCATTGAAGAGGCAATGCTTTCTAGGCTTCTTCCCCTCCCGGCCTGGGGCCAGGGTACCTGACAGCGGCAGGCCTTACGAAGCAAACACGCGCATGGTTGGGCAAATCACTGACTTTTCTCCTCCCAGGTGGTGTCAGACTCAAGACAGTCCTTCCTGAGACTCGTGTGGGGATACGTGGTCCGGGAGAACAGGGGGCAGGGCTTCCTGGGCAAGCTGTACCCCACCCCCTGGAGTGAGCTGGCCCAGGCCACGGGCCAGGTCACTCTGCCTCCCCTCCTGCCCCCGTGGTTTCCCAGAACTCTCAGCTAATTCAGGAGCTGCTTCCCCGGAGCCAAGGCCTGGGGGCCTGAACATGGCATGTGTGGGGGTGACACTAACGTACCCTGAGGGTCTGCTGGGGGCACAGAGGAAGACCCCCTGTCCCTGGGGTGGTGGGTGGGGTGGGGGTTCTGGGAGGCTGGGCAGTTGTCCCCGTGAGGGGTGGAGGTGGTGCTGACCCTGGCGGAGGGCACAGTGGACAGCCGGGGCCTGGGGTTTTGGGATTCTGGTTCTCGGTCCCAGAGAATCCACCATGTGACTGCACATGGGAGGGAGTGAAGCACTCTCGGAGCACGGGGAGGAGTCACCGAGAGAGCTGAGAACGTAGAGTCGGGGGGCCTGTGACTCAGGCCCATAGCCCTGCACTCCTGCCACATCTGGCTAGTGTGTCCCCCTGGACCCTGCTCCAACAAAGCCACCCAGAAGCCGTGATTTAAAAGATGGTTAAAGTGATGCCTTTCGGATGCCCCAGAAATTACTGAAATAAACCATCTTAGGAAAAAAATATTTTTCCTGAACAGAATAACATCATTCGGTGAAGTGAGTACGATTTTGTTTGGGCTGGGAGCCCTCCTATGGTGGCCGTGTTGACGCATCCTCCTCACTAAGGAGAAACAGGTCCTCCAGGAACATCACCCAGCTGAGAGTCCTCCTGTTCTGGAGCAGAGAGGACTGGGGACAAGGACATCCCTCCAGGGCTTCATATGTCTGCTGTGGGATGTGTCAGAGGTAGGCAGGGGGTATGGCAGGCTGGGAACTGAACAGTGCCCTGGCAGCACCGTCTCTGCCTCTTCATTTGCCACCAAGAAACTGGTGGGCTGGGGCAGTGGGCACATGGTCCAGCAAGTGCTGGAGCCACCAGGGCCACTGTAGCCCGGGCTCCCCTGTCCCCTTCCCAGCTCCCACTGTCTTCCTGGCTGCAGCACCTCTTCTTTCAGGAGGCCTCCCTGGGTCCCCAGTGGAGGAGGAGGCTCTTGGGCAGGATTCCCACAGTCCCCCAGGTACGCCATTCTCGGAGCCCCCTGAGCCTGCCGTCCCTGCAAGGGACAGACACCCATCTCAAACGTTATGGGTCACATGATGGAAATGTGTACCCCATGAGCTCGATCTAGGGGCTCAAAAGGCTTCAGGAGTGCTCTATGTCATGGACAGGTACTCCCCCATGGCTCACAGGGTAGACTGTGGCAGCCCCACTCAGATCCAGCCTGGAGGAAAGACGCAGCTTTTCCCCGTGGTTCCAGCAGAACACTGACTGTCCAGCCTGCGGCCAGTCTCCTCCCTGGGACCATCTGGATGGCCAGGCCTGGCTCAGAGACCACTGAGGGCCAGCCCACCATACCACAAAGACCGTCAGGAAAGAGGGGTTCTAGGCCTGAGTTGGGGGTGGGGGCACTGGCAGGGGCACTGGCAGGCAAGCCCGAGGGGCTTCACTCTCTGGGCTCAGCATTTCCGCTGGAATTCACACTACACATGGCACCTGCATCACACAGTCAGCCAGACGCCAGTTGTAACTGATTAGAAGCTATGAAATGGGCGCATTCTGGGGAAAAAAATCAGGACAGACTTTTCCAACTAGCCTTAACTAAAGATTCCACCTAAAACATTTCCCGGAGCTGAATCTACCATTTGCACTGTGGATATAAATGTTTCTCAACAGCCCTGGCCTCGGACTGGTAATAAGCACGCTGACAGGCATGCGCCTGTGGAAGGAAGACAAAAATCCAGAAATTTCTTCCTGCAGCTAGACACACAGAGAGGGTAAACAAACACACTGAGTTGATTAACAAATAAGAATCCTTCAGATTTGGACTTTGGCATGAGAACTGTGTCCAGATTTAAAACCGCATGGCAATCTGAAGCAGTCACATAGCATTTCCTGTGATGTCCCTGTCATTCCAATTCTACTTGTATTTATATAAAGTCATACATTTCAATTAATGTTGCAGCCATTAAAAAAACCCCTGGCTCCCACGTGACAGCCAAGGAAGGCATGCGTTTCCTAGGACAGGTGACTGAGTTCATGTGTGACAGCACCAGCCAGCATTCCCTGAGTGAAGATGGACTCGAAAAACCAGGGGCTTCTAACGCATCCTTCTTTCCTGGTTAACGAACAGCTTTTCGGTGTCTATACACAAACTTTTCAGAATGCATGTAGAGTCTCCAGTAAACAGAAGAGTACACAGGATGCTCAGAGGGAAAAGAACTATATATGGATCCTAAGTTTTTTTTTTTTTTGAGACGGAGTTTCACTCTTATCACCCAGGCTGGAGTGCAGTGGCATGATCTCAGCTCACTGCAACCTCTGCCTTCTGAGTTCAAGCGATTCTCCTGCCTCAGCCTCCCAAGTAGCCGGGATTATAGGTGCCTGCCACCATGCCTGCCTAATTTTTTTTGTATTTTTAGTAGAGACGGGGTTTCACCATGTTGGCCAGGCTGGTCTTGAATTCCTCACCTCAGGCGATTCACCCACCTCAGCCTCCCAAAGTGCTGGGATTACAGGCGTGAGTCACCATGCCTGGCCGGATTATGAGATTCTTAATAACTACCTAAGACAAATAGCTTGATTGTAAAATTGTCACAGATAAGTTCTTAAACCTGTAAACTAGAGTACTTAAAAAAATTCCACATTGCCATTCTTGGTAGCAAAATCTTCATCACCAAGGAGACCTGGCTAGTGCTACAGCTTGGGAAGGAAACAGCCTGTGCTCAGTAATTCTACTAATTACAGCTGGGCTCCAATGACATTAATTTACTGATAACCTCATAAAGTTTTGTTTGTTCTTCCAAGAGATAACATTAGCCAGGCCACTCAAAATAACGTTAAAATTACAGGACTTTGGACTTTCGGCAGAACATGAATAGTTTTCTCGGTAAACAAGGAAGGTCTTTATATGTGATCGTGACATAGTGTTTTATTTACACAAGCTTTAGAGGGTTCAGCCTCTGGACACTAGTAAAGAACGTTTATTTATTTGGTTATTTATGTAAAAAATATTCCACAACCCAGCTCTCTGCCTTGCTAACAAAGAAATGTTTGTTTCTTAGTAAATGAAAACAGTGAAGGCCATGTCAAGCCAAATGGAGAGAATAAAATTACTGCGAGATTCTGCTTTCCACGTAACTTCAGCCAAAACTCTAAAGTGGCAAGATCCGCTTTCAGATTATATTATATCGGCCTCTGAGGATTCTATGCAGATCTGCCACCCCTTGGAGAGGTTTACAAATAGGGAACAGAAATCCATGGCTCCCAAGAAGCCCTGGCCCCTCTCCTCGCTGGGCCACGAACCACTCCCCCAGCTACAACAGCGCCGGTGGTCCCTGCTTGCCCAGTGCCAGCGCCAAAGAGGTCTTGTGCGGCAGGTGCCTCTGACCAACATCACTGTTTCCGGGGAAAGGCCACACATACCAGAAACAACTGCTCCGGCCTTCCCAGGGACACTGGGTTCTCCCACGCCAGTAACCTATTCACAGTTTCCGTTAAAAGGTAGCTAAATACACGGAATAATGCAATAGCCAAAGCGGTTTAGAAGGGGCTTGAGTTAGCATTTTAGGAACACATTACAGACAAGGGAAGTGAACAGCACCGTTTCTTGCCGAGTGTGTGGCCAGTTCCTGTGGCCATGAGGCTGCCGCTAATCTCCACTTCTCCCTCCAAGTGGAAAGCCAAACGTGTTCCACCACTTCACCAAGGGACCCGTCCTTCTTTAAATTTCTATTAGCCAAAAGTGCCAAGTTAACAAGCAAACCAAAAGAAAAAAGAAAAAAAGCGATGGAAGTGTCCCGAAAAGGGCTGGCCTCATTTCTGCAAAAGACGTGATTTGCAAACAAGCAACTGCTGCAGGCGACAGATTGTCAGTGTTGACTAATTTCCATACAAACCGGCTGTGGTTCTGATTCCCGAACACTGCGTCTTCTGCAAGGTGCCCGTCTGCAGGTTTTGCAACGCGGGACGGCCTAGGGAAGGGAGCCTGCGCTGGCAGTCACCGCGGCGCACAGCCTGAGAAACGAGGTGCGGGGCTGGGGAACCCCGCGTCCTGTTTTTCCTTCTGAAAACTAGTTCTCCAGTGTGCAGGGCTGACTCACCCCACGCTTTCCAGAATGCCCGCTCTCCGACGTCCCCAAAGCCGTCCCTTCCCCGGCGAGAAGCGCAACACCGGTCCGCGCCCTCCGCCTCCCCTGTGCCCTGGGGCCTCCCGCCTGGAACCGGGGCGGCCCGCGTTCAAGGGCAGCGGATCTGTGCGCCCGCGGCGCCCGCCCCCACCCGCTCCCACCCGCTCCCACCCGCTCCCCTCCTCTCCCCTAGAGGACACCGGCTGGCCAGGGGAAGGGAGCTCGGCCGGGACCCCTGGACCTACTCACCCAGGAGCAGCCAGAGGCCGCGCCGCGGGAGGCGGCACAGGGCCCGGGCCATGGTGCACAGCGGTGCCGAGTCGAGTCCGCTCGCCACGCGCCCCGCTGAGGACTGAGCCCGCCGCGGCGCGGGCCCGGAGGAGACGCGCCGGGGGCGGGAGCGGGCGCGGGAGCGGTGGGAGGCGGCGGCCGCGCGGCCCGGCCCACTGCGGCTCCCCGCGTGGGTGCCAGGGCCGGGGGCGCCCAGGGCCGGTAAAACTTTGCAGGGGGGCCGCGCGGGCGTCTCCAGGCCCCTCCCGGGGGGCGGCACACTTGGGGTCCCAGGAAGGCCTCCTGAAATGTTCTCCGAGCAAATAAACACTTTTTAAACTAGGGAGGGTCTCCTAGACGACTCAGCGTGAGGGGCACCTTGGTCTCCACCTGGGGATCTTCCCCTCCTCCTCCTCCGAGGTTCTGGGCGTTCCTGCCTGGTGTTTGCCTTGCAAAAGGCTAAGATCTCCCAGCCTTATCTACCTCTCCGCCCAGGTGCAGGCGCTGGGGAGCGTGGGGGGCAAAACTCGCCACCGCGCCTGGCGAGACCCGTAGTAACCCAAAATGGCGCACACTTACCAGGCCCTGGAATGCTGCTCCAGATCTGCAGGATGAGTGGGTGGGCAGAGGCGGGGACAGCACGGCAGGTGAACAGAAGCCGTGGGGCTGGAGGAACAGGGCTCTTTGGGGGGATTGAGATGGCCTGGGAGTCTTGCTGTTGATGGGTAGGTAGCGAGAGCCTGGCAGGAGGTTGTGAGGGCCTGGCCACAGAGTCTTGAGATGAGGTTTGCTTTGGTGGCACTCTGGCAGCTGCATGGAAAACTGATGGGGGATCTTGGGTACATTCGTTTATGTAAAGTGGTGAGAGGAGGGCGCTCTGGAGATGGGCCGGGGAAGCCTGCGGAGGAGCAGGTTTTGGGAGGCACAGGCCTGGCCTCTCGGCATTACTGGTGGCTGGATTTCACTTGCAGTGGTTCCTTCTTGTATTATCCTGTTCCGAGAACTCTTAGCAACAGTAAATTTATACTTGTGCTAAGGAATGCACCACTGCCCTTGGAGGGGGAAGAATCACCACCCTGGTGCTGCGGCCACAGCTGTCTCTTTTGTGGTGGAAGCTGCAAGCGCACAGCATTGCTGAGTGACCATCGTTTTCTCCTAGGAAAGGGAACAGTCTGTGGCTGAGAGGCTGCTGCCACCTGCAGTAAGCTCAGAGAAGGGGAGACAGCTGACAGCGAGGTCATCCACTGGTTCTTCTAACACAGGCTGGGAGGGCACTCAGGGCCAGCATGCCTACCACCTGTGCAGGGGCCCCAAGTGTTCTGAGAGTGAGGGGTGAGATGGTGGGGGAGGGCACACATTCTCTTGACTTGATTAGCCCTTGTTCTTGAACCCTAGGAGATACACCCCATTGGGTGGCCTGGCATCCCTACTTTCTTCATTTAACAGACATTTGTGTCCCTATGTGCAAGACACTGTTAGATCGACAAGCCCTGCCCTTCAATTGGTGAATCTAGGGGGTGACCTCTAAGACTCTCAATAACATGAGCGCCACAATACAGGAGCCACCCGGAACAAGGGACACTCGCCTCAGCTGCAGTGCAAGTAAGGAGACAAAGGATTCTGGACAAAATGCAGCCCAGGCAGTCCTGAGGGCTGGGTGGAGAGAAGGGCACAAGGGAAATGCAGGCCCGAGCACAGGCCTGGCAGCCAGAGGCCGTGCCATGTGAGAGCAGCACAGCTAGTGGGGAAGGGTGGCTGCCAGCACAGCCCTGGGACAGGGCCACCGTACATCCTGCACTAGGCGATGGCCAGTCATAGTGGGGGAGAAGAACCTGCATCTTTCTGCAGCCATCACTCGCCCTCCATATCCAGGGACTCTGGCTTGAGCCACCCTTTCTACTTGTAGCTTGTGGACTTTGGCTGCATGTTTTTGGTTGGCAACTGGGACTCCTCTTTCATCAGGCTCAGCAGGAGTCTTTCTTCCCAACGTTTTCTCTTTGAAGCTTGACTGCAAGGAGGCAAGGCCAGAGGCCCCTGTCACTGCTGTTTTCTCAACACCCCCTAAAGGATACATTTTCCTAAGAAGACAAAGCCTATTTCTCAAGTTCACATGCTTTAGAAATTCACAGTTCTCTGGAGAATGCTGAAGTAAGGCACACACCTAGAGGCATGTTCTCTCCTAATGATTTTCCTGTCTGTACCTTGGGTCTAAGTAAGACATTCCTTAGCAACTACTATGGGCTTCCCGTCTTCAAAAGTTGTAGTCTGATGTATCTGTATTTCTAATTGGTCATAGGTAGCATGGAAAATCATTCCTCTCCCAGGGTACCTCAATCTAGAGGGGCATTAGGTTAAACAATAGAAGAGATTAGAAAATGGCCAAGTGCTTTACTGCATACACAGTAGGGCTAAAGATACAATCAAAGCCTGGTCAACACTGCTAAAAATTCACTATTAACATAAGATTCCTGCTTCCAGCCGAGATGAAGTTACAGGGACTGGACTCACCTTCCCATCTTAAACTAAAAAACTGGACAAAATGTATGAAACAACAGTTGTCACAGTGGACCACAAGAAGTGCAGGGACCCCTGAGAGCAGGGAAACAAATAAGGTGAGTGCTACAACTGCTCACTGCCTGGAGTTTGCAGACCACAGATGGAGAAAGGAAACCCAAAGAGAGTCTGGGGAAGCCAGGCAGTTAACGCTGGCAGGGCATAGTACCAGAGAGGAAAGAGCTGCGCAAAGAATGCGCTTGCGAGATCACAGAGGGTCCCACTTGAGTCTCAGCCCACACATCTAAGGACACTACCCAAGGGAAAAGAGCCTAAGAGCCCACACCCAGCTGGGAATAGTTCCAGTTCCCACCAACCATAGTGGAAAAATCTTGAAATACACAGAACATCAGAGCATAATTAGAAGGGCAAGTCCCTCTCTGTAGTCAGTAAAAATTACAAAGGCTATTCTGGTGCTGCCTAACAAAACTTAAAAGCAAGAACTAACAGGAGCAAATGATTTCCAAGTAGCTATTACATCCCGTAACTTAAAAACAATAAAAGAACAAAGCATCAGAGAGCCATGAGGCAACTCCAGGTGGCAACTCTAAGGTGTAACTGGAGCCCCTGGAGGAAGATGGGTGGGAAATATGTGAAAAACCACTATGTGGAACATTTTCTATTAACCCATGAGCCAAGAACATCCCCAAACTCCAAGCACAAAAATCATTTAGAAAAATATGTGAAAGCACATCACGATCAAATTGCCTAAAGCCAGTAATAAAGAGAAAACCTTAAAAGCAGCCAGAGAGAGAAGACATTACGTATAGCAGGGGTCCCCCAACCCCACAGGAGTACCAGATCATGGCCTGTTAGGAACCTGGCCTCACAGCAGGAGGTGAGCAGCGGGTGAGCTAGTGAAGCTGAGGTCCGCATCTTGTTAGATCAGCAGTAGCTGATCTAACCCTACCGTGAACTGTTCATGCAAGGGATCTAGGTTGCACTTCTTATGAGAATGATGATCTGAGGTGGAACCGTTTCATCCCTAAACCATCCCCCTCTCACCCCATGGAAAAATTGTCTTCCACAAAACCAGTCCCTGGTGCCAAAAAGGCTAGGGACTGCTGATGTACAAAACACAGGTAAGGGTGACAGAAGAGTTCTCATGGGATATAATGCCACCAGAATACAATGGAACGTTTTTAAGTACTGGAAGGAAAAAAGCATCAAATATTCTACAGATAGTTTTTCAATAACTTGCTGATATGAAGGGGAAGACTCCACTGGTGTCCTCACTATCAGGCCTGCAATTTAAAGGCTGAACTTCAATCATTATCAATAATGAATCAGTGGTTCTGAAGATAACATGCTTATAAGCAATAACAACTTAGTTCTGTGAGTTGTTTAAATCGTGCAATTGCTGGATAAACACTAACAAAAACAGCAGTATCTCAGGGAACTCAGGTTCATCAACTATCAATTTTTCAAGTCCTGCAGGAAGTCCCACTGTTAAAACCAACACACTTGCAAGTAGCTGAGAACAGAAGTTGCCTATCTCCCCTATTCCCCCAAGAAACAAAACAAACAAAAAACAAGAAGTGAAAAATAAATTCTATATAAAACTGTCCTCAGCATTACTTGGAGAATTTTCCAACTGCAAAGGAGCTGAGTAACAGGGAAAAAATTCCCACCAAATCCCACTACACAACTCACACTCCTATACTACCCTCAGCCAGCCACATGCTTAGTGTGAGCAAAGGCAGACTGAGAAAAATCGTGGAGCCAAGAGGGAGGCTGATGAACAGGCCTACGGGTGATATGAAACAATCTCCAGAAAGACGAACTCTTAACACTCTAGACGTGAAAAATTTAAAATACCCCAATACCATAGAGACAAACAAGAGACAAGTCCATCTAGAGCTACTGCAGAAAACCGGGACATGAAATGTCAGACATACAAACTGAAGGAACCCCTAACCTCTAGGAGACTATATTACAAATGTGTAACATAGCCACCCTGGGTGGATCAGGAATAAAAGACATAACCTAAGCACATTTAGACAAAAGAGCAAAAGACAAAAGAACTGTACACAAATGACGTACTCCAGTTAGTAAATCTGTTTCTTACAGGGCCATGGTTTAGCAACGCTGTAATGACTTTACGTGTATAGTAGGATTGAGCAAATAAATACATAAATAAATTGTGAATAACGTGAGCCAGTTTTCTCACTATTGGTATAAGGTAGAAATAAGGGACAGAAATTCAAAGTATCAGTATGAACACACACAGATATATGGTGCTGATGACTAGCTGTAAATACAGGGACAAAATACAAGTGTGTCTGTTTGCTTGGATTAATACACACGCACATATTTCCCAGCTATATCTACCGAGAGAGCCTAAGACCAACTCCAACAGCAACAAGCAAACCTCCTGACCAGGTCTTCGTTTCTAAATACTATTCTCCAATAAAAGGAAACAGCTTGTTGAAGTGGTGGAGTCCAGTGCTGGGGCAGGGAATGTACAAGATGAGCCAAAAATATCCTGTGATGCCAGAAAATAAGTACTTAAAAAAGAATGGGTTTTTCAAAAGGACACAGACCCCAACCTGAAGAAGCTCCTAATGGCTAATGCTGGAATAATGTGAGCAACGAAGTAAGAAAAGAACACTATTGTAATGCACAGAACAAAATAAACATCGAGTGCATACTGATATAAAACACTGAATAAACAGGGGACAAGGTGTGGCTCCTCCTTACAGAAAAATTCCAAGTAATAAATATAGAAGGGATGAGAGACACACAAAATCATCATTAAGCAAACACCACAAGAATAACTGTTTCAGCCAAGATTTGACGAATACTAGAACCAGTGACCAAATGTTTCAGGAGCAGCATATTTGTGTACTCTCAAAGAGCTCCTTCAATTACAAAGGAAAACCATTAACCTCATAGTGCAGGAACCCAGCAGAAGCCACCTGAACCAAGTGATCAAGGATAACATCACCTGTAAAAGATATTATCCCCAGGTATGATGTGCTAAGAAAGAGACGTTATTTCTGTGGTACTCATAAAAACGTATAGCTCAATCTAATCATGAGAAAACATCAGATACATCCAAATTAAGAGGTAATCTACAAAATAACCAATTAATACTCATCAAATGTCAAGATAAAACAATTCACTACCATGACAATAGTCATGAAACTCAAGAAAATACTGAGGAACTGTCACAGATGAAGGATGGAGGATGAAGAAAGCACAATAACTAAATGCAGTGTGGGCTACTGGATCGGATCCTAAAACAGAAAAAGAACATTAGGAAGAAAATTGGTAAAAATGAGTAAGATTTGTGGTTAATAGCATTGCACCAGTGTTAATTTCTTAGTTTTGATAATTTTACTATGGTTACAGGAGTTGTTAACATTAGGGGAAGTGGAATGAATGGCAGACATTAACTTCCTATGGTATTTTTTGCAACTTTTCTGTAAGTCTAAAACTATTTTAGACTTATATAAGACTTATATAGACTATATTTTAGACTAAATAAAAAGATCGTATATACCTAATATATTAGCAATAAAACTACTCCTAAATTAAAAGGTCAAATAAGCAGTCATATACCCAACTCTTAACATTGCCTGTGTTCCTACTTCCCAGTAATTCTTAGTGAACACTGGAACCATTCCTAATTACTCAGGGTAATGTGAGTGTTTGAGAGAGGCATAAACAAATCCTTCACATCTGAAGCATCTGACAGTGTTGGAAGCATTTAGAAAGCCAAAGCTAGTGACTTTACTGTGAATGTAGGTATACATATATATCGGCATATGTTTATGTATACAAACATAATTAAAGTCTGTATAACAAAGCCTTTGTATTATAAAATGAGGGAAAAATGCCTCCTGCTTATTCTGCTTCTCACTGGAGAATCAGGTTTCCTGTTCTCTGGCCACTCTTCACTTCATGGGTGTTTGTGGAGCCCAGGCCTATCATCAGAGTCTTCCCCGGGGTTTTGCTGGAGTTACACGATTTTTTTCCTCGAATTAGTAACTCAGAGAATTACATAAATTAGATAAACCTGTTAGCGACCATCTTTGCCCTTATGTGTGCGGAGCCTGATGCCAACCCAGAAGAAAGCATATCCAGCTTCACCTGAATTCATTTCTGGAGTATTCAACTATGTACGTTCATTTCCATTTTCTTGTACTTTTGCTAGTTTATGTTTCTATTATTTGCAATCACGTGTCCCCTGACTAGCAAGCCAACCTATGGTCTGCCTTATTCTAATAAATACTGAAGCAGGTTACAGACATTAATAGAAGAGGAATAAAAATAAATTAAGAAAGAATGAAGTAAAACAACAGATTATTACAACAAAGTCAGGGTAAGGTTACTAACAAAGATGCACCATGACACACTGCTAGATGACAGCACTACCACCAGCAGCAGCAGCAAACCTTGACTGCGCCATACACCATGGTAAATGCTTCACTCTAGGCCTGTGCAGTAAAGCTTTAAAGAAAGCCCTTCAGACCCTCTTAAATAGCTGATATTAAAGATGAACCAAGCCGGGCATGGTGGCTCATGCCTGTAATCCTAGCACTTTGGGAGGCTGAGGCAGGCGGATCACTTGAGGTCAGGAGTTTGAAACCAGCCTGGCCAATGTGGTGAAACCCCGTTTTGTATTTTTGTACTAAAAAATACAAAAAAAAAAAAGCCTCATGCCTGTAATCCTAGCACTTTGGGAGGCCAAGGCAGGTGGATCACCTCAGGAGTTCAAGACCAGCCTGGCCAACATGGCAAAACCCCATCTCTACTAAAAATACAAAAATTAAATGGGTGTGGTGGTGCATGCCTGTAGTCCTAGCTACTCGGGAGGCTGAGGCAGGAGAATCGCTTGAGCCCGGGAGGCGGAGGTTGCAGTGAGCCAAGATTGTGCCACTGCACTCCAGCCTGGGCATCAGAGTGAGACTCCATCTCAAACAAAAATAATAATAATACAAAAAAAAATTAGCCGAGTATGGTGGCGGATGCCTGTAATCCCAGCTACTTAGGAGGCTGAGGCAGGAGAATTGCTTGAACCCAGGAGGTGGAGGTTGCAGTGAGGCAAGATTGCGCCACTGCACTCGAGCTTGAGTGACAGAGCAAGACTCTGTCTCAAAAAAAGAAGTCTGACACAGATCTCACTAGACTAAAATCAGGGTTTCAGCAAAGCTGCATTCCTTCTGGAAGCTCTAGGGAGCCCCTGTTTCCCACCTTTTCCAGCTTCCGGGGGCTGTCCACTGGCTCTCGGCCCCTCATTCTGTCTTCAAAGCCAGCAGGAGCGTGTTGAGTTCTCACAATGCCATTTCTCTGGTTCTCTCTTCTGCCTCCTCTACCACTTTTAAGGACTCATGTAATTAGATTGAGTCCGGCCAGATAATCCAGGATAAGCTCCTAATCTCAAAAGTCGGCTAATTAACAATCTTACTTGCATCTGCAACCTTAATTCTCTTTGTCATGTACAACACATCACAGGATCCAGATGACAACAGGACATTTTAGAAGGTCACTGTCCTGCCCACGTTAAAATATGTTACTACTACGTGCCACATATGTATTTGATAATACATAACAATGTCAATACTGAAAAAGCAGTACTTAAGCCCATGTATAGAGATTACTGGTTGAGATCTATTTTTTAAAAGAGAAATTACCTGTTACATTGAGCTTCTGAGTCACACATAGTATCTCCTTTGACCAGTATAGATTGGCATCAGGCAGAGCCAATTGGGAATTTTTAGTTCCACTGTTTTTGCTGATTGTCTTATGGTATTTACAATTTTCCAAATCTCTGGTTATCTCCAAACATATTAATTATCTATATATTCTAGTTGATATAGCTAAGTGCTCTTTGGTATCTAATACAACAGTGTGAAAGAAAATTGATTTTGAGCACTAATGTATGTTAAATTATCTAAATTTTTGCTAGTGAAGATCTATGAAAACTTGGGACAATTTGACCAGTCTTTTAAAATTCTACAATAATTTTATCCAATTATCTAATATCAAGTTAGAGATTTTACAGAATAAGATAAACAGAGATTTTTCACTTGAGGTTCCAAAAGATTCATGAAAAATAACTCTAGTTTCTAAATTTAACTTGGGAAGCTTCGTAACAGCTAGCAATTTACTGGTCACAGCTGAAAGCCCTTTAATTTACGAAAGCTGCCTGATCTTTACCTTTAGCTTTTGGATAGGACTTTACTTCAAAAAACCTGAAAGTTAGTGTCAGGCCTCTGAGCCCAAGCTAAGCCATCATATTCCCAGTGACCTGTACGTATACATCCAGATGGCCTGAAGCAACTGAAGATCCACAAAAGAAGTGAAAATAGCCTTAACTGATGACGTTCCAGCATTGTGATTTATTTCTGCCCCAAGCTAACTGATCAATGTACTTTGTAATCTCCCCCACCTTTAAGAAGGTTCTTTGTAATTCTCCCCACCCTTGAGAATGTACTTTGTGAGATCCACCACCTGCCCACAAAACATTGCTCTTAACTCCACCACCTATCCCAAAACCTTAAGAACTAATGATAATCCACCACACTTTGCTGACTCTCTTTTCAGACTCAGCCCACCTGCACCCAGGTGAAATAAACAGCCATGTTGCTCACACAAAGCCTATTTGGTGGCCTCTTCACACGGACACGTGAGACAGTTAGAATTACTTTCCTCCCCACCTCCACCACGCTGAGATGGGGTCTCACTCTGTTGCCCAGGCTGGAGTTCAGTGGCAAGATCTCGGCTCACTGCAACCTCCGCCTCCCGGGTTCAAGCGATTCTCCTGCCTCAGGCTCCAAAGTAGCTGGGATTACAGGTGCATGCCACCATGCCCGGCTAATTTTTGTATTTTCAGTAGAGAGGAGGTTTCACCATGTTGGCCAGGCTGGTCTCGAATTCCTGACCTCGTGATCCACCTGCCTCGGCCTCCCCAAAGTGCTGGGATTACAGGTGTGAGCCACCATGCCCGGTGCTGAAAATTAGAATTTCAAGTGACTCTTTCTATATTTTCCCCAAATCAAAGGCAGTAATTTTGTCTCTATGTATTCTAGAATGGAATTCCACTTCATCATTCCTCTGGGAAACAAATGATTAGAGGTATGCTTCTTATTTCTATGGGTATGTTGAAAATAACACCTATTCCATGTTGCTACTTTATTCAATGCTCTGAATGTAGCCTTTTAATATAAATAACCATAAAATTAACATACAGGAAAAATATCCATAATTTTAGTAAAATTTAATTAGTAATTTAATTAGTAAAATTAGGATTTTACTAATTTGATATATGGCTAAAGCCAATGATTTTTGTGTTTCATCAAATATAGTCCTTTTAAATTATTATTATTATTATTATTATTATTATTATTATTACTTTTTGGAACCCAATTCCTGGTGGACATTTTGAGTGGATCTGATAATAACTGGAGACAAATTAATATATGAAATAAAACCTTATTCTCAAATATATTCAATTCTTTTATAAATCCCATAAAAGAGGAAACATTTGAAATCCAGTCATTTGATATATTGCCTTACCATTCATGTATATTCCATGTCAACACTGGTAGGCTAAATTATACTTGGAAAATGCCAGATGGAGGTTCCAAGATGGCTGAATAGGAATAGCTGTAGTCTGCAGCTCCCAGCGTAAGCAACACAGAAGATGGGTGATTTTTGCATTTCCAACTGAGGCACCGGGTTCATCTCACTGGGGCTTGTCAGACAGTGGGTGCAGCCCACGGAGCAGGGTGGGGCATCGCCTCACCTGGAAAGTGCAAGGGGTCAGGGAATTCCCTTTCCTAGCAAAGGGAAGCCATGACAGACGATACCTGGAAAATCGGGACACTCCCACCCTAATACTGCGCTTTTCCAAAGGCCTTAGCAAACGGCACACCAGGAGATTATATCCCGTACCTAGCTCAGAGGGTCTCACGCCCATGGAGCCTCACTCACTGCTAGCGCAACAGTCTGAGATTGAACTGCCAGGCGGCAGCGAGGCTGGGAAGGGGCATCCGCCATTGCTGAGGCTTGAGTAGGTAAACAAAGTGGCCAGGAACCTCGAACTGGGCGGAGCCCACCGCAGCTCAAGGAGGCTTGCCTGCCTCTGTAGACTCCACCTCTGTGGGCAGGGCATAGCTGAATAAAAGGCAGCAGAAACTTCTGCAGACTTAAACATCCCTGTCTGACAGCTTTGAAGAGAGTAGTGGTTCTCCCAGCATGGAGTTTGAGATCTGAGAATGGACAGACTGCCTCTTCAAGTGGGTCCCTGACCCCCGAGTAGTCTAACTGGGAGACACCTCCTGGTAGGGGCTGACTGACACCTCATACAGCCGGGTGCCCCTCTGAGACGAAGCTTCCAGACACAGGATCAGGCAGCAACATCTGCCATTCTGCAATGTTTGCTGCAGCATCTGCTGGTAATACCCAGGCAAACAGGGCCTGGAGGGGACCTCCAGCAAACTCCAACAGACCTGCAGCTGAGGGCCCTGACTGTTACAAGGAAAACTAACAAACAGAAAGGACATCCACACCAAAACCCCATCTGTACGTCACCATCATCAAAGACCAAAGGTAGATAAAACTACAAAGATGGGGAGAAACCAGAGCAGAAAAGCTGAAAATTCTAAAAATCAGAGCGCCTCTTGTCCTCCAAAGGAATGCAGCTCCTCGCCAGCAATGGAACAGAGCTGGACAGAGAATGACTTTGATGAGTTGAGAGAAGATGGCTTCAGACGATCAGTAAAAACAAACTTCTCTGAGCTAAGGGAGGATGTTCGAACTCATCACAAAGAAGCTAAAAACCTTGAAAAAAGATTAGATGAATGGCTAACTAGAATAAACAGTGTAGAGAAGTCCTTAAATGATCTGACGGTAAGGCACGAGAACTACGGATGCATGCACAAGCTTCAGTAGCCGATTTGATCAAGTGGAAGAAAGGGTATCAGTGATTGAAGATCAAATAAATGAAATGAAGTGAGAAGAGAAGTTTAGAGAAAAAAGAGTAAAAAGAAATGAACAAAGCCTCCAAGAAATATGGGACTATGTGAAAAGACCAAATCTACATCTGATTGGTGTACCTGAAAGTGATGGGGAGAATGGAACCAAGTTGGAAAACACTCTTCAGGATATTATCCAGGAGAACTTCCCCAACCTAGCGAGGCAGGTCAACACTCAAATTCAGGAAATACAAAGAACGCCACAAAAATACTCCTCAAGAAGAGCAACTCCAAGACACATAATTGTCAGACTCACCAAAGTTGAAATGAAGGAAAAAATGTTAAGGGCAGCCAGAAAGAAAGGTCAGGTTACCCACAAAGGGAAGCCCATGAGATTAACAGCAGATCTCTTGGCAGAAACTCTACAAGCCAGAAGAGAGTCGGGGCCAACATTCAACATTCTTAAAGAAAAGAATTTTCAACCCAGAATTTCATATCCAGCCAAACTAAGCTTCATATGTGAAGGAGAAATAAAATCCTTTACAGACAAACAAATGCTGAGAGATTCTGTCGCCACCAGGCCTGCCTTACAGGAGCTCCTGAAGGAAGAACTAAACATGGAAAGGAACAACCGGTACCAGCCATGGCAAAAACATGCCAAATTGTAAAGACCATCAATGCTAGGAAGAAACTGCATCAACTAATGAGCAAAATAACCAGCTAACATCATAATGACAGGACCAAATTCACACATAACAATATTAACCTTAAATGTAAATGGGCTAAATGCTCCAATTAAAAGACACAGACTGGCAAATTGGATAAAGAGTCAAGACCCAGCAGTGTGCTGTATTCAGGAGACCCAACTCACGTGCAGAGACACACATAGGCTCAAAATAAAGGGATGGAGGAAGATCTACCAAGCAAATGGAAAACAAAAAAAAGCAAGGGTTGCGATCCTAGTCTCTGATAAAACAGACTTTAAACCAACAAAGATCAAAAGAGACCAAGAAGGCCATTACATAATGGTAAAGGGATCAATTCAACAAGAAGAGCTAACTATCCTAAATATATATGCACCCAATACAGGAGCATCCAGATTCATAAAGCAAGTCCTTAGAGACCTACAAAGAGACTTAGACTCCCACACAATAATAATGGGAGACTTTAACACCCCACTGTCAACATTAGACAGATCAACGAGACAGAAAGTTAACAAGGATATCCAGGAATTAAACTCAGCTCTGCACCAAGCAGACCTAATAGACATCTACAGAACTCTCCACCCCAAATCAACAGAATATACATTCTTCTCAGCACTACATCACACTTATTCCAAAATTGACCACATACTTGGAAGTAAAGCACTCCTCAGCAAATGTAAAAGAACAGAAATTATAACAAACTGTCTCTCAGACCACAGTGCAATCAAACTAGAACCAGGATTAAGAAACTCACTCAAAACTGCTCAACTACATGGAAACTGAACAACCTGCTCCTGAATAACTACTGGGTACATAACGAAATGAAGGCAGAAATAAAGATGTTCTTTGAAACCAATGAGAACAAAGACACAACATACCAGAATCTCTGGGACATATTTAAAGCAGTGTGTAGAGGGAAATTTATAGCACTAAATGCCCATAAGAGAAAGCAGGAAAGATCTAAAATTGATACCTAACATCATAATTAAAAGAACTAGAGAAGCAAGAGCAAACACATTCAAAAGCTAGCAGAAGGCAAGAAATAACTAAGATCAGAGCAGAACTGAAGGAGATAGAGACACAAAAAAACCCTTCAAAAAATCAATGAATCCAGGAGCTGGTTTTTTGAAAAGATCAACAAAATTGATAGACCACCAGCAAGACTAATAAAGAAGAAAAGAGAGAAGAATCAAATAGATGCAATAAAAAATGATAAAGGGGATATCACCACTGATCCCACAGAAATACAAACTACCATCAGAGAATACTATAAACACCTCTACAGAAATAAACTAGAAAATCTAGAAGAAATGGATAAATTCCTGGACACATACACCCTCCCAAGACTAAGCCAGGAAGTTGAATCCCTGAATAGACCAATAACAGGTTCTGAAATTGAGGCAATAATTAATAGCCTGACAACCAAAAAAAGTCCAGGACCAGACGGATTCACAAGCCGAATTCTACCAGAGGTACAAAGAGGAGCTGGTACTATTCCTTCTGAAACTATTCCAATCAATAGAAAAAGAGGGAATCCTCCCTAATTCATTTTAGGGGCCAATATCATCCTGATACCAAAGCCTGGCAGAGACAAAACAAAAAAAGAGAATTTTAGACCAATATCCCTGATAAACATTGATGCAAAAATCCTCAACAAAATACTGGCAAACCGAATCCAGTAGCACATCAAAAAGCTTATCCACCACAATCAACTTGGCTTCATCCCTGGGATGCAAGGCTGGTTCAACATATGCAAATCAATAAACGTAATCCATCATATAAACAGAACCAAAGACAAAAACCACATGATTATCTCGATAGATGCAGAAAAGGCCTTTGACAAAATTCAACAGCCCTTCATACTAAAAACTCTCAATAAACTAGGTATTGATGGGATGTATCTCAAAATAATAAGAGCTATTTATGACAAACCCACAGCCAATATCATACTGCATGGGCAAAAACTGGAAGCATTCCCTTTGAAAACTGGCACAAGACAGGGATGCCCTCTCTCACCACTCCTATTCAACATAGTGTTGGAAGTTCTGGCCAGGGCAATCATGCAAAAGACAGAAATAAAGGGTATTCAATTAGGAAAAGAGGAAGTCAAATTGTCCCTGTTTGCAGATGACATGATTGTATATTTAGAAAACCCCATCGTCTCAGCCCAAAATCTCCTTAAGCTGATAAACAACTTCAGCAAAGTCTCAGGATACAAAATCAACGTGCAAAAATCACAAGCATTCCTATACACCAATAACAGACAGAGAGCCAAATCATGAGTGAACTCCCACTCACAATTGCTTCAAAGAGAATAAAATACCTAGGAATCCAACTTACAAGGGATGTGAGGGACCTCTTCAAGAACTACAAACCATGCTCAACGAAATAAAAGAGGACACAAACAAATGGAAGAACATTCCATGCTCATGGATAGGAAGAATAAATATTGTGAAAATGGCCATGCTGCCCAAGATAATTTATAGATTCAATGCCATGCCCATCAAGCTACCAATGACTTTCTTCACAGAATTGGAAAAAACTACTTTAAAGTTCATATGGAACCAAAAAAGAGCCCGCATTGCCAAGACAATCCTAAGCCAAAAGAACAAAGCTAGAGGCATCACACTACCTGACTTCAAACTATACTACAAGGCCACAGTAACCAAAACAGCATGGTACTGGTACCAAAACAGAGATGTAGACCAATGGAACAGAATAGAGCCCTCGGAAACACTACCACACATCTACAACCATCTAATCTTTGACAAACCTGACAAAAAGAAGAAATGGGGAAAGGATTCCCTATTTAATAAATGGTGCTGGGAAAACTGGCTAGTCATATGTAGAAAGCTGAAACTGGATCCCTTCCTTACACCTTATACAAAAATTAATTCAAGATGGATTAAACACTTAAATGTTAGACCTAAAACCATAAAAACCCTAGAAGAAAACCTAGGCAATACCATTCAGGACATAGGCACGGGCAAGGACTTCATGACTAAAACACCAAAAACAATGGCAACAAAAGCCAAATTTGACAAATGGGATCTAACGTAACTAAAGAGCTTCTGCACAGCAAAAGAAACTACCATCAGAATGAACAGGCAACCTACAGAGTGGGAGAAAATTTTTACAATCTACCCATCTGACAAAGGGCTAATATCCAGAATCTACAAAGAACTTAAACAAATTTACAAGAAAAAATCGAACAACCCCCATCACAAAGTGGGCGAAGGATATGAACAGACACTTCTCAAAAGAAGACATTTATGCAGCCAACAGGCACATGAAAAAATGCTCATCATCACTGGCCATCAGAGAAATGCAAATCAAAACCACAATGAGATACCTTCTCACACCAGTTAGAATGGCAATCATTAACAAGTCAGGAAACAACAGGTGCTAGAGAGGATGTGGAGAAATAGGAACGCTTTTACACTGTTGGTGGGACTGTAAACTAGTTCAACCATTGTGGAAGACAATGTGACGATTCCTCAAGGATCTAGAACTAGAAATACCATTTGACCCAGCCATCCCATTACTGGGCATATACCCAAAGGATTATAAATCATGCTGCTATAAAGACATATGCACATGTATGTTTATTGTGGCACTATTCACAATAGCAAAGGCTTGGAACCAACCCAAATGTCCATCAATGATAGACTGGATTAGGAAAATGTGGCACATATACACCATGGAATACTATGCAGCCATAAAAAAGGATGAGTTCGTGTCCTTTGTAGGGACACGGATGAAGCTGGAAACCATAATTCTGAGCAAACTATTGCAAGGACAGAAAACCAAACACTGCATGTTCTCACTCATAGGTGGGAACTGAACAATGAGAACACTTGGACACAGGGTGGGGAACATCACACACCGGGGCCAGTCGTGGGGTAGGGGGAGGGGAGAAGGATAGCATTAAGAGATATACCTAATGTAAATGATGAGTTAACAGGTGCAGCACACCAACATGGCACATGTATACATATGTAAGAAACCTGCATGTTGTGCACACGTACCCTAGAACTTAAAGTATAAAAAAAAAGAGTGGTATGGCACTATTCACAACAGGCAAGATATGAAGTTAAACTAAGTGTCCAACAAAGATGAATGGATAAATAAAATGTGATATATATACACAGTGGAATACTATTCGGCCATAAAAAAGAATGAATCCTGTCATTTGTGGCAATGGATGGAACTAGCAGACATTATGTTAAGTGAAATAAGCCAGGAACAGAAAGTTAAACACTGTATGTTCTTACTCATGTGGAAGCTAAAGAAAAGTTGATATCATAGAAATAAAAGGTAGAACAAAGGATACTAAAGACTGGGAAGGGGAAGATAGGGAGAGATTTGTTTAAGGATACAAAATCACAGCTACATAG